>NC_000002.12:87192994-87498377 GCF_000001405.40 Homo sapiens | reverse complement strand
GCCACAGTGCAGGAGCGAGGACGGACTAAAATGTCTACAGGAGAAGGTAGGGTGTTGTGTTCTAGAAACCCTGGCAGCTGTGGGTGAGCACAGAATTTTCTAATGAGTAAGACTGAAATCAGTGAAAATGCCTCAGCATTAAAGGGAAAAATAACTTATCTGCTGTCTAACCACGGAGCTCAGGCATCTAAGAAAAGCCTAAATAATTCACGAAAACTGTGCCCAAATAGACAAAAGGAGCTCACTGCTTCTTGCAGAATATTTAAACCTGACTCAACTTTGGGGTTTTAATCCAAATATCTTAAGTTCACATTTCATTGCTGGAACATTCCATGTTGTATCAGGAGCTGACTTAGGTGGGTGAAGTTCTTAACCCTGAACAGAGAATAAAATGTTAAAAATAGTAATGAAAGTGCCGATACCTCCATAGACAACCCTAAAATGTGTAATGTGTTCGTGAAACACACTGCTCACCGTCTAAAGGAAAGGTGGTTAATCCTGGGCAATTCAGGTTTCTTTGCAGCTATGCCATGGAAGGTCCCTTAAATGCAAGACTCAGCATGGAAACCTCTTTCACTCTGGAATCCTTCTCCAGAACTTGGGTGAAGGTTCACACACTTACATCTACCCCCATGCTTCCCCAAAAGGGCTAAACCCAGAAAAGCCTTTCCCGGATGTCTAATTGGTGACAGCCTATTATGCCCAAGGGGTTTACTTTTCTCCAGGTGCAGAATAACAGAGGAGAGATTTGTTTACTCTCTCCCTTTTTTTTTTTTTTTTTTTTCATTAACAACTTTGTTTAATGGCCTGGGAGCTTGAGCCGGTCAGATCCCTAGAGCAGGGTCCACACACTCAGCCCTGGACTTTCTCCCACCTATTCCAACCCAGCCTCACACTCCCATAACTGCATTCCTAGCCTTTTCTTCCCGTTTTTAACACTGTGCTTCACCTAGTAATCAACATAAAAACAAAGCAGATAGAAGGACAGGCCTAGGTCAGGCAACCGTCTGGGGTAATGCAGGTGTCACAGCCACAGGCCAGGCTTGACTGGCACAGGTCTGGGGAGCCTGGGGGCAGCCTGGGTGGGTGTGAATTAACAGCCTGGAGGTGGTGGGAGGGGGCATTCTGTGTGCCTCTGGGGAGGGGCGGAGGTGAGGTGTTCTCTTTGTCAGGGACCCTTGGATCTGCTGGGGACAGAGCCTGCCCAACTCCCTCCTAAGCAACTTCTGTTTCCTCTGCTCTCCCTTCCTGCAACCTGCACTCCTGCTTCCTGCCTGGCACTACCAACTGTGGGAAACCCAAGTAGGTGGCACCATAGTGGGGGGCAAAAGGCAAAGCCTTGGTTGGGTAGGGGGCATAACTCCAGGCCTAGTTCTGCAAGCCCTGACACTGAGGCAGGATGCTTACAGAGGAGACAAAAAAGCAATGCAGTGCCTCGAATAACAACTGGGGTGCCCCCACACTGCCACTGACAACTGCCCCTCAATAACTAGTACACCCTAGTCTTTCTAGCTTCTGGGCACTCCTAGAAACCAGAGCTTCCAAACCCTTCAGTTCACACAGGCCAGGACTTGCTGAGGGCAGGGGGCGGGGGAGGAGGTGAGGGTTGCTTTCAGGAGTATCTGTTCTTGCTCCCATAATCTTGGAGTGGATCACAAAACTGAGTAAGTGTTGCTATGGTTATTAAAGTCATTCCTTTTAAAAAAGAGCAAAACATGGCAGATTTTCTTAACAACTTGTTCAAATGGCAACAGTCCCGGGTTGTAGCTAATTAAGTGTGCTAAAGATAAACACAAGATCGCACATTCCTATTAAGATTGTTTGCTCCTGGTTCTTTTACACACACACACACACCACTTTGAACATTCAGGGGAAATAATAAATTCTTATGCACTCAGCATGAGGAGTAAAGAAGAAAAATATATTTTCCATAGAAATCGCCTTACTTCACCTCCTTTAAATTCTACAACTTGGTTCAGGACAAATAAAGAGGAAACTACTGGAATGTGTGAGCAGGCCCCACTAGCTCTGAAGGCAGAGGCCTCAGCAGGAGGTGAGCAGCTGCAGAGAGGCTCAGGCAGGCGGCCCTGGGCAGCCTCATTTCTTTATTAACACCACCACCTACAGGGACTGCTTTGAATAGGATGGTGTGGTGTAGCCCATAAAGCCTTGCAAGAAAAACAACATTCAGAACAATTGCACCACATTTTTTTTTCAACTTCCTGTTTATTAGTATTTTATCTAAGAGCAGAACAAAAGTCTGTATAAATGGGAAAAAATAAAACAAATGAATGCACTGTTAAGGCCTATTCACAATGCACACATACAACAACTTGTCAAGTGCATTATGTCTTTCAATTGAACCCACCTCCGACCTTCAAATGTCTCTGATGACAGAGATCAAGAGGAAATAAATGGAATTTGTTATTTTATAAGAATTATATATAATTAATTTTTAAAAAAATAAGTAAATGGGCTTGTTTTTGGCACAACTGTATGACAGTATTCCTTGCCACACTGTACAAGTCAACATCTTGTAAGAATTTGTATTTTGCTAGAAATACGCATGAATATAATGAAAATGCAAATGTCCCCCTAATGTTTGGTGCAGAGCTTGATTGTGTAAGAAAAGGAAGAAAGTATGTGGTCAAGGTGTGGGCAACCTTTGAGGTTCTCAGCCTAAGAGGTGGACAAAGGGCTGGTGACGCCTCCACTGGAATCCTTCCAGCGAAGTCATGAGGTCATTACGAAATTGTTAGTGATGTCTGTGAACTCTGCTTTCTTCCTTAACCTGCCTGCCATGTTGTTCTTTGGGCTTCTTCTCTGCCTACTTTTCGAAAGGCTCAGGGCCAATGAGATGGAATGAATGAGTGGCCATAGGGCTTCCAGTGTTGACCTTGATGGCCACATTTTCTCTTGAAAGCAGCCCGTACAGTCTGTTTTTGTGGATACTTGTGAATCAAAGGGCTGGGCCTTGGCACAGTTCCCCAGGACCCTTGCTCTTTTTTATCTATGGTTATAAATACCACTGAGTCTCATTTATTTTGAGTAGTTTTAATGTCACGTTTCCCTATTTGAGAAGGACGCCTAGACATTTGGGATTATCAACTTGGGGAGTTGCCTATGATTTTTTTTCTATGCCCTAGTAATCAGGAATTTTGTTATTATTTACTCTCCATATCTCAGTCTCCTATGACATTAGCGCGTATGGCCTTGTCTAATTATTCCTGATACCTATTACCTCGTTCACATGAAAATAAGAAGTCAATAAGAAGAGGCCTCCTCTTGTATAGTGTAACAAGAAACATATCTGCAGATAGAGACGGCATAAATCAAAGCTGAAGTGTGAACTTAGCACTGGTCAAGACCAGTTAAGCTAATCAGAAACAGATTGCAAATGCTCTAGCAGAACAAATACTGTCTTTCTAAATGGCCGAAAGTGCTGTGAGGGACTAAAACTGAACAGAACAATCACAGCAAACAACAAAGGTCACCAAATAATAAAGCAGCCATCATTTGTGTGCTGGTAGTAAACACTGAGAACTCACTGCATGTGTCTTGGACATGGGAGATGAAGAAATGTGGGGTTGGTTTTGTTTTGCCAAGGGGCATTGATTAACCCTAACCAGTAGTCAGATCTAGGAAGGGGACCCTTCCTGGAGAGAACGTCTCTATGGAATTCATTTTTTATTTTTTGGTAATTTTTTTAATTGACAAAAACTCTATTACATTTACTGTGTAACATGATGTTTGGAAATAAGCATTAAGGAATGGCTCAATTGAGCTAATTCACATATACTTATCTTTTATGGTGAAGACAATTAAAATTTACTCTCAATAATTTCAGAATACAATACATTGCTATTAACTAGAGTCACATGTTGTACAGTAGATCTCTTAAGTTTATTTCGCCTATCTATCTGAACTTTTGTATCCTTTGAACAATATCTCCCCATTACCCTATCCCTGCCAATGCCTGGTAACCACCATTCGACTCTCTACTTCTGTAAGTTCAACTTTTTTCTATATCACGTATAAGTGAGATCATGTGTTGTTTGTCTTTCTGTGCCTAATTTATTTCACTTAACATAATGTCCTCCAGGTTCATCCATGTTGTTGCAAATGTCAGGATTTCCTCATTTTAAAAGCTGAATAGTATTCCATTGTGTATATACGTGTGTGTGCTGCATTTCTTTATCCACTCATCCACTCATGGACACTTAGGCTGGCCCTGTGGCATTCTTGACTGGCAAACATAGAGGAAGCTTTAACCACTAACTTCTGCTAAGGGAGGAACTGTTCCTTGGGCATAAGAGTAGACAAAACATTTTATCAGCATCAGAAAGTATTTTGGGGCCGGGAGCAGTGGCTCACACCTGTAATCCCAGCACTTCGGGAGGCTGAGGCAGGTGGATCACGAGGTCAGGAGATCGAGACCATCCTGGCTCACACGGTGAAACCCCGTCTCTACTAAAAATACAAAAAAAAATTAGCCAGGTGTGGTGGCGGGCGCCTGTAGTCCCAGCTACACGGGAGGCTGAGGCAGGAGAATGGCGTGAACCCAGGAGGCGGAGCTTGCAGTGAGCCCAGATCGAGCCACTGCACTCCTGCCTGGGCGACAGAACCAGACTCCGTCTCAAAAAAAAAAAAAAAAAGAAAAAGGTATTTTGGGTCAGGAGCGGTGGCTCATGCCTGTAATCCCAACACTTTGTGAGACCGAGGCGGGTGGATCACCTGAGGTGAGGAGTTCCACATCAGCCTGGCCAACACGGCAAAACCCAGTCTCTACTAAAAATACAAAAAAATTAGCTGGGCACGGTGGTGGGTGACTATAATCCCAGCTACTTGGGAGGCTGAGGCAGGAGAGTGGCTTGAACCCAGGAGGTGAAGGTTGCAGTGAGCCAAGATCACGCCACTACACTCCAGCCTAGGTGACAGAGCCAGACTCTGTCTAAAACAAACAAACAAACAAACAAACAAAATGCTGGGAGCGGTGGCTCATGCCTGTAATCCCAGCACTTTGGGAGGCTGAGGCAGGAGGATCACCTGAGGTCAGGAGTTCCAGACCAGCCTGGCCAACATGGTGAAATCCTGTCTCTACTAAAAATACCAAAAATTAGCTGGGCACAGTGGCAGGCGCCTGTAATCCCAGCTACTCGGGAGGCTGAGGCAAGAGAATAGCTTGAACCCGGGAGGCGGAGGTTGCGGTGAGCCGAGGTCGCACCACTGCACTCCAGCCAGGGCAACAAGAGCGAAACTCCGTCTCAAAAAAAAAAAAAAAAGAAAAGAAAAGAAAAAGAAAGAAAGCAAGCATTTTTGAAGCCACTCACTGACTTCACTGATAGGATGCACAGAATAAGTCAGAAAGGCAAAGCTCCCGAGTCTGCTTCACAGAAAGGAAATGTGCATGCACGAAATAAGAAGTCTTTCTCAAACACAAACAAACAAAAAGCAACTCCCTGTGCTGATAAGGAAGGAGCTAGATGCTGGGAACCAGGAGCTGGGGCTGCTGGGAGGACGGGGGAAGAGGCATGAGGGCAGGTGTCTGAATAGGAACTGTTCTGCCGCCATCTCACACAGGGGATGGAATGATGGGCATGATGCCTAATTTGCAAGGGGTGATCTTGAAAGCCACTGAGATCCCTCTCCCAGGAAGCTTACAAAAGGAAGAGCGAGTGTGACAAATAAGTGAGAGGTGTCTACTTGCAAGTCAACAAATGCCTCCTTTGCACACCAATATGCTTAAATTTAGTGGGTCACCTATGTCACTGAGTAAAACCTAGTGGACATCCTAGTGCCCCATTAGCAAGCTTCATAACTCCACCCTCAGGACAGGAGTGGAGATAATGGCGGGTAAATTAATGAGTACATCACAGTCCTTTATCCACTGTGATTGGCTCATGTGTAGGCATGTGACCTCGGCTGGTCCAATCAGGGCGAACCTCATACCTTTTACAGGAATGCTGTGACAAAAGTTTTTCCTGCTGGATTTGGACCTGAAAGGACAAATGGCAGCCACCTCGGGATCATGAGGGTTGAGTTTATTTGAGAATGGGGTCAAAGCATTAAAAACTGGGCCAGGAGGAGAAGACAGATCTGAAATATCTTGACTTCATTTTGAGCTGTATGTATGACGCCCTTTTCCTAGATTGTTCACTTACATGAGATGGTAAAACTCTGGATTTTGCTTAAACCACTTTGAATTGAGTTTTCCGTCACTTGTAACCAAAAAACTCTTTTTTTTTTTTTTTTTTTTTTGAGACGGAGTCTCACTCTGTCACCCAGGCGGGAGTGCGGTGGCGCGATCTGGGCTCGCTGCAAGCTCCGCCTCCAGGGTTCACGCCATTCTCCTGCCTCAGCCTCCCAAGTAGCTGGGACTACAGGCACCCAACACCACGCCTGGCTAATTTTTTGTATTTTTAGTAGAGACGGGGTTTCACCGTGTTAGCCAGGATGGTCTCGATCTCCTGACCTCATGATCCTCCCACCTCAGCCTCCCAAAGTGCTGGGATTACAAGCGTGAGCCACCACGCCCGGCCAACCAAACAACTCTTAATTAAATCAGAAATGCCTTTGCAATTATACACTACCCACCCCTAAAGAAGAAGGTTTTTACAAGTGTAGACGACTCCTCCTTCATATAGCCCTCAGTATTATGCAACAGTCCATCCCATTGAACTAAAGTCACAGAAACGTATATACCAAAAGATCCAATAAAATGGAGTGAAATGCAGCTCTCTTAGTGCATCTGCTCCTTAGCATTCTGAGAGATCCTACTCCCAGTGATATTACCCCAGGCTGTCAAGGCGGGTCCCTCAGATTGTCTTTTATAATTGCACAACAATTATAAGGAAAATTAAGATGGAAGTTAAAGCATCCAGAAAGAAAACCAGATTAAATGACTGAAACAACAGAGGACTAAGTAATGACAAGAGATGGCATAATATCATCATTAGGCCTCCTTCCATTTTTAACGTTATTTCTCATTCAGCTTTTTTACAAGACACAAATTTCTTCAACTCAAGGAATTTATTTTCCTTCAGGCTCAGATTCCTGCAGAATCTGACCAACTAGGATAGAATAATGCTTGAAGAGCTCTGGATTTTTATATTATAACAAATAATTATGTATAGGTTTCTTGACATTACTGATTTCTCACTGAGGTTCAGAATAGCTCAGCATACATAATAAGGGGTTTTAAGAGGTGTTCACCCTGAGTACACTTAGAAATAACATCCAACTTGGATCAAAGTGTACTTTTTTAAAAAGTTCTTGATACTATAAGCTTTGATTTGCTTCACAGAAACACCTCTAACTATAAGGGCAACTGCTGAGGTTTGACAGTTCATCTGCCCTGATCTTTCATTCATTCATTCATCATTGTGCAGCACTGAGTTTAAATAAAAAGAGCCATGTTATTGGGCTTAGAATTTAACGTGAAACCCCGATCCATGCAAGCTAAGGGCCAAGGAAGGAATGCCAGCTAGCCTCCTACAGGCAGTGGCTGAAGAGCTGAAAAAACCTAGTGGCCAAGTCAGGCCACGGAGTTCGTTGAGCCTCTGCTGCCCATGGGCCTCCCCCTTCCTGGCATCCTGGGTCAATGGATGGATTCTGACTGTGGAGGCCCCCAGTTCAGCCTCTTTTCATACCCCTGGGGGTTATCTGCAGTGCTGCAGCCCCTTGGTGGGAGCCTCCTTCTTGCACTGGGGACACCCTGGTCCCCCTAAAATCCCACATACCCTGTGGAACTCCATGGGTGTGGATTCTGAATTCCTTAGACACCAGCTCGTTCACTCTCATTTTACAGGTGAAGGGAGCTACTCTCTGTCCAAGCAGATCAGGGCCTCCATGGGCTTGCCTCCCAGGCAGAATTCCAATTTCCTGGTCCATCAGAGGTCCTCACCTGCTCCTCTAGGAGAGAACCCTGATATAAAAGGGAGGAAAGATTCCCCTCCATGTTTCCAGTGCTCATTGGTTATCACTAGCCACAGTCAAGCCTTCTTATGACTCCCAGTCCCATCTGACTTGCTCAGAGCTCCGGAGCCTAACATCCCAGTCTTCCTGAAACACTGCTTAAGCCATGGGATTTTCCTGCTCGAGGACCCACAGAGCTCCCTACTGGCTCCAACACAGAGTTGACATTCTTTGCCCAGGCTGAGAAAGACCTCTGTGGTTTGCTCCTACCCTAAGTATGCAACATTTCCCTCTTCTCATGAATCTCTTTGTGCTTTTATTCAACAAAAATATGTTGAGCACTGGATTATTAGTTTGCTTGAGCTACTATAACAAAGTATTAGAGACTGACAACAGAAATGTATTGCCTCACAGCTCTGATGGCTGGAAGTCTGAGACCAAGTTGTTGGCAGGGTGGTTTCTTCTGAGGCCTCCCTCTCTCCTTGGCTTGTAGATGACCACCTACTTGCTATGTTGTCATGTGGGTCTTCCCTCTGTGTATGTCTATATCCTAATCTCCTTTTTTTTTCTTTTTCTTTTATTATACTTTAAGTTCTAGGGTACATGTGCACAATGTGCAGGTTTGTTACATATGTATACGTGTGCCATGTTGGTGTGCTCTTAATCTCCTTTTATAAGGACACAAGTCATATTGAATTAGAGGCCACCCATATGACCTCATTTTACCTTAATTACCTCTTCAGAGACCCTTTCTCCAAATACGGTCACATTCCAAGGTACTGGAGTTGGGGTGGCACCATACGAATTTGGGATGGGACACAATTCAGCCCTTAACAAGTCCCAATATGATGCCAGGGAATGGGGAAGGGAGGAGAAAAAGGGACATAGAAGGGGACAGAGATGGATAAAACATGGCCTCTGCCCTCAGCAGATGAAACTCTACTGTCCACACAGGAGGATGGCGTGATTTTCTCCTTGCCCACCCCAGCCCCAGCTCCTGCCTCTGTTGGGCAGCCTCTGATGCTTCACTTCCTCCTCTATCTAATCAGTCTTTCAAGGCACAGCCTCATTCCCTTTCTCAGGAGCACCCCCCTACTGGCTTACACTCCCTGAGTCCCTCCTGGACTTCCCTCAAGCGTATTACCTCCTCCCTGTGCTATCCTGACCACCCTGTGAACTTCTCCATGGAGCAGCTACCTGGATGTCTAGTGCAAGGCTGGGCATGGTAGGCATCAAGCCAATATTTCCTTCTCATGGGATAAAACATGTTTCTCCTTTCTGCTTTCTGTCTGATAAAAGCCAGCAAATGGCACTGGGGGTGTCTGGTTCCTCCACCACTTGTCTGCGTCTTTCAGATAAATATTACCTATTTCATCGTGTTCTGAAATGCAAAACCTTTCTAGTATCAGTAAGTGAAATCCCCAGTCAGCATACCATGATGAAATATTCTTCTAAGTCTCATATTTTTACTCACTTTACACCCAGAGTTACATGTGTGAGAGGTGACATTTTACTGTGTGGGACAGGAATGCCATCCTCACTGATGTTAACCATGTCACACTGGAATGACATCTCAGAAGACGAGAAATAACCAGGGGCCTTTAAAACTTAATGCATCTTGAGGCCGGGCACAGTGGCTCACGCCTGTAATCCCAGCACTTTGGGAGACCGAGGTGGGTGGACCACTTGAGGCCAGGAGTTCAAGACCAGACTGACCAATATGGTAAAACCCCATCTCTACTAAAAATACAAAAATTAGCCGGGCGTGGTGGTACACGCCTGTAGTCCCAGCTATTCGGGAGGCTGAGGCACGAGAATCACTTGAACCCGAGAGGCGGAGGTTGCAGTGAGCTGAGATTGCGCCACTGCACTCCAGCCTGGGCAACCGAGCAAGACTCTTATCTCAAAAAAAAAAAAAAAAAAAAACTTAATGTATCTTGAAATGTAAACAAATTATCTTGTTTTACACTTTTCTTTTACTGTCATCAGCAATAAATGCCACCTGATATGTGTATCCAACACTGTGCCCCAGCCCTTTCCTGCTGAGCTAAACATCAGCTCTTAACTTTGAACATGCCCTAGACTCACACAGACAGACCCTCAGAGGTCTTCTCTGTGCTCCCAGAGTGCTTTGTTCAGAGTCTGGTTTAGTGGCATGGTAATTAAGAGTGTGCACATTGGGAGCTAACTGTTTGACTTTAAATCTACCTGCTGTGTGACTTTGGACAAGTTACATAACCTCTCTGGGCCTCATTTTTCCTCAAAGCCACCAAAAAAATCACTGAAGGGCATTGGGGACATCTGGTTCCCAATGTAAGGATGAAATAAGATAATTCAGATAATTAACCTGGCCCAGAAGCTGGAACATTTTGGCCCCCAGGAAACACGAGTGTTAATATTCACATTACCTTTCCCAACTATCTCCCCTTCCAAACTGTGAACTTCCCCAGGACAAGGGCACTATTCCTTAGGTGCCTGGGACATAATAATCACACAGCTAATGTTTGTGGGAAAAAAAACACATGCAATGACTCAATTCTACTTTTAAAACTGGCTTTTCCTCCTTATTTTAAAATGTAACTTGCTCACCTTAGGGCCTTAAAAAAATATGTAACAAGAAGAGTAACACAGACCAATTAAAACTTTTAAGTTAACTAAATGAAACCCCCCAGCTCCTGTCTTTGGGCTTCATCCATAGGTTTTCAGGGCAAACACCCCACAAATGCCAAACAGATTTGCACATGTGCTAATTATCTACTTTTCACTGTTTCCCATAAAATAAATACTTTCAAATGCAAAGTTGACGGTGAAAAGTATATTAATTATAGAGAATGAAGAGCAGTACCATGATGTTCATCCTGAGGCCAAATGAACAATGATCAAAACTTCTAACTGAAAATTCCTGGAGAACACCTTCATCGGCAGCATATGCCATCTCCTTGCAGCTCTCCCAGCCAGCACTAAAGCCAGCCTCCAGGCTGTGAGGCTCACCTTAGCCTGAGTCACAATCCCCCACACTTCCTGAGAGTAGTTATGTTTTTATTATCCAGTAATTAAAGATAAAACATAGTATAAATTGAATTATGCATGTAAAAGCATTTGTATTATTTATATCACGAGTCCCAATATCATAGAATACATAAATGCTAGAGCCACTTGTGATTTTTGTTATTTACAAAGGCTGATAGGCAGGTGGATTTCAGCATCCCTGCCAACATGGTGGGATCTGAGGCTGCCAGGGTGGGAACCACTCGTCAAGGAGAACATTCCCTGTGTCTACCAGCAAAGATCCAGGCCAACTGCTGGCTGAAGAGAGAGCAAAAAGAAACAGGCTATGAAGGGCTTCTGCTCTTACAACCCTATAAGGAGTATATATTTTACACTGGAAAATCTGATCCTTAGAGCAAGCCAGTCCTGTATCAGCATATAGTCCTGGTATTGTCCAGAAAAAATAAATCATCTTGCTACTTAGAGACATTAGCTAGCCAAACGCAGTAGAATCTACAAGATCACATAGTATTCAAATTATTATTAACCAAAAATGCCTTGTAGTACTTTAGGGGTACAGAGCAAGCAGAGAAAAGGTGGTGGTCCATGAAGTGCCCTTTGTAACATTCAGAGCTGAGTTGTCCCCTGTAACTGGGCACCATCCCTGCACTGCTCCTTGGGTGTTGGGCTCTGAAACACTCCAGCTGACTCAGAAAATGATTCTCGGTGGGGGATGGAAATCAGGAGCTCTTTATTTTTGATTTTTTTATTTTTTTTGAGATAAGATCTCACTGTGTCACCCAGGCTGGAGGGCAGCAGTGCCATCACAGCTCACTGCAACCTCGACCTCCCTGGCTCAAACCATCCTCCCAACCTCAGCCCCCAGAGTAGCTGGAATTACCATGCCACCACACCTGGCTAATTTGTGTGTGTGTGCACACACATGCGCGCTCGTGTGTGTGTACGCGCATGTGTGTGTGTGGAGATGAGGTCTCACTATGTTGCCCAGGCCGGTCTCAAACTTCTGGGCTCAAGCAATCATCCCACTTCGACCTTCCAAAGTGCTGGGATTACAGGCGTGAGCCACCATGCCTAGCTAAGCTCTTTAGAAATGATTTACTCCCATTTTTTGAGGTTTGCCATGTCACAGAAAATGAGACCCCACTGAGAGATTCAAATGTGCGGGAAGAAAGAACAATGTGTGCTTCTTCACAGGGGGAGAGCAGGGAGCCTGCAGCCCGCCTGAGCTGCAGGTGCTTCAGCTGGTTTCACACTTGCTGTCCCCAGCCCCTGCTCCTGGCCAGACGCCGGCCTCTGTGGGCGGCCCGGAGGGCACCGTGCGTTGGTGCAGGCCTTCGTGGGCAGCAGCGCTGACGTTTGGAAACAAGGCCCCACCCACACAGGCTGGGTTTCAGTTTCACCAGGGAGCAAACACCATTATGCAAATTATTTTCCTTGCTCAACTCCCCATCCCCCATCACTGTCTTACATATTCATTCTTCACTCTGAAGTTAATGTACACAAGAGGCCAACTAAGGATTTGCATCCTATTTACTTTAAAATGCCCAGGTGCAATTTTGAAACAAGATTCTCCTTTCAGAAGGGCAATCACGAATATAAAGTAGAGAATTAGTAGCAGTGTCAAGAGTAAAGCCCCGAGGCTAATACCAAACTTCTAACATAAACGGAGTGTTGAAAGGCACATGCCAGGAATTATATAAACCGAAGGAAAAAGACAACTGGGGGGTGTGTTCCCATGCATTCGATTTGGTCCAAGGAGAGCCAGGCCCACGGAGAGAGGACAGACAGCCTCGGGCCCCTTCAATCCTCTCTACACATGTCAAGAATACCTGGGTCTCATGGGGTTTAGGAAAACGAATGTCTAGTTCACATTCAGGTCACGTTCTAGAAATTAGGGCATGAAGTCATTTTATCTGCATTATGTGTGATTCATTTGCAGTTTAACTCAAGTGATTTGAGGTACCAACTCAGGCAAAAAAATTCTGAACCCAGAAACAGTGTTAGTAAAATTTGTAGGGGGTGGAGGGTGTGGGATGGGGTGCACAAAGCTATGCTTTCCTTTCCTGTCATGATAAATAAATTTGTTAGGGATATGTTTATATGAATTTAGACCTGAATAATTCCATGCAGCTGTAATCATTATTTTATTTATGAGATTCAGATAATTGTAGTGAATAATTTTGCGGTTGTTTCTAAAGAGGTCAAGGGTTTCTATCAGCAGACACACAGAAGGAACCATTTTTAGGATGGTAATTTCTATTTCCCTCAAAAACATTCTTCCTTGGTCCCCACTTATACTCAGTTTCATTTTTCAAGGCGGATTGCAAGGTTCGTGTAAAGCTCACAGCTGCAATGAAGTCACTGACAAATCTGTGAATTACCCTGAGTGCAAAGACAAGCTAGTTCATTTATAAACAGCCCTTAGAATAATAGTAAACTAAACTGCAGGTGGGAAACCTTCATAAGATAAAAACTCAGACACACTGTCCCTTCTTGGAAAGCCCTGGATAAGAAGTAAACAATGCCAACAAGTCCCTTAGTGACTTGTCACTCCACTTAAAATGGCCTTTATTAAGAGTGATGACCTCCGCCTTAACTGTAAGACCAACCAACTCAAATGTAAGTCAAGAACAAGAACATATTTCCTTGCAGGGGATTCTGTGCAAACTCATAGATGATTTGCACCTCTGTGAAAGGTCATGGCTAGGAGGCCAGGTTGAGGAAACTTGAACAGCTAAAGTACACCCAGGCTGTCTGCTAACTACCTGCATCCTAATTACCTGTCTGCTATCGCTGTGTGACGTGCAGAGCCATGAGATAGGATCTGTCTTCATTTACAGATCATAAAAAAACAAAGCTTTAGACAGGTTAAGTAGCTTGCCCAATGAAAGCAATTTCTTCTGACCCTTGTGCACAATTATGTCCACAGGAGAACACCATATACATATATTGCCCAACCTTTGAACACCATTTACTCAAGAATGGCTTTCCTTTCCCTGCCATGCACAGGCAGGCTTGTGGTTAGCCAGTCCTTTCTGGTCAGTGTGGATATATCTGCTGGGTTCAGGGGTGTAGGGTTAGGGATCTCACTGTTTCCGCACACCAAAACTGTTCTCCAACAGCTCAGTCAATAAAAACAGCTGATATCGGGGCAGGGGTGGAGTTCTTGGTTCAGGACTCTTCTAATGTCCTGGACTGCAGAAAAGCCCTTGCCCTTACCCTGGATAAATACCTGAGAATGCTTGTCTCCTTCCCACTCTGTAGGCACTCTTGTCCTCTCCATTCCCTTCCTTGCCTCCTGAGGAGCTTCTGTGGCCCTGGGCTGATGTGGGGAAGGGAGAAGGGTCCCCTGCACCCCTGGGATGGGAACATGAATGAGTCTGCCCACCAACCCCTAAGAAATATGCATACCTGTGCTCAAATTATGGGGCCATCAGTTCTGCTAGTCTCAGAGCCCCCTAGGGAGGGCGACCCAGCTTTTACTGGACACCCAGGGACTTTCCCTGGAACCTGCTGTTGTGAGCGTTTCTGAGGTGTAGACAAACAGCTCCCCCACACACCTAGCCAACAACCCACTCTCAAGGTGGGAAACACCATTCTAAGGACTCGCATTAACCCATCTGGATAACCCTGGGTAATCTGGAGCAGAGGTCGAAACCACTGAATGGCTCAGGTACGGTAGAAAATGCCTCTGATTGATTGTTTTGGACATCGCTGCTATTGCAACAGAGAAAGATCAAGCCCCATCACCTAGAAGGGATTTCATTCTTTGCAACAGGAAAGATAGTTCAGAATCCAGCGCCAATTATTCCCAGAAAAAAAATACCATTTGAAACATTACAAATGAAATTGAGTTATATAAACCCCCTTCCTCATCCCTTCCAAGGAGGGTGGATTCTGCGGATATCAAGGGTGACTGTGGCAGACTGGAAGGGTGGGAAAGAGATCAAATTAGAGAAAACCAAGGGAAGAGCAACTGCCAGCCACCTAGGAAAAAGGAGAGAGGCCTAGGTGACAGGACCCCGAGTTGGAGAGAAAGACACACAGAGGGGTGAGTCAGAGGAAAGCTACAGAAGGGTGTGCTGGGGACAGGCGTCAAGAGGTGAGGCTGCCTCAGGGAGAGGAAGCACGGGAGGAGACCTGGCCCAGGAGAGTTTCAGAGGCTCCTCCCAGCAGCGTGCAGTAGTACCTCCTCCCCCAAGAAATCAGGATTGTGCAGGAAACACTCTCCTACTTCTCAGTGGCCACTGGAGAGCTCTGAACCCAGCCCAGGGTCAACTGCCCGGCACTGTCAGGCAGTTCCTCTGACTCCACAGCACATTCTAATTGCAGTCACTGTGAGTACACTGGCAATTATGCACCCTGCCCCAAATTCCTAATTGTAGTAGGAAGTTAAACTGGAGCATTTTTTTTTTAAATTGCTCAAACAAGTCTTTAGGAATTTAAATGTATTTATAGAAATGTATGTAAGTATGTTTACATACATTTCTATAAAAATATTCTTGTAAGTAAATGTTATTTATATATACTGCGCATCTAATGATGCAATTGGCTTCATGACTTTAGATATTAGAGATTAGGGAGTTTCCTGGTCAGGACAGTCAGGAAGAAGGGAGAGATGCTTAAAGAAATTGGCAGAGCTGCATGGTAGAAGTCTGATAGAAAGGGCTTGAGTGAAACCTGGAAAGACAGTTCATTAGGGAAAAGGTGCCTGCTGCCTGTTGAGAGCCAGTGCCTCCCACATAGTGGTGCTCAATGCACTGTGGAACTCAACAGAGCCCTGGCAAAGCACGCTCCGGGACTCACAAATCTGAATGGGTTAAAAGAGAAATAGAAGAATTTGGTCGTGAGAGAAAACAGAACTTCTAGACTTCTATTTTATCTATATTTTCTGTCCAAGAAAAAAACATTAATACTGAGAAGGAGACTGTGTTAGTCAGAGTTCTCCAAAGAAACAGAATCAATTGGATGTGTGTGTGTGTGTGTGTGTGTGTGTGTGTGGGTGTGTGTGGGTGGGTGTGTGTGTGTGGGTGTGTGTGTGTGTGTGTGAGAGAGAGAGAGAGAGAAGGGCGAGGAGGGTAGTGGAGATTGAGTTGTTTAAGGATTAGGTTCCCACAATGGTAAGGGCTGGCAAGTCCAAAATCCACAGGGCAGGCTGGCAGGCAGAGACCCCAGGAGTCCCTGTTGCAGTTTGGGTCAGCTGACAGAATCCAATCTTCTTTGGGGAGGTTCGTCATTTTCTTTTCTTTTTTTTTTTTTTTTTTTTTTTTTGAGACAGAGTCTCACTCTGTCGCCCAGGCTGGAGTGCAGTGGTGCCATCTCAGCTCACTGCAAGCTCCGCCTCCTGGGTTCACGCCATTCTCCTGCCTCAGCCTCCCGAGTAGCTGGGACTACAGGCGCCCGCCACCACGCCTGGCTAATTTTTTGTATTTTTAGTAGAGACGGGGTTTCACCATGTTAGTCAGGAAGGTCTCAATCTCCTGACCTCATGATCCGCCTGCCTCGGCCTCCCAAAGCACTGGGATTACAGGCGTGAGCCACTGCGCCCAGCCCATCATTTTCTATTAAGGCCTTCAACTGACTGGATGAGGCCCACCCACATTATGACTCTGCTTTGCCAAAATCTACTGATTTAAATGTTAATCTGCTAAAAAGTGCCTTCACAGAAACATCCAGGATAATGTTTGACCAAATATCTGGGTACCATGCCCTAGCAAAGTTGGCACATAAAACTAACCATCACAAAGAGACTGACATTGTGTGGGGCAACTGAAGCCCAGGAGAGGGTGGAGAGTATGAAACGGCATCCAGGTGATGAGAACTGAGTTCTGTTTCTGCCCAGTGACCGACAGTCCAGCAGTCGGGAGCTGAGCTCTAAGAATCACCACCACAAACTTCTCAGGAGTCCATAAGACATCAGCAATTCTGGTGGCTTAAAGGGCTAGAAGGTGGCTCCGTAAACCCTGAACCTTGTATTTACCTTTGACAAGATTCTAAGATAGATTGCCACAAACATGCTTTAGAAAACCTTAGGAAAGGGGCCGGGCGCAGTGGCTCACACCTGTAATCCCAGCACTTTGGGAGGCTGAGGCGGGTGGATCATCTGAGGTCAGGAGTTCAAAATCAGCCTGGCCAACATAGTGAAATCCTGTCTCTACTAAAAATACAAAACTAGCCAGGTGTGGTGACAGGTGCCTGTAATCCCAGCAACTCGGGAGGCTGAGGCAGGAGAATCGCTTGAACCTGGGAGGCAGAGGTTGCAGTAAGCTGAGATAGCGCCATTGCACTCCAGCCTGGGTGACAGAGCAAGACTCCATCTCAAAAAAAAAAAAAAACCAAAAAGGTAGGTAGTAGTAGGTTATGTACTTTTGGGTACAAAACAAAACAAAACAAAACAAAGAAACAAACAAAAAAAACCCACCTAACTTCATAAGTGTAAAATATGAGACTTTTATGTGTGTGTGTGTATGTGTGTGTGTGTGTGTGTGTATTTGGTTTTTGTTTTGTTTTGTTTTGTTTTTTGTTTTTGAGACAGGGTCTCCCTCTGTCACCCAGGTTGGAGTACAACGGCGCCATCTTGGCTCACTGTAACCTCTGCCTCCCAGGCTCAGCGATCCTCTCACCTCAGACTCCTGAGTAGCTGGGACAACAGGTGTGCACCACCACACCTGGCTAAGACTTTTGTGTTTTGTAGCAGAAATTAATGGGGAAAAATGTTATGGAATTCCGTCATTAACAGAAGTGTATTGTAGCCACCAGCCAAGCAAAGGGCTCCAAGGTGCACTAATAGGGTCTTATAGGGTGGGAGGAGGTGGCCCCTTTCTGCTCTGGGCTGATCAAGCCTCACCTGAAGCACCTTACTTCATTCTCAGGTCTACAGTTTTAGCAGGACAGAGGCAGCTTAGAATCTTCAGGGGAGAGTGAGAGACAGTGAGGGAACTTGTTAGGTGTGAGGTGGTCAAAGGAACCCTGGGCCTTGGAATATCTTGGTGGAATGTGAAAGGAGGTAGACAGATTGAACCATTTTGTACCGAGGGATGCAGACGGAGGTTGGAATGTGGATGGAGGCTGGCAAGTTTCCAATATACAAACTGTTCAATGAAGACCAAATGTTCAAGCCATCAAAAGAAGGCCAGGGCTGCTGGATCACTGGGGACATCACAGAAGAGTCAAGAGGTTTCCAGGGGCTGCAGGAGATGGTTGCTGGGTCCTCCGTAACTTTGGGCATGAGTCTAGGAAAGGAATAATAGTTTTGCAGAATGCTACAGCAAGTGCAGAAGAGTAAAAAACCACGAAGCTGATGTTTTCTGCATACCTCGTCTGTGCCTCACTCTGTGTTGTGTCCCACAGTTAACACTAGCAGCAGCCTCTGAGACAGGCATTATGGTTACCTCCATCCTACAGATGAAGACATTGAGGCTTAGGGATGCAAACTGAATTGCCCAAAGTTACATGACCAGTAAGTGGTGGGCTAGTTCAAACCCTGATCTCTGGGACTCCAGTGACAAAAGAACCAGTAGTCTCAGGGGAAAGGCCAAGTGGGTTGTATTTACCACCATAAAACCAAAAAAAAGTCTGAAAGAGAGACCTAAGTTTTTCGTTTAGATAGTTTTTATCTCCACTTGGTCTCACCTTAGTAAATTTCACATGAATAGAACATGTGGGTGGAATTACGATCAAAAATTATGAAATAAGGCTGGGCACGGTAGGCTCACGCCTGTAATCCCAGCACTTTGGGAGGCCTAGGCGAGTGGATCGCCTGAGATCAGGAGTTTGAGACCAACCTGGCCAACATGGTGAAACCCCGTCTCTACTGAAAATACAAAAATTAGCCAGGCATGACGGTGCATGCCTGTAATCCCAGCTACTCTGGAGGCTGAGACAGGAGAATCACTTGAACCCAGGAGGCAGAGGTAGCAGTGAATCTAGATCACACCACTGTACTCCAGCCTGGGCAACAGAGTAAGACTCCATCTCAAAAAAAAAAAAAAAAAAAAAAAAAAAAAAAAATATATATATATATATATATATATATGTAACAAAAAACATAAATCCAAGGCAGAACTCAGGCCAAAATACCACCAAAGACAGCCAACCCTTTGGAGGATGAGCGTATACAATTTAGTCTGAAAGGTGCATGGGAAAAAAGCCACAGAAGGTGGGCCAGATGGATATCTTCTGGTGATAATGACAGAGCCACAGGTTGAACCAGAAGCCCAAGCCTGGGAGAATGAAGTATGTCTACAGAATGACTAGGTCTCAGTAAGGAGGGCCAAAACTGGCCTAGCCGACTCCAAGGGCTCTGACTGAGGTGTCAGAGGTACAGACAGGTGAGGCCGCCCTTATGATGGGAATGTCGGATCCTGCCCACAAAACTGGGAGCTCCCTTGTTCCCAAAGCAGGAGAATCACATTCCACATACTTGCAATTGTTGACTACTGGTCAGAATCGCTGAAAACAAAAAGTGTATTGTTTGAAACCAAAAATAGATTTGATGCACCTGCTAGCAAAATACTAAATTTTTGTAGCTGCCAGATGTAAAGCACAGAATCAGCAATGAAGAATGCAAAGGGGAGCATACTGTGTCTCTATAATTGAGCATGATGACAATAATTGGCCAGACATTTCACATTTCACCTAACCACTTGCTACACAATTTATCCATGGGTGAAATAAATGGAAGTGGGTCTTTTTGTTTTATTTTATTTTTTAAGTAACACAGTCTTGCTTTGTTGCCCAGGCTGGAGGGCAGTGGCATGATCATAGCTCACTGTAACCTCAAACTTCTGGGCTCAAGCGACCCTCCCACCTCAGTCCCCCAAGCAGCTAGGACTACAGGTGTGCACCGCTGTATCTGGCCAAGTTTGTGTGTGTGTGTATTTTTTTTTATAGATAGAGTCTGGCTATGTTGCCCAGGCTGGTCTCAAACTCCTGGGCTCAAGTGATCCTCCCACAGTGCTGGGATTATAGGCATGAGCCACTGCATCCAGCCCAGAAATGGGTATTTTAAACGTATTACGAAAAACAAATTGTTATGGGTGGAGATGTGTCCCCTGCAAATTTATATATTGAAATCTTAACCTCTAGCACCCCAGAATGTGACTGTATTTGGACATATGGCCTTTAAAGAAGTAAAGTAAAATGAGATAATTACTTTAGGCCCTAATCCAATTTGACTGGCCCTACTAGGAAAAGGAAATCAGGACACAGACATGAGCACGTACAGAGAAAAGACTGTGCCAGGAGCAGGCTGCCATCTGCAAGCCAAGGAGAGAGCTCTCAGAAAAAAACGATCTTGCCGACACCTTCCTTTTGCACTTCCAGCCTCCAGGACTGTAAGAAAAGAAATTTCTGTTGTTTAAGCCACCAAGTAGTATTTCGTTATAGCAGTCCAAGCAAACTAATGCACATATCAAAACTACTTTAGTTTTTCCACTTTGTTGCAAACAATTGCAAGTTGTCCAGGTTTTCTGTCTTCCCCCAGCCTGCAAGTGCTCAGAGGACACCCAACCCTATGATCTCAGCCAACTCATGAAGTTTGATTTCACAACTTAGTGATGTCTTCCCAGTGGAATCCTAAATGATAAGGAAAATGGTATAGAGCCAAGACTTGAACATTAACAACCCAGGAGCACAGAAACAGCACAGTTAGCTGAGAGGCGTTATGGAGAGAAGCAACCGAATGCACACTGAGCGCTGTGAGAAGTCCACGACAGTGGGGAACAGCGCCCACCGTCACAAAAAGAAAGACCCTCGGCAGGTACTTTAGAGTCACGTTCATGCTGTAATATGTGGGGAAGAAAGACTATTCCAAATGGATCTGGCTTTTTAAAACAAGGGAATTTTCCTTGCTCTTGGGAACCAGCAAAATCCAGCTGCTCATTGAACTGCCTGTCTGGAATCTCACAAATTTGCACCTTGAAGTTGTTAATAAAGGACTAAGTTGATAATTCGAACAAACCCTGTGGTTTGGAAGTCACTGTTTTTCTGCTTAGCGTTCGACTTTCAAGCTCTTCTTTTGGAATAGCTCTTCAGGGCATTCTATGGATGTGTAATAAACCGACAAATTCCTTGTGAGAAGTTTTAGAAACTGTCAGGTGAAATGAGCCAGGTGGGAGGGCCCAGATGGCTCAAAGCTGAAGCAATGAGGGCTCTTTTCACTGTAGCTTCTAAATGGGCTCCCAGGGTACACCCCCACACACCAAAAATTTTCAGCCATGTTTTGGTAGAAGAGTGCGTCATCCTGAGGGTGCTACCACGAGGGACCACATCATTTGCATATTTATGTCACAGCAGGCCTGATCCACACAAACTCCTGTCGCTTACCAAGTTGTGCACCTTTACCTCCATGTGCTCACTGGGCAGCTGGAAGACACACAGCGAACCTCTTGTGCTCTCAGCCTTGGTTTGCTGACCTCCATGCCTTTGCACATGCTGACCCCCACTCCACACACCCGGACCACCACTGCACATCCAAATCCACCTGCCTCTCAGGGCCTTGTCCAAATGCTGCCTCCTTCATGAGCACCCATAGTGAGTCCAAGGCAAGTCCCTGTCCCTCCCTAAACTCCAGGTCACGTCACCCCAAGTCATCTTCATCAATTTCCCTTCCTTTTTTATATCCCCATTGCTTAGATCTTGCTTTTATGGGGCTGTAAGTGGTTTCCGCTGGGATGCCTTTCTAGTTCACCTCTGTGTCCTCATCAATTTGGTGCTGAATTATATACCTGTGATTTTTTTCACTTCTTTTCAATGTCATTACTTTCCAATTGCAAAGCAGAAACATTCCTAGTAGTATATTCCAAAGCACACTGTCATTTGGTGTTCTTTATAATGTACAGTGACTATCACGTTTGCCCTTCCAAGCCCTAAAATCTTTCCACTCATCTCTTCTGCTTATATGCCTTGATGCAAGAGGGGTTAAAGTTTCATGCATAAAATGTCTGCACTAGAGGGCACACTAGAGCATGTCCATGCATAAATGTGAACACATATAAATGTGTGCATGGGATGAGGCAAGAAGACGGGGATAGTAGAGAGAACAGAGGCTGGCTGAATCTCCTCGGGAGATGATCTGGAGGAGCTGCATTTAATCCAAACATAAAGCCTTGGTCTAGGAAGTGATCTTCTTCAAAGGCTCTTAGTCTCGTGCATGAACATGAAGCAGCAGAACCTGTGACTTCCAAACCACAGGGCTGTTTAAATTATCTCCTGTTCTTTTATTAACAATGTCAGCATGCAAATTTGTGAGATTTCAGGACATACAATTCAGGGAGTAGTGGAATTTGTGGGTACCAAATAGCAAGAAGTTTCCTTGTTTTAAAAGAACCAGATCAACTGGAATATTCTTTATTAATTATATATTACCTAATACTATCTGGGAGTGCAGCTATTGACCAGCGATGGCAAGCTGTCCATCACGGGCAGTGAAAGGGCCGGGCTGGGCCACCTGTTTCTCCATGGCTGCCAGAGACATTGGCCCTGGTCACTTACACGATCTCCACGTGTATAGCCCAGCAGAGGAGCTGGCCACACTGCAGTGGCTGCAGGAGCATGCAGGTGTCTCCATTTGTTATTGGTGGCTACTTAGCCAACATATACTTGGGGGAAGGAGAGGGAGTCCCCCAGAGGTGCTTCACCAATTCCGTAATAACAGTTCTGCTCTGTAACACTCTTAATGCTTGGGCGAGAGAAACTGCTGCCACCCCATGCCCACCTTCACACATGTCACGTTTTTCTGGCCCATCTGCACAGGCAGGGGCCCAGGTGTTGCCATCTGTTCTGAATTCTCAAAATGTCAGTGTGATATGGGCAGCCTAGAGTTTCACAATTCAGCCAGTTATTCACCCTGCCACGTCTGTCTTGATTGTGGCTCTCATGTGTCCATTCTGCTGCTGCCTCCCACAAGCCAGGTCCTTTCCTTCCAGGCCACACCAAGATCCATGCTGAAAGTGACTTCTAGGAGGGCTACAAATCTCCAGTGTTTCCTCACTTCAATTCTTCCCACCAAGTCATTATTCTAAAGCTGCACATTGATCATTCCAAACTTTGCTCAAAAACTCTAAGCAGCACACACACACATGTGCACAGACACACACACACACACACACACACACACACACACACACACACACGCCCCTGCAGGTGAAAGACCCAACCCAACACTGTGATCTGACAGTTGGGACTCTACACACATGTCCCCAGCCTTCTGCTCCACCGCAGCTTGCCTGAGCCAGTGAGCCCAGATGTGCCACAGGCACCTGCACTCCGCCTCTGACCATGCCACTCCTCCATTTGTAATTATTTTCCCATTTTAAAAATTTCAATCCAATGTCACTTATCTTCTGCCTATAGTAATTTATCGCTTCTAATCTTCTACAATATTCATATGTTTTGTCCTCAAAACATTTGTGTTTTTTGGAAGCCTGGTCCCATGAAATTCTCTAAGAAAAAAACAGAAAGTTCCACCATCATCTACATTTAACATATACCACAAATGTTATGCTGTTTCACATATTTTCAAAACACATATTTGGATATTTAAAATGCACGACCAAAGGCTCTGAGAAGTCTTGCAGATTTTTAGAAAAAGATGTTTCTCTTGGGTCAACCTGGCTTTTCCCATGCTATATTTATTTGACTGTACACCCTTTGGGGACACAGTATTTATAATGGTCTCCTCCACTCACTGGCACCCCCTGACCTCCAGTGCTCCCTTTACAGGCATCACCACATTACGAACAACTGACCCACAGGTCACCTGAACATAAAAACAGTACAGAGGAAGTGATAGCAAACTTTCTGCTCCTTATGGGGCAACTGCAGCTGGATGTGCTGGGTATTTCATCTCTGAAGCCATCATGTTGGTTGAGCTCCCAGATTCTGTAAGCTCTGACCTCAGTGAGCTCACCTTGGCTGGAGCCTGATCTGTACAATCCAGAACTTGTTTGGGAGCTGTGGGTTTAGGAGAGTTTGGGTGGGAACATGGGTGGGATGGGCATCATGGCCCCCTGGTGCTTTCTTTACAACTAGACAGTAAGTTTCTCCCAGGTAGGGTGCTTCTTTACATTATTGGCCTGAGCCTAAGGTCCTCACAGTGATAGAAATGCACCTCTGATTATTCTCTCTGAGTCCCTGAATGCTGAGACCAGGCTGATACCCAGTACAGGGAGGACCCTAAGGTTGCAGGATATGAGTGGTGAGAGAAGAACCCTGGAGAAACTCAGTTTCTCAATCCCAAGAGATCCCAGGGATGGGTGGATAAATTGGAAAGGCTGCCCAACAGCCCCACTCCACAGAGCATGCCTTAAATTAAGACAGAGAGTTCTCCTGCAACTAGTCCTTCATGGCCCCTGACCTCTTAGTTCTGGGAACCAAGTGGAATAAGTGTCATCAGTCTGGTGGAGCAGGCAGGCCTCCTGCTGGCAGCCTGCCCTCTCTGTGGACCCTTCCAGGACAGAGAACACAGCCCAAGCACAGCAAGCCATGGGGCTGGAGGCTCCATGGTATCAGAATCTCATCACATATTCTATCCTTGACCCTTCATTTCTTTAAGTTGCTTTGAAGCCACATTTCATATATCAGGACCTGCTGTTTACATAAAGCAGTGGTGGAGAGTCCCATTCATCAAAGGCAACTGCATGTCATTTGGCGTTGGCCCTGCCTTGTGGCAGAGGCCCCCTAGAGACCTATGCTAGGTGACTAGAAGCATGTTCTGGGCTCAGCAGGAAAGGGGCTAAGGCCCACCAATACCCAGACCTGCATGTCCAGAGACAGTGTCAAATTTGACCTGAAATATTAAGAGTTTAATGCCTTCTTGTTTTACAGTTTTAAAGGGGCAATTTCTGACATTCTTGTTTTTAATAAAAAGGAAGAGAAAAGCACAGAGTTTTAAATCATGTAATTACAAAGCGGTGCAAAATGAACATGTGCGGCCTTTGTTCAAAAACCATTAAGAATTTTAAGATGGTAACAGCAGGGCATTAAACCAAGCCAGGACCTTCTGCGCAGGGGAGGCCCTAAGCGACTGCACAGCGCGCACACCTGTGAGGCCGGCCGAGCAGATATCAACATCGGCCACGGGTCCGGCAGGGAGAGTGCCAGGGACTTCATGGTCTCACTGTAAGGCCTGCAAGGTGGCAAGACAGAAGTACAGCATCCTGGAAAGACTTCCTTGAAAAGAGGCTCTCAGCCCAGCCCTCGGTGCCCTCCCAGATTCCCACGCTCTTGGGGTTTGGGCCGACTTGGCAGCCTCTAATCGTTTGATTTGACTCAAGCGCCACACTTGGTGGGTTCAGTCTCCTTCTTGTAGGTTGTGTCCATTCCTACTCTTGAGATTATTTTCATCAATCTGTTTTGTTTTTGGCCCCAATCAGGCCTATTTTTTATTTGGGTTGCTTGTCTACATTTCACACTCAAGGTCAAACTTTCTCAATATGCAGATACTAAAACGTGATTCTCCGGGGGCCCTGCCTGGCCTGGCCTGGCCTGTGCTCAGCCCTGGTTGTCTGTCTTTCCCTGAGCTGACCACACCCTGGATCCATTTATGCCGAGGCTCTCTGAAGCTCACCTCCTGAAATCTCTCGGCTGCTCCGGCCCCAGTGGCCCTCCACTGCGTTCACTGTCCGCTGGTTCCCGTTATCAGGTCCTGACTCCTTCCTGTTTCTGGCCCATATTCTCTAAAAGCTCTGAGCTCCATTCCTCTGCCTCTTTGCCCTGAAGTCACATGGGAGTCGGAAAGACACAGACGTTGTGTCAAAGCTCTACCCAATCCCACATTCCAACTGGAAACTGCCCATTTGACACCTCCCCAACACATAAAACTTATCAACTTAAATATCATAATTTCAGCAGGAAAAAAGTGAATGACTTAATAAATAGTCTGGGAAAATTTGCTACACATTTAGGGTAAAATGAAACTCCCTTACTTCAAATTATAAACAAAAATAAGTTCTACTTGACTTGACATTTTAAACCAAAAATAAAATTACTAAGTATCAGAAGAAAAAAATGTGAGGATATTTTTCGAATCTAGGGGTAGGAACAGACTTTCTAAGCAAGACAAAACCTGGGTGTTAAAAGGAAAATAATAACTACTTAAAAGTTAAATAGTTCCATAATATAAACGACACAGTAAAGAAAGTTAAGACAGGTTGAGAGAAAGTATTTGCAGCATATATATCAAAGTCTTAAAATCCAGGATATTAGAAAAGTTCCCCCAGAACAACAATAAAAAAAAGGAAGAAAAGGAGAAGGAAGAAAGGAATGAAGGGAGGGAGGGAGGGGAAAGGGAAGAGACAGAGGGAATAAAGGAGGGAGGGAGGGGAAAAGAGGGCAAAAAATATAGGGAGGCAATTTATAAAAGGGCAATTAACAGGCTATAGGTCTTCTTAAACCAATCTTCCCCAGAGCAAATATATATAAAATCAGTATTTCTGGAGGCTGAGCTTAATTCTTTACTTTTTTTCAGTGCTTAGCTACAATTTTATTGGATTTTTACCATAAAACTAACTCTTCAGCAAAGAAGGCACATTTTAAATAGACCTTCTAAATGCAGAGTTCTTCTGAGTTATGAATGACTGCAAGGTAGCATGACTACAAAAATTGTTCTAAACAACATTATTCTAAATTATTCTGCATGATTATTATATTATTCTAACAACTATATTATTCCAAATTTTAAAGGAGATTAATTATGGGAGAGATGATTTACGCAATTACCAAATACACAGAGAGGACAGGATTGGGAGGAAATATGCCTGACTGGGAACAGTGGGTAACTCTAGTGGTAGGAATGTCGGTGGTGAGTTTTATTTTCTTCCTTGTCTTTTCTTCTAAACCCCTGCACCTGGCATCAAGACAGGCAGTGCCACCTGGGCACCAGCAGAGCCCTCCTCTGTCCTGGGGCAGCCGACCCTCAGGGGCACCTCTGCTCCCAGGGTGTCTTTCACCTGGGGCTTTTATATTTTCTTCAGATATTGCCTTAAAGAAACATGCTATTCACATCCTACAGACATTTTTTTACATGGTTTTTGCGTTGCTTCAAATAATGTCCTCAATTTTACAATAAGAGGATTATTTAAAATTTTAAAAGCTGACGCTCGTAGCAAACCACTGTGACCTGTGGTGCCTGCATCCCCTGCCCGGCCACTAGGTTGTCCCGGCTAGAGTCCAAATGCCCCCCAGCTGCCTGCTCACATTTCTGAGGTGGGCAGGGATCCATGGGCCTCTCTTTGGCCCACTCCTGTGCACGTGGGATGTCCACAGCTGGGACACCTGTGCGTGGGCACCCGCCCTGCAGGTCGCCTCCAGATCTGAGTCCTCACTCCTCCGCCTCTTGACTTTGAAGTCAAGGTTTCACTCTCTTGACGAATACTCACTGCTTAAGGCTACCCTTGCTACTAAAATAACTTTCCATGAAATACTCTGAAAGAAGCTTCTTGACTGTAAATGCCATTATACTATCAGAAATGCCATGTTTGTGTGCGGTTATGTCTTGTGTAACTGACTCCACCGGATTTTCAAGGTGAAGATTGCTCGTTTTTGTCATTTCCAAAACCCAACATTCTTTCACTATAATGTGGCAACTTCTCAGTTCTTTAAACTATTTTTTTCTTTAAGTTCTTATGAATTGATGGTTCCTGTTTTTCTGAACTGTGTGTTGAACCCGTGCTTCTGCTAGGTTCAGAGTCACCTTTGTTCAATAACTAGCAAATGAGGCAAAAAGGTCTCACATAAAATGTGACTTTGTGGCCACTTGGGAGCCTCCATCTCCTCTCTTTGTAAATTTTAATTTGGAGAGACGAGTGTGAACCTCAAAGGAGGGAAAGGGAGCGGGAAAATGGCAACGTGGGTGAAAGTTCCATGTTCGGGCGAGGTTCTCTGTGTGAGGTGAGACTGTGCTGTCCTGCTCACATGGGAACCGTGGCTCGGCCGCCAACCTCGCACGGAGTACAGGGACCCACACAGAGACACACTCTGTAGCCCACCAGAGCACGGATCCCATCCCATATAAAGATGAAATGAGTCTTTTTGTTTTTTTCTTTTTAGCACATGTAAAGACCAAATTTTTCTTTTGAACCTCGATTTTCTTTTGAACCTTGATTTAACTTTTAGGAAAAGTGAAAACAAAAGGAGAATATTGTATTCACCCAAATAAAAAATGATTTCCTGCGTCCAGGTTGACTGCTCATCCATTAGCAGCAGATGTCTCTTGAGTAGCTGAACCACACCAAGCTGGACCTGGGACTTGAGAAGCCCCCTTCAACCTCTGTCAGGACGCACGCTGGATTAGCATCTGCTAGGGCTGCCGTAAGAAAGTACCAAAAAATAAGTGGCTTAAACAATAAAATATTGTCTCACAGTTCTGAAGGCTGGAAGTCTGAGATCACAGTGCCCACCGGGCCAGGCTACCTCCAAAGGGAAGGCTATGTTCCAGCCTCTCTCTCGGCTTCTGGTGGTGTAGCTGTTTAAGTCCAGTCTTCACATGGTGTACTCCCTGAGTGTGTGTCTGTCTTGAAATTTCCCCTTCTTATAAGGACACCAGTGATATGGGATCAGGGGCCCACCCGACTCCAGCATGACCTCATTTGAACTAATTACATCGGCAATGGCACTATTTCCAAATAAGGTCACGTCTGAGCTGCCAGGGGCGAGGACGTCCACATGTGAATTTTGGGACACACAAGTCAACCCATCACACACAGAGGCCCTAAAGGATGAATCACACACGTCTGGACTCCTACTCACTTTCTTAGTCGTGTCTTCTACCAGTCCTCTTCCCCCAAACTCGTTCCCCTGAAAGCAAGTTGCCTTCCCACTAAGAACAGACCATTTGCTTTCTTTCCCTTCAGTGTCAGTGTCTATGCTAAGGAGAAGGTTGTTTAAAAAGCAGCTCAAAATCCACCAGACTCCTCAGGAAGTGCCTCTCGGGGAGGCCTCTAGACGGGGCTGCTGTGCCTCAGTAGCCTCAGTAAAGACCTCCCTCCAGCTGCCCTGTGTCTCCTGACTCCCGGGCTTTGTGATTCTAACCTCATGGGTGCTCTGAGGGTAAACCCCAGGAAGTCCTGTAGGTCCCGGGGCTGTTCCTGTGAGGACAGCTGTCCCCTGCACGCACGTGGGGTGCCGTGTGCTCCTGAGGAGCTGGCTGGGGCAGGCAGGGCCCAGTGACACCTGGGCTGGAACTGTGGCTCCCCCACTTGTTTGCTGGCTCTGCTTCCTCTTTAAGAAACGAGGATGATCATGTAGGGTTCCTAAGGGGGTTAAAGTGTGTGAACTCCTTAGAGGCGCACATAGCCCAGAGGAGAAACATAAGTCAGCCTCAGCTCCTCACGGTGCCTTCGGCCACAGACAGCATTTGCCTTCACCAGGCTTCTTTTTAAAACAATTCTTGACTTGGAAAGGGTCCTTGGGAAAAATTAAAATTTTTAAAATAAATAAATAAAATCTGAGGTTAATTCTTTTGAAGACCCAATCTCCATTTCCTCATCCATCTGTTTTGTAAATACAATCTGGTGTCCAGGCGACTCTGAGGGACTGGGACCCTCCTGAATCACACAGCGTCCAAGTCACTCACTGCTCTCATTTCTGGCTATCAGATTGTTCCCCGGGGGAATGGAGTCTCCGCCCCTGGGAGCTCAATTCGAAACCACGGCTGACCGTGAGGATGGTGACTCCCCACTCGGACCCCCTGAGGATGGCGACTTCCCGCTCGGGCCCCCTGAGACTTTGCTGGGGCTGGAAGACCACACACAGTGCATTCCCTGAAGGCCAGGGCCTACCCATCCACCCATCCATCCACCTAGGGATGCCTGGATAAGCTCAGGGCCCCACCCACCCAACAGGGGAGGAGGGGAGACCCAGCCAGCCCTCCTGGAGCCCTGACATTTACAGCTGCAAAGGTAGGCAGCTGCGCTCAAACACACAAGCCAGGCCTCTCAACACAAGAAGGGGTTTAACATTAAAAAAAAACATTATGAGGCTGAGGCAGGCAGATTGCTTGTGTCCAGGAAATTGAGACCAGCCTGGGCAACACAGCAAAACCCTGTCCCTACAAAAAATAGAAAAATTAGCCAGGCCTGGTGATGCATGCTTGTAGTCCCAGCAACTCAGAAGGCTGAGATGGGAGGATCACCTGAGCCTGGGGAGGTCGAGGCTGCAGTGAACCGTGATCGTGCCACTGCACTCCAGCCTGGGCAACAGAGTGAGACCCTGTCTCAAACAAAACAAAACAAAAAAAACCCATTTTGATAGATTTTGTGGAAAATAAGGAAGAAAAGAAAAAGGCCCATTCTTTTTTGCTTATACTGTATTTGCATAAAGAAACTCTGAAAGGACATATAAGAAACTAAGAAAAGGGTTACGGAGGGAACTGGATGGGAGATGGGGATGGGTGTGTGTTTTTCACTGGATACCTTTTTATACAATTTCATTTTTGAATCCTATTCAGAAAAATTAAAGCTGGAAATTCTATTCCCTCATTTACCACATTTACAGGGTGAAAGAGAAATTCTGTATCCTCATCCCAAGAGATGCTGAAAAGCATCCGTGGAAGGTTGGCACCACCTGTCATGAGCGCCTTTTTCCAGATGAGAGTTCCCCAGGACTCATTGCAGAGCTTCCGGCTGGACTCCCTGAGGCCATGGAGAATTGCCAGGGTAGGGGTTACAGAGAAAGATGCCCTCCCTTGGAAATAATTTGTTTGAAGGCTCCTAATCTGCATGTGGTCTTGACAAATAGGATCCAGCAAACCTGGATGTGTGCAAGCCATTGGAGATTCGTGATTTCTTGGATGAAGCTGGGAATTCCACCTCTGCCTCAAGCTGTGCACCCTCAAACTCTCAAAAGCCTCAGTTTACTCATCTGCAACATGAGTTAAGAGTGCCCAACCCCCATAGGATGGGAATGATCATGTTAAAAGACATACATTCTCCAATCCCTACTGCTTCCAGGAGGCCCTTCAGAATAACATTGATTCACTACACACAATGTAAGCAGCATGGCTGATCTCTTGTAAGTCCTGCATGAGGTAGTAATTAGAACCTCAAACATGAGAATCAAAGAGTGCCACTTTTGCAGCAGTAGAAGACTAAGAAATTGTAATAATCCTTTGAATCAGTTTGCTCAGATTACTCCCAGATTACTCTGGGACTTTTCTGACATATGAAGAACAATTTCTATTTCAATAGGGTGTCCATTGCCTGCCACTAACTTTTCATTTTCACAGAGAATGGCTGAAATTAGAATTGAGAGATTCTGATAATTCTGGCAAGCAGAGGGCAGATGGGGGTGAGGATGTGCGGACAGGGGCTGCGTTACTCTAAACGGCAGGGAAGGACTTGGGGACAGCATTTGTTCCCCTCTCCAGTGACATTCCTGTTTTGTTCAAGTGCCCCTCTGATGAACCCAGTGGGTGAACACAGAGCAGGTGACACACACTTTGGACAGGTGAGACAGTCGCGGGTGAGTCACCTCCTTACCAGGAACCTCTGGTGTGCAGTCACCTTTCCTGCGGCTGGGTGGCAGTCTGTACTCATTCTGTGCCTTACCTCTTCCCTCCCGAGCATGACTCTGAGCAGGCACTTCTGGGGACTTCAAAGAGACTGTCACATGCAGATGAGATGAGCCATGTGCCTTTCAGGCCCAGCTCAGCAGGGCCAGCTTGAAAGGCATATCTGAATTGAATCAAATGCATCCACCCCACAAACTGAGGATGTGACTATATGTAAACAATGAAAATGACAATCATTGACAGCCGAGCGTTTAAATGCTCTGGATGTTGGAGGTAACTTACAGCCAGTATCTAATTCACAGCTGCCCCGAAGTTAGCTAACCTCGCCAAAAGCTCCCTGTGCTTGAGGATGGAGGAAAGAGAGAACAGCAGAGAAGGATGGGTATCCATCAAGACAAGGCTGGCTGAGTGTCTAAATCATCCCCACACGCTCCATTTGTCTGTGGGATCACTATCACATATTTGATCATATGATACGTTTCATAACCCCCTTTACCCCCATCAGTGAAACTTGTGCAGCAAGGGGAGCTATTTGTGTTCAATGCAGTGCCCGAGAGCACTGGGATAGTGGCAACAGTGAAGACAATCGCTAGTGGATGTCACAGGTCTCTGCTCTTGGTCTTCACTGATCCAAGTGGTCTTCTGGTGAAGATGTAAAGGGGATACCACTCCAAGTTATAGATGACATGAAGCTTCATGTTTTATATTAGAGAATACATGGGCTAAATCTAAAAGACAACACCAACGATAATGCAAAGTTCTACTTAGGTTAAAAAAAAAAGTTTTTTTTAAAAAAGTCACCACCTCATATTCAGAATGATCCCAGCACTTTGAGAGGCAGAGGTGGGAGGATCACTGGAGGACAGGAGTTTGAGACCAGCCTGGACAACACAGTGAGACGCTCGTCTCTACCAAAAAAAAGATTTTAAAATTAGCCAGGCATGGTGCCACATGCCTGTAGTCCCAGCTCTTCAGGAGGCTGAGGTCAAGGGTCACTTGAGTTCAGAAGTTCAAGGCTGCAGTGAGCTATGATTGCTTCACTGTACTCCAGCCTGAGTGACAGAGTGAGATCTTGTCTCTAAAAGATATATATATACACACACACACAGAATTAGAGAGATGTGGCTTTGCAGCACGTTCCCACACAGAGAGGCAGGGAGGTCAGCTGGCTGTCAGTGCAGTGCCCAGGTCCAACAGATAGGTATGGTTGCCAAAAACCAGACAAAGGAGGTCACTGTGCCCACCTGAAGTGGGACATTGGAAAGTTGCCAAGTAGATGCTGTGGAAGGCAGCACAAGATCAAGGGTAGCTGAACACCTCAGCACATAAAGAATCTTTCCAGGAACCATGAGAAGAAGGAAGAGCTTGAACAGAAGTGGTGAGGTCCATGCAGTCGGAAGGGCTTTGGTGTGGAAGGAGCTGGGGCTCATGCAATAATTCAGCAGTCTCTGGGACAGGATATGTGCTCAAGGTATATGAATGGGCATGTTGAGTTATGACCATCCTTCCCATCGTGGCTATGCTTATATGACTTCGGGGGCAGAGCTAGGTCCAAAATATGGATGTGCCAGAGAATAGGCTTTGGATAATTTATAGAACGTCTTCTCAGCTGGCGCTTTGCAGTGATGCGCTGGGCTGCCTCTTTGGGAGGGAAAGGGCTTATGGATTAGACAGCCCTCTGAGGGCTCACAGAGAGGGGCTTCTATGGTGGGAAGTGCCCTTCACACTGAGAATCGTGATTCCAAATGAAGGGTGTCTAAGTAATGATGATGACTCCATGTTGGATGGTTAAGCATCTGCCACTGTGGGTCACCTCGCCCATGTATCAGGGAGGATCAAAGAGGACCCTCGATCATGGCCACACAGCTAGCAAGAGGAAGGCAGGACTGGCCCAGGGATTCTGATTCCACATCAACAGAGTTTTTAACATCCCCAGAGTGTCCCTGATTCCCTCTTCATGACCCTGCACTAGCTGCCATATTCATACACGGAAGCACACCAGCACCTGCATCTCCCCTACTAACAGCCCTCCTCACAACCGCACTGCTTCTCAGCTGCCCTGACTGGTCTCAATTAACATTCATTGAATAATGAGTAAATAACTAAACAGATGGACAATTGAACCTCTTCCCTTAGATGTCCAGCACTCTACACCTAATGCTGCCCCTGGGTGTCAGCAAATGAAATGTGGAGGCAGGATTGTGGTACTCCTCCAATGCCAGAGTTGGAGGAGAGAGATCATTGCTGGAATGGAGATCTGGGGCCCAGAGAACAGCTCCTACAGTCAGGAGTAAATGGCAAAAAGCCACTAATTCCAATCTAAATAGCTAATGCTATTGAATACCTACTATGTGCAGCACTTTCCTAAGAATTTTTCATGCAAGAACTCTTTGCATCCTCAGAACAACTCTCTGTGGTAATTGTTCCTCTATTTCTAGTTTACGGGTGAGGAAACTGAGGTCAGTAGGTGTTAAGTAACTTGCTATGCATGCATTAAGTAGCTGGCTGAGCTGAGGCTCAGCCCTGGCGGTGGCTTCATCACTGGGCCTTGTGAGCCCCTCCAAGGTCACATGGTCCAGCAAACTACAGCAAACTGGGGAGTAGCCAGGAGTAAAATCATGTGGGGAACTTGAGGGGTGACTTCAGGGGAGGAACAGCCCCATGTCTCAGTCTGTGATCCCACACACAGAAGGACATCATTTGTGCTCAAGGTAACTTGAGCAGGCAGGGCATGGGAGAGAAAAGAGGCTCAGGCCTGGGGCCCTGGGTCTGCTCATCTCCGCACAACTTGTATGTTTCTTGTCAATTGTGCCTGAACATACTGTAAATCTTCTCCCTTAAAAAGCCAAAAGAGTAAAGTTTGAGGGATTTGTAGGACACTAACAAGAACCAAACCTGAGGCTTATTTATGCCAGTCTAACTATTAATAGTTCCTGGAATGGCTTTACACAAACAAGAATAAGGCTGTCTATCCCCACGCAGGAAAGTTCATGTGCAAATACCACAAGGCTGGACAGTCCGGCTGCATGTGCCCTGCACCTGAGGCCCCCAGCCCAAGGGAACCCTCAGGACAAACAGCAGAGAAGCTCTGGGTGCCAGGGCATCCTCCTCGACAGGCCCCCTACCCTGGCATGGGCATGTGAGGCCTGAGAGCCCACTGGAAGTGGAGACATTGAGGCTTCCACTAGTGGCCACTCGTGGCAGAGGCCAGGGACCCCAACCTGACTAGCCACTGCTCGTAGCCCAGGGGCTGTGCACCTTGGAGGGGTCACCAGCCCCTCTGAAGACCTGCCGAGTGCCACCGCAGGGCTCAATTCAGGCCCTCCACCTCATCAGAGTGACGGCTCATCTTTCAAGGCTCCCAGATCAGGAGTCTGTGTTCCACATGTATGCTGTCCAACCTGGTAGCCACATGCAGTTGTGGGCATTTAAATTAAAATTAACTGAAATTAGATAAAACTTTCAATCCAGTTCCTAGTCACAGTAGCCACATTTCAGTTGCTTAGGAGCCACATGTGACTTGTGGCCGCTGCTTTGACCAGCACAGATACAGAACTTTTCCATCCTTGCAGAAGGTTCTATCAGACAGTGCTGCACTAGAGAGTTTGGGAAGCCACCTTGTGACTTCCCCGGGTCCTCGGAGAGTTTTCTGTTTCTGCCTCCTCTGCTGTCGCTGCTGTCTCTTGGCCTTCAGACTGAGACAGGAGGCCCAGGCTGGGAGAGGCCCAGCAGCAGCTAGCAGCAAGCAGGACAAAGCCCACAGAGGGTGCCCTATCAATCAGACATTGCTGGGTGCATTTGCTGAGACTGGGAGCTCACACAGTGGCCATGAGAGCAGCGACACATTTCCAGCAGCGGAGCCTACAGTTAGAGGACAGATCACGAGAGGTGTGGGGTCCACCCCAACTGGAGCAGGCCCTGAGCAGCTCCCAGAGCCCCCCACACACTGAGACTGCAGGTGTCGAAGTTGCAATGGTAGCAGCCACCGCAGACAATGGATGCTCCCCCCCAGGTTTCCTGGCATCACCTAAGCCCAAGTTTGTTTGATGACATCTGGAGCATTATGACAAGAAAGGATCCCCAATAATGACAGAATTTGAATCTCCCAATAACCAGGCAGAGAGGGTGAGGTAGGGCAGGGCGATCTTGGAGCAGATTTAATATAATTTAGAGATTTCTAGAGTAAAGGTACGTCACATTTTGATACCTTGGCATTATAGACTGGAATTCATACCCGTTAAACAAATAATTGAGCCAGTATGGGGAATTATTACATGGGGAATAAGGAGGCTGAAATTAAAACAGGGACAGGACAGAGAATCCTGTTCTGAAAATCCTGCTTGTCATTTCCAAAGCTCGAGTGAGCATTGAGGATGTCGGGCTCATCAACAGTACATGAAACCAAGCCTGCCTGCCTTCCTCAGAGGCAAGAGTTAGGTCCACATTTCCTGGCACGCAGCTCTGGGTAATTCACAATTCCGAAGCTGCCCCTAGAGAGACCAGCCTATGTTGGCCAGGGCAAGTCCTTCTGTGATTGCTCTCTGCCCTCTTGGGGCCTACATGTCCATTGGGCATGCTGGGCACAGTGCATGGGGCCCATGATACTGTTAGGGGCCTGCAAAAGTGTTTTAATTTTGATTTATTTTAAAATCAGAGGAAAACCACAAATAAATGATAATGAATGTATAATAATGAATCAGCCTGAATGACATTTATCTTTCTGCCAGAGCAGTCACACTCTGCTTTTTCATAAGAAAGTGGTCTGCAAAGACCAAAGCACCTGGGGTCCCTGGGCATCACCATGAGGCCATGACCCTTGCCCCCTATACCAGAGACCTGAAAGGCAGCTCCACAAAGAAGTGACCCTGACACCCTGAAAAATACTCCTACAGGTTGAATTTCAGCTGGAATATTTTTCCCACCTCCCTCTGCATCCGGCTCCAAAAATAGTCAAATCTCCAGGCAGGCAAAATAGCTGGTCACCCAAAGACCTGTGACCATCTGCCTGCTCTGCCATCCTTAGCACTGGTTTCTTTCCTCCACATTGTCTTATGGCTTCATGGAGGCTGCTGGAGCTCCAGCCATCACGTCTGCATTCCAGACAGGGGGAAGGAGAGAATTCAGGTGCAAAATGCTAAGCCTATTACATGTCAGTCTCCTTTAGAGAGCTTTTCTAGAATCCCTAGCTAACCTTTCAGCCTATATCTTTCATTGGCCACCGTATCTGTAAAGGAGACTAGGAAATATCGTTTTTTAACTGGGCACACTGTTGTCCCTAACAACATGGACTTGTGGTTGACAACAGAGGAAGCAGAAGAGAATGCATACTGGAAGTCTCTACAACAGAGTGCTGAAGACAACCAGCTTGATATTGTATAGTACTCTCTCCTGTGAGTGGGCCTGGGGACAAATCATTTAACTTCTCTGTAACCAGGGTCTACTTGATGAAGTAACCACATTGCCCACACCAGAAGCATCAGGAAGGGTACCAAGGAGATGGTAGCTTCAAGGACTTTGGACCACTTGGAGGAGGGTATTCAAAGGGACAGAAGTCACTTGCTTGATTCTTGTATTAAAATCAAGTGGGATTTCTTTTCATTCATGCATTTCACCAGTACTTATCACGTATCCAATAAAGCAACAAGGACAATCCAAACACTGTTCTGTTGCCTGAGGGCTGACTTGGGGCCAGGCACTGTTCCGGATCCTTTGCACATGTGGCCTCACTTAGTCCTCAGAACCATATGTGGCAGAGTCTACCATTATCATCCCCATCATTCAGATGTGGAATTGGGACAAAGAGGGGTTAAGGATGATGCCCGGGGTCACACTGTTAATACACAAAGGAGCCTAGCTTTGAACAAACAGCCTAGCTCTTAGACCCCAAGGAGGTGGTAGCGAATTGGCAGACAAGGTCTCACCTTTTTTTGTCTTTCTAGTGAAACACATATAAGCCCAATTATGTAAGGCCATCATAAATTTCCCCCAGAAGACTGGCACAGGGAGATGGGGGCTACTCTCACCTTCTGCAGCACACACCAAGAATCTCTGCTGTGCTTGGGTTCATGACTCACCCCTTCCCTCAAAGCCAGCTCTTCCTGAGTCAGGACCATGTCCTTTGAGTCCTGAGGTGCAGCAAGGAAACTGTCCAGACTTGGCTTCAAAAGCCAGGCTACTTTCCAGCAAAGAGCCAAATGGCTGGTTGCTTAGAATTTTTAGAACAGGTTCATCTCCAAGGACATGGAGTCTATTCACATAAATCAACCTGATCAAAGGCCAGAGAAGCTAAAACTGTCACATACCTATTATCTACTGGCATAATCAAGGCCAAAGGGATTCATAAGGAGGCGGTGGGTTTTGGAGGGAGAGTGCTTGCTGCTATTTCACCTTGGACCTGAGTCCCCTCTTGTGTGCCCCTTGCTCTGCATCATCTCAGGGCCTTGCCTCACTCCTCCATCTTCCTCCTCCAGCTCCTTTACAGATAGGGTGGCCAGTGAAAGACTAGGCTGAAAGGGTTAGCTGGGAATTCAAGGAAAGGCCTGCAGAGGAGTCTGACATCTAGGAGGCTTTGCCTTTTGCCCTCCACTTCCTTCCTCTCTTCTGTCTGGAATGCAGAAGTGATGGCAGGAGCTCCAGCAGCCTTCTTGAAGCATAAGATAACTTGGAGGAAGGAAGCCAGTGCTAAGGATGGCTGAGTAGGCAGATGGATGAACTGGCTGCCTGTTGACCCTTGTCCCAGAAAACCTGCTTCCTGTTTGAGGACGGAACAGAAAGAGCAATAGAATCCTTTTTCTGTGCAAGAGAAATTAAGCCTGACTCTTTTCGGAGCCCTTGCTATTTTATACATTTTCCCTTGTATCTAGCTGAATTGATAGAAACTTATCAATGTATTAATCAACACTCCGTAAGTGATTTGTCCAGTGAGAACAGCTAAAATAATACATTTTCTGTCATCATTAAAAATCCTGTGATTTTTAGTCCAATAAATGTTTTAAAGGGCAGGATGAAGAGAAGAGCTACAAGACCCTGTAGCAGAAGCCCTCACTCGCAGGGTTATCACTCCTAAAACAAAAGATAAGCAGGAAAACCACAGTGGATAAGATCTGCTGTCAACCTTAGCTTTTCTGATTACACAAAGTGCAATAACATCTATTTTTTTTAATCCGAAGGAATCCTCTGACACCACCAAGCATCCTGCCCACTCCTCCTTCCTGAGCGCTCAACTTCCTTCTGATCTATTGTCGGCTTTTCCTTGCCTGAGCTCTGTGATCTAACCAGAACCAAACGGAACCTATAGAGAGTCCAATCCTTGCCCGACAGCCCTGAGCCAGGCCCATAGCTGCCTAGCCTACAGCACTGGGGGCAGAGGGAGGTCCTCTGGATTATGGCACAGGGGGAATTTGCAGGAAAAACTCCCCACAAATTAGCACCATCTACAATTGACCAACAAAGTGCAGATACTTCTCAGCATTCAAAGCCTAAACAATCAGGATGGAGACGTATAAAGCATTCAATGCTTCATGTTGGCAGGACGATACCAGGTATTTCACTGACAGGTGAAATAGCAGAGTGACGGGACAGAGTGATCAAGGCAGAGTGATCTAAAGGACACAGTAGTACTTCTTTAGGACCCTGGCAGAATGGAAGAGAGCATCTGGCTTCTAAGGCACTGCACAAACTTGAATGATCTTCTTCAGAATTGACAAGGAAAGGCCATGTTATGTTCACCCTGGGTTAAGTTTTAAGTGTATCTTATTTAATTTTTTTCAATATGAGTCATCTCCAGATACTGTGATGATTTCCAAATAACCAGAATCTAGATGACTAGAAATTTACTCTAGCTGGCTTTAGACAGGAAGCGTGAGGACAGAATCCAGCTGCTTCCACTCCAGGGTAGGTCTGAAGCCAACCGTCCTCGGTTTCCTGGCCTGTGGCATCAGTCTGGTTGGATTACACACAAAGCCCTGCAGATCTGCTGCTTTTCCTGATTCTCCTGTCCTGAGTGAGTGCAAGGGGCTCCCCTGTCGCCGATGTGTTCTTTGAAGCAGATGCTGTGCCTGATACCTGCTGGAGAGTCCCACCGCCTTGAGTGAGTCAACAAACCTATCATCCTTCCCATCTTCCAGGATGGATATTGGGGTGGGGGGAGGTTAAAGGGAATACCATAAAGTTGCTACCATACGGTTAGGGCTGAATACAATGGGAGTTCTTATTGTGATGATGTCAATGATGATGACAGTGATGATGATGATGATGATGATGATAACTAGAACTCCAGGTTTTCCTGGAGAGAACCAAGGAGGATTCCCCACTTACCTAATAAATAAATGTCCTGTAAATGCAGAACATGCCATGTAATTGATGACACAAGCGGGATCTCACTTCTGGGGGATGAGAATCAATTCTTTATGGATTCCCACAGGGCAGAGGGACCCGGGTGGAGATACTAAGCTGTCTGTTATATTTCCGAACGAATGAGTACGTACGTAACAGTTATCGTGTCTCCTTGTAACTTGTGTGCTAATCATAAAATCTTCACAAGGACTCATGACATTCGTGCTATGACTTTTCTCATTTTACAGTGAGGAAGGCGGGACACCTAGGAATTAAGTAACTTGCCAACATAGGGACGAGCTCACCACACAACAACCAAGGGTGGGGATACCAGTCAGGTACTGCGGAAAACACTGGACATGAGGTAGACCAGGTGCACCAGGTCCAGTTGCTGATGAGAGGTGGAGAGTGGGAGACAGGGTCAGTGAGCCACAGGCCAGTCCCTAGGCTGAGGGCAATATGACAACAGGACATTGGCCAACTTCCAGCTGTCATCACTGTCTGTGTTTCATTTTCACAGTTCGATTAATAAATGCTCTATATTCAGGGATGCCTGCGGCCTTATTTCTTGATGACAGAAGTGATAATATCAGTCCCCCCACAGGCTTGTTCCTCATGGGTAGGAGGTGACTCAACTCCTAATGTCCAGACAACTGCCCAAATTCTGCATGAAAAAAAACATGATCAATGTCTGGGATAAAAATCAGCCACCTTAAAACCCTTTAAAGGATTGAAGGCCATGGGACCCAGTGATAAGCACATGTCTGGGGCCCGGCACCTTCTCTGAAACAAGGATGATCGAATGTTGGTGTCCATACCGCATGGAAGAGCTGTCTAACGCAGTTTGCCTTTGATTGGCTCCCGTCTCCATGAAGGTGGCACGTCTCCGAGTGCTTACAAGGAGACAGGGTCTCACCCTGAGAGGACTCACCCAGAGAAACAAGCGGAGCTGCTCTACTGGCTTAGAAATGCCTGGCACCTGACTTGTGGAGGCTTCTAGTTGGCGTGAAATTGTTAGCCTTGGAAACAACTGCTGCTCACATTGGAACTGCAGGATCTTTCTTGAAAAAGCCATGGAACTAACTCAAGGGCCACAAGCCCAAATGCCTTCAGAGGGCAGATTAATAAGAGAGTCTAGCAGAGTTAGTGCTGATGGAGTTCCTTCTCCATCCAGGCCCTGTTCCGGCGGCCGGGCAGATGCTAACCCATGGGGACCACACAGCAGCCCCACGAGGCTGGCAGGCCCTCAGCCTGGCTTCTGAGCCTCGCTGTAATCGCACTCTCCAAGCTTTGTGGCATTAGGGTGTGGCAGGGCCTGAGATCCGGAGAGTGTGGACCCCACCCACAGTTATCTCAACACAAAAAAACAATCCTGAGCAGGCCAAACAGAACCTGGTGGGGGATGCCTTCACCAGGGCTGCATCTGGTCCCAGAGCTGCTGGTTTGCAGCCCAACTATTTCGTTTTATTTTTTTAATTTTCTCAATATTTATCTTCTTTTATCTATAAACGAGTAAGGTTCTGGGGAGGTTTTCTTCCTTGGAATCTTGTTCTCTCATTTTAAGCTGACTTAATCTTCCCACGCTACACGTCACATGCAGAGCGCCAACTTTGAAGTTCACTCGGTGACCGACTCTCCCGCCCAATCCCTCGGCGAGGGTGACGTGCAAGCGGAACATCTCAAGGCTCCAGATGCAGGCTCAGCCCTCAGCTGCCCTAGCCTTAATAAACACTAGATTTTTCATTTCAGAAACTATGTTCAACCTGTTGCCTCAAGACAACCTAAAAATCGTCAACATTAGCCAAAGGTTGGAAGCCAAATGTGTTAGCTCCTGCCTCAGAGACAGATCCCTTAGCAGAGGGGGTCTCTCAGCAGTAGCCCAGAGGAGCTGGGACCCAAGCTGGGAGCTGGTCACTTACATAAGGGCGGCATCCTAAGTCGATTTTAACCCCAAGCCTTCCTACGGGGGGCCGGCCAGCCACCGTGCTGTGCTGAGGAGCAGATTGAACATTCTCTTAGCTGCTCCAATTTTAGAATTGGGTGCTGACTCATTATTAACTCAGGAAGCCCACACACTCAAATGACTGTACTGAAAAAGCTCCCTGTCATACCCTGCCTACTGATGTGTTGCTTTTTAAGCAAATTTGAAAAATGTTTATCATAAGGTATTTATGACATTTTAACCGTTTCATTTACAGTAACTAGAACAACATTAAAAAAAAATGTTTCCTGTATTTTACTTGACAGTAAAGCTAAGCTTCATCGGAATACTAACAGCCTGAGAAATACCTATCAAGATCAAGTCAGGCCTCAAAGACTGAGTGGCCCCCTCCTCAGTCCTCCCCAGTCCCCCACCCCCAGCGCTGGCCCCCAGCATTTTTACGTTCTTCCTGATTTTACTACAGTTTGTGACTTTCAACGTTAAGGAAAAGGAAAGGACGTAAAATACGCTCCTGCAATCATTCATATGCTTTTAGAGAAGGCAGCCAAAGTTCTGCCTCTCTGGTATTTCTCACACTGAAATTGGGCAGCTCTGACCACGAGGCCAGAAATGGCTCAGGAGCTGCCTCTCCTCCACCTCGGAGAAGCGGAAGCTCACCCAACCTCAGCAACCCTGGGTTAGCACAAGTATACCCACTTCCATCTCTGAGCTTCACTTTGGCTTCTCAGAGGAGTCCCGAGCAGCTTATTTTCCAGCCAAGCACTGCAGTCTCTTCCAAGACAACAGAAGGTGCAACCGGCATCTACATTCTTACAACGAAGGACTGAGAAACACCTCCTGACAGTCACACTAAAGGACAGTAACCATGGGGCTGGTGACAGAGGCAGCCACTTTTCTAAAACGACAGATCTTCAAAGTCTGAAAGAAACGCAGTGTCCTCACCAGGACGCAGCAGCCTTTCCCACAGCCCAGACTCCAAGGCAAACTGCAGAAGCAACCCTAAAAATGACAGAAACATACTCACCAAGGAGAGGCTGGTGGCTCCACCTTCCCAGGAACTGTGCTGTGAAGATCTGAAGACAGGCACGGGCTCAGGCACCGCTTGTCTGGAATGTCAATTTGAAACTTAAAAAGCAGCGACCATCCAGTCATTTATTTCCCTCCATTCCCAATGATGTACACACGACTAAGAAGGAAAAAAAAAAAAAGGCGCACACCTCAGCCTTCATTCTCATTGGAACGAGATGACTCATGCTGACTCATAGCCACCACTTCCTCTCCCGACATTCTCTTCATACTTGTGAGCTGGACTGGTCCGGTTCCCAGGGTCCCTGCAGCCCTTCCTGGAAGAGCAGCCTTCCTGATCCTCTCAGAGAGACCCAAACACTGACCCCACATGGGACCCAGGGGTCGCCCACACAGGGGAAATGCTTTATTTAGGAGTCTTGAGAACAACTGGAAAATAAAATGCATGAACTTTGTGTGCATTTGAATTTCAAATACATACTCAGATTTTGTAATGTGCTACAGGCTCATGTATGAAATTCTTGCTCTTTTCAAGGCAGTTCAGAGTAGAGAGAAGCATAAGATATTTTCTTATTCTTTTAGGTGTTCAGATTTACTTTGCTCTGGTAATAACTATTTCGGTGCCTGTTTTCTTCTGCATGTATTCCTCTGACATAACAATTCACAAGATCTAAAATCATCATCTCTTCAAAGCTGTCTGTTAGCGGGGTTCGTGCCCTGTTTATAAGTTTACATGACTTACCTCTTTTCTATCCATCTTTCAGACTTCAAGAATATTCTAGATTCAAATAGTAAAGCACCAAGGAATTAAATGAAGGTAGAGCAATCCAACTCTTAATAATTGTTGGAGAATGTTTATCTGCAAGAATCAAGAATTGTCGCTGCCTCCTGGTTTTCTTTTGAATAATGCAGAGGGCTGGGCAGCCTCCCACAGCTTCAAGCATTTTTAAATTATGAGAAGCACTGGGTGTGAGCAGAATCCATGTGATCCTTAGCAGCTGCTCAAGAAACCACCAAAGGCTGCTGTGATTACATCTGCCCAACTCAAGGTTTCTGGGGGGTGACACAGTCAAAGTCATGGATGAACAATGGTGCCCTTGGAGCCTTTTTTGGCTTAGTACCTGATGCTGTGTAGGCTATATTCTGATATAGACTTAGAGTAAATAAGGAAATAATATTTTGTCCGAGGCATGAGACCCAGTTTTCATCTACAGCTAGATTTATCTTAGGGAAAAAATATTTATTCCTTTGCCACATCTCAAATATTTTATTGGGAAATTCAGGGCATTTTTTTCCATCAGGCAATACCAAGTGCGGTGAGTTCCCTATGAAAGTTGTAGCATATTGGCCATTTGGCCAAATAGTCTCATTCCTTGCAGTTTTGTGTTTTATGGGTTTTTTCCCCCAGGAGAGTTCAAAGCCTGCTGGTTTTCCAGAATTTAGGAATGTCTGTATTGTGCAATTCATTGCAGTGCATTTCCTTTAGAGAAAAGAGTGGAGAACAGGAAGGAGGCACAGCCCCAGAGACTGCTTTGAGCCCAGCCCCTGTCATCCACAAGGGGCTTGCTTGCCTGAGGCCCCAGGGGTGTGGCAGCCCCACTAGAAGAATGCATTGACCAGGAGCTCTGCAGAGGATGTGGGTTGTTATGTTTGTTCTCTATGTGGAAAGCCAGCCTTTACCTTCTTTATGAAGACTTTTACTTTTATTAAGTTAACTCATTAATTCCTAGGAGAACTGAAAATAAAAATTAATTTCAAAAAATAACACCAGGGATGAAAGAAAGAAATGTGAAATAGTTAGAAAACATGGGCTCCAAGCAGGGCCACACCTTCCTGCCATATTAGAAGTGGTTTCTTCCACAGTGGCACTGTTATAGGAGCCTTCTGGATCATTCTGAGGCTTTAGACACAGCCAGGGTCCCGAAAGAGCAATTTGGACTGCCACCATGGAGAGTGAGTGAAACTGTGTCCCCCCCAGTGTCGCATTCAAAGATAATCCCACAAATGCTAAATCTTAATTCCTGATTGACTTCAGCCCTTCTCATTTGGAAATGGGCTGGAAAGTGGGGAAAAGGTGCTAGTGTGAGAAGAGGGAGGCCATTCCCAATATACTAATAAATAAATCATTCATTGAGGCATATGAGCACCAGCCCCACATAATTGCTAATATGGAACTTTCTGGGAGTAGATTATCTTTAAGCTGGCTCTTAATATTCCACCAGAAAGGAAACAATGATGACATTTTATACACCGCTACATTGAAAACACGGAACATCTGCATGCTCTTTCCCCAAAGAAAATAGCACTGGAAAAATGTAGGTTGCACGAAATTAGGAAAACAAAACAAATTTCATTTCTAAAGACAGTGTACATTCCAGCATGTCAGAGAATTATTATAAATAATGATGATTCACAGTAAAACTATCTAATATGTGCCAATAACTCTCCAAAACACACACAGGTATTAAGTCTTCTGATCCTTCCAGTAGGTCTATACCAAAAATAGTGATATCCTGCCCACTGTTTAGCAAAGAAACAGAGGTGTTCAGGAGCCTGCCCAAGGCTGCAAAGCCTGGATGTGAGCCCAGGCCTCCTGGCTTCAGAGTCCACATTCCTAACCACCAAGCCAGGCAAATTCCCACAAGTGACTTTTCAAACATCTTCGCATACACATTCCCTGAGCTCATGATGTATTCTCCCAAATTCTGCACACATACATGAGGCAAAGGCACTTTCTCTTCATTTGAGAAGTGAATCAAAATCCTAATTTTCAAGTGATCTGTCTCTTAAAATAATATCAATTCTATTTAATGAAAAGAGCCAATTAAAATTACACATTGGACACTTCCCAGAAAGTACCATGAAGCTGTCCACACTACCAATATCTCCAGCTGCGCTGCTCCTCCTACCTGGAGGACACAAGACTGTTAGAGGCCCTCACATCCCTTCCTTCGCTTACACCTTCAAAGCAGGTCTCTTCATCATCCTCCATCCAGGAGAAGTTTCATGCCTTCATTTCAAATCTAGACCCTCCCCCGTACACCTCATTTGTTCTCTAGGATTTTGCTCCTAACCAAATTTAGGCTCTTTCCTCCAACGTCTTTAATCGCTTCCTGTCTGTAGACCTAAACACAGGCTCAAGTCTCTTTCATCCCAGTAATACTATCCCTGCCTTTGACACTGTGGAGTAGACCCAATGGGTTCCCCCACATTCATTCCATTCCTCCTCCCTTGGCAGCAACCTTGACATTTGGTTAAGATGGACTCCACCCTCATAGCCAGGGGAGTCTTCTCATTGGCTATGCAAAATAAGGGCCACCCCTTGCCACTGTGAATGGCTCCTAGATGGGCTCCCAGGCCTATGTCAGTGAGGGCATGTTTTTTCTAGCCACCGTGGTAAGCTCAGGGGTGCCCAACTGGAGCAAAAACCCCAAGGCTACAGCGATTGCCTCAGGCAAGAAATAACAGGGAAGAATGCACAGAACTAAAGAGTCTCCTTCTTGCTTTAAAGTTTCAAAAGTTCAGGACAAGGTATTTGCTGTAGTTTAAATGTGTTCCTCAGAAGTTGATGTGTTGGAAACTTGGATCCCAATGGAGCAATATGAGAGGTGGGGCCTTTCGGAGATGATTGGGTCATGAGGGCTCTGCTCTCATGAATGGACCCATTCATAAATTAATGGATTAATGGGTTATCACAAAAGTGGGTCTCATATGAAAGCCACTTTGGCCGTCTCTGGTGGGTCCTCTCACCGTGTGTTGCCCTGAGCCATCTCAGGACTCTGCAGAGAGTCCCTACCAGTAAGAAGCCCCTCACCAGTTGCAGCCCCTCAACCTTGGACTTCCCAGACTCCAGAATTGCTAAAAATAAATTTATCTTCTTTATAAACTAGTCAGCCTCAGGTGTTCAGTTACAGCAACAAAAAATAGACTAAGACAGTATTATAAAGAGAAAAATAAAAAACCTTGGAGGAATGGGTGAAGTCAGGCAACAATGTATAGTTGTACAGGTTATATACTGCACAACCCAATGGAGTAAATCCATACAAGTTGTGATGTGCCCAACCATATGTGGCAAAGCTAGGTGTAGAAACAGGCGATACCATCCCAAGCTCATATAAGGATTCCACAGGCTGGGTGATGAAGAGAGTTAGAAGGAAAGAGATAGAAGGAAGGGTGCGAACCCTGTTCCCCAAGAGGGGTGCTGGGAAGGAGAAGCATCATCACTCACTCCAGAGCAGTTTAGGGACTCTGAGAACAAAGAGACATCTGAAATTGGGATGATAGGATGTAAGAGTTTGATTGGCAGCTGGGCTCAGTGGCTCACACCTGTAATCTCAGCACTTTGGGAGGCCAAGGTGGGTGGATCACAAGGTCAGGTGATCGAGACCAGCCTGGCCAACATGGTGAAACCCTGTCTCTACTTAAAAATACAAATATTTGCCGGGCATGGTGGTGAGTACCTGTAATCCCAGCTACTGGGGAGGCTGAGGCAGGAGAATCGCTTGAACCTGAGAGGTGGAGGTTGCAGTGACCCAAGACTGTCACTGCACTCCAGCCTGGGTGACAGAGCCATATCAAAAAAAAAAAAAAAAAGAGTTTGAAAAGAGTTTAATTGGCAGTGCTTTCTTCTTCCTTAGTGGAACTTTAACTTAATGGTGCATCTTATAATTGAGGACATCTTAAATTGGATCTAATGTAGTCTGTAAAGTTAGGGAATTGCATGAGTTCACCACAGAAATGAACGTAGAAAAAGAAAGCAAGAACTGAGCCCTGCCCTGCAGCTTTAAGAGGTCAGGGAGTGAGGAGGAGCCAGCAAAGATGGGAGTGGGGGAAGTAAGGGCTGGTGAGGTGGAAGGGAAGCCTGGAGAGTGTAGGACCTTCAAGGGCAAGTGAAGAAGGTGCTTCAAGGAGGAGAGACTGATCACCTGCATAATCACTGCTGAAAGGTCATGTAAGGTGGAGACAGAAAAGTATACATGGATTTGGCAAAAAAAAGGATTTGCTGGGGAAGAGGGGGTGAAACTCTGAATTGAGTGAGGAGAGAAAGGGGAAAGAAATTGAAGACAGAACAGACACTGCTTTCTAGAAATAAAGCTATAGCTGGAGGGGGAAATGAGGTCAAGAGAGATTTCCTTATTTGTTAAGATGGGAAAAATAATAGCCCATCCGTGTACTTGTTGATAGAAATAATTTGGTAGAAAGAGAAAAATTGATGATGCAAGAGAGAATGAGAAGGAATTTGGTGGGGTAGAAAGAAGGCTAGAACCTACTGCTCAAAGAGAGGGTTTGGCTATGGTGAGGGAGAATCTATCTACATGACAGGACATTGACCAGGCACAGAGATATGCTCTTGTAGTTTTCATACTTTGTAATAAAAGAAACATCAATTTTAAAAATTCAACAACAAATAGAACATGAAAATAGTCTGTCTACTTAAAACCTTAAAACATTACAGATGAAACTAAAGTCTCCTTTGGTGATGTTGTGGGATTTTATTTATTTTGATGTCTGAGAACTATTCCATTTTATGGATATACCATAGGTTGTTCATCCATTCACCTGTTGAGGGAAATTTGTTTTGTTTTCCACATTGGCTGTGACAAACACAACTGCTGTAAACATCTGTGTACATGTTTTTGTATGGATGTAAGTTTTTCTTTTGTCTAAAGTAAATAGTTAATTTACTGCTGGGTGATATGGTAACTGTATGCTTACCCTTATAAGAAACTGTCAAACTTTCTCCAAAGTGACCATACAATCCATTTTGCATTTCCGCCAGCAATGTATGCATGAGAGACCAGTTGATCCTCATCCTTTCCCCTGCTGGTATTGTCAGTATTTTTAGTTTAGCTGCTCTAACATGTGAGTCATGGTGTCTCCTCATAGCTTTAATTTGCATGTCCCTAATGACTAATGATGCTGAGCATCTTTCCGTGTGCTCATTCTTTTCTCCACTTTTTAATCGGATTCTTTGTTTTCTTACTGTTGAGTTTAGAGCCACCTTTATACATTCTAGGTACAACTTTTTAGATCAAATATGTAATTTGCAAATATTTTCTCCCAGTCTATATCTGGTCTTTTCATCCTCTTTAACAATATATTTTGCAGAATAAAAGTATTTTGATGAAATCCAGTTGATGTTATCTTTTTTTTATGGATAGTGCTTTAGGTCTTCTAAGGAATATTTGCCTAACTCTAGTAATGAAGATTTTTCTCCTGTTTTATTCTAAAAGTTTTAGAGTTTTACATTTTATATTTAGGCATATTATCAATTCTAAGTTAATTTTTCACAATATGTGAGGTTTAGATTGAGGAGTTTTCTGACTGAGGATATCCAATAAAACACCATTTGTTAAAAAGTCTATCTTTCCTCCATTGAATTGTTTTTGGGACTTTGTAAAAAAAATCACTTGGCTGGCTGGGCATGGTGGCTTACGCCTGTAATCCTAGCACTTTGGGAGGCCAAGACAAGCAGATCACCTGAGGTCAGGAGTTTGAGACCAGCCTGGGCAACATGGTGAAACCCCATCTCTACTAAAACAGAAAAAATTACACAGGCATGGTGGTGCACGCCTGTAGTCCCAGCTACTCGGGAGGCCAAGGCAGGAGAATTGCTTGAACTTGGAAGAGGGAGGTTTCAGTGAGCCGAGATTGTACCATTGCGCTCCAACCTGGGCGACAGAGTAAGACTCCGTCTAAAAAAAAAAGAAATCACTTGGCCATATTATGTGCATTTATATTTGGACTTTCAATTCTGTTCCATTAATCTACCAGTCTATTCCTTTCCCAACACCACAATCTTGATTAATACAGCTATATGTTAAATCTTAAAATCAGGTAGTATGTTTCCTCCAACTTTATTCTTCTTTTTTCAAAATTATTTTGGCTATTCTTGGTTTTTTTCTATATAAATTCTAGTATCAGTTCATTTGTATCTACAAAATGTCCCCCCCTTGGATTTTGAAAGGAACTGCAGTAAACCTATCAATGAATTTGTGTAGAATCTACTTCTTTACTACATTAAGTCTTCCAATCTATAAACATGGTATAGCTATTTACATAGTCATAGTTTGGTGTCTCAAGCTATATGAGCTAAAAAGTATTTTCATTAAATACTTGGGTGTTGGTTTAGTGATTCTCAATAAGTCATTTTATTGTCTTTATAAGGCCCTAAATTAAACAACCCCTACAAGTATTCTTATGTATATGGCTACCAAGATTTGATGCACCCACCCTATTATTTGGGTGCTGAGAGTGGGCTGAAGTATTAATAGATTAAACAGCCCCTTACCCCTACCTTTTCCTTTTTAAGAAACTCAAGAGGCATCATTCTGCTCAAGCAAGGCCCTTGCTTTCTGTGAGGCCTCCAGTTTTCCACTGATCTTCCTGGCTCTGATGGTTCTTTTTTCTCCTCCCCTCTGCCTCTGCCCTGGGGCTATTTGCCAAGATTCCTAGCTCAAATCACCTCCCTTCTCACTTATTTAGAGACTTCATCTCCCAGCTCACAAGACTCATTCTCCTGGGCTGATGCTGGGGGTCCTCCCTCCACACCCCCATAAGCATTCCAAGAATGTCCATGCTTCTGGTTATGAAAGCTGGAATCCCCAAGCTCTCTTGGCTCTCACCGCTTCCATCTACCATCCATCCATCCAGAGGTGTGCTGGCAAATGTTTAGCAATCACATCTTCAAATATAAATGAATAAAGCAAACCCTGATTTGTAGTGTTTGCTGATTTCTCTAGTGTAAATTCTCCCCAATTGCCAATTGCAAACTACCAGCATGCTCTCACTGAAAGTGAGTTGGGCAGAGATGAACAAATTAGTTCCAAAACCCAGAACAAGTCACTGCCAGCACACCACTGCATCCATCCATCATCAAACCTGTGTGAGCACAGATTGCATTTTGGGCTTAATTCTCATGTGCACAATAATAATATTCTTGTTAATGGGAGTCACATTGATTTCACTCATGCTGATGATGAAAGGATTTGAGGGGTAACCAAGTTCTGGGGGCAGCAAAAACCTGGAAATGGTGCTGCTGACTCGTGGAAAATGGTGCAGCATCCGTGGGTTCAATCCATTGAAAAGCAGAGTCCTGACTTCTTTGGTCATGTCTGTCTTCGGTTACATCGGAGGTGATGGGAGTGAGGAGACAAGGCACCATGGATAGTTCCGGTCCTTATGAACAAAGTAGCCCAGTGCGTCTCACCTGCATGGCTACATCAGATTGTCAGAAAATCTGCCCAGCAGAATTTCCAATGCAGCACTGGATTCTCATCACACTGCAGGGTATTATTCAAGGTCATAGACTCTGGGGGCCAGAATGCCTTGATTTGAATCTGGTTTCCACTGCTGGTTGTATGACCTTGGATAAATCACCTAACTTCTTTGAACCTCAGGGCAGTGGGCAGAATTCTAAAGATACTTCCCCAAGATTCCTGTCTCTGCTTTTTCAGTCAAACACTAATAATAGGTAATACTGCAAGAGGATTTTGTAAGTATAATAAAGTCCAAGTTAACTGACCACAAAATAAGGAGAATAGATGAGTAGGCCTGACCCAGTCAGGTGAGCCCTTTAAAAGCAAGGCATTGGCCAGGCGTGGTGGCTCACACCAGAAATCCCAACACTTTGGAAGCCTGAGGCGGAAGAATCACTTGAATCTAGGAGCTCAAGACCAGCTAGCAACATGGTGAGACCTTACCTATAAAAAAAATTAAAAATTTAGCCAGACATGGTGGTGCATGCCTGTAGTCCCAGCTACTCAGAGAGGCTGCAGTGAGCTGTGATCATGCCATTGCACTCCAGCATGGGTGACAGAATGAGACCTTGTCTCAAAAAAAAAAAAAAAAAATTGCAGCGCGTTTTCTCTGGCTGAAAGCAGAAGAGGAAGTCAGAGACGCAAAGCAGGAGAAGGTCACGTGTCAGGAATTCGGGAGGTCTTTAAGCACTAAGAGCAACCCCCAGCTGACAGCCAGCAGTAAAACAGATACCTCTAGGTTATAGCCAGAAGGAATTGGATTCCACCAACAACTCCGATGAGCTTGCAAGTCAATTTTCCCCTAAAGCCTCCAGACATGAACCCAACCCCTTTGACATCTTGATTTTGGTTTGTGTGACCCTGAGCAGAGAACCCAGTGGAGTCTGCCCAGACTTCTGCCCCACAGAACTGTGAACTCATAGATGGGGTTTGTTTTAATGTCACTCCATTTGCAGGAATTTGTTACACAGCATTAGAGAACTGACACATTCAGCCAATTTACAAAATGGGGATAAGAGTTTCATACTCATAGGGTTATATAAGAATTAAAAATTAATATCCACAAATGTCTAGGATGATAATAAGAACAATCTCTAAGTACTGGCTATTTTTCGTATGTGCCATGGAGCTGGTAAAACCCAAATACGTGTGGTTGATGATTTGAAAGTTTTTCCACCAATACAGTATTTGAGTCACAGGCTGCAGTCAAAAGTCTAGAATTTTAAATAAATGAATCATACACTAAATATGCATCATCTTTTGAAACTCAGTGCCTATGAGTAAATCTCGATGATCATAACACATTACTCAACAAAGCAGACCATAATAAAGAAGATATCAGAACACATGGAGCAAAAGACAGTAAGTTTGGGACTCAACCATTCAACTAATCTTTAATGAATACACACCAGATGCCAAGCTCCAACTCAGGTCCTGGGACACAGCAAGAAGAAGGCACAAAAGATCCCTGTTCTCGTGAAGCTTATATTCTAGGAGGGTGAGACAGAAAATAAGTACATGAGAAAAGTACAAGCTAGTGAATTGAACAGTGCAAAAAATTAGCATAGGGTAGGAGGGAAATACTTGAGATGGGCAGGTCATCTAGGAAGGTCACTCTGGAGAGGTGCCATTTAAGCTGAGATCTGAATGATGTCCAGGAGCCAGTCAGCAGCATTCCAGGACAAGAGAGCAGCTGTCGCCAAGACCCCAAGACACAAAGGAACAAGTAAGAGTCCCCAGGATGGCTGCTGCTTAGTAAGCAACAGCAAGAGAAGATGGGATGGGGCTGGAGAAGGTGGCAAGGAAGGAGCTTGAATTTTGTGCCAGGTGTGATGAGGAGACACTGGAGGCTTTTAAACAGGAGAGTGACATGATCTGACTTGAATTTTCTGAGGACAACTTTTTCTTTTTTTCTTTTCTTTTTTTTCTTTTTTTTTTTTTTTGGACAGGGTCTCGCTCTGTTGCGGGCTGGAGTTCAGTGACGTGATCATGGCTCACTGCAGCCTCAATCTCCTGGGCTCAAGTGATCCTCACACCTCAGTCTCCCAAATAGCTGGAACTACAGATGCACACCACCACTGCTGGCTAATTTTTGTAGTTTTTATAGAGACAGAGTTTCACTATGTTGCCCAGTCTGGTCTTGAACTTCTGAGCTCAAGAAATCCAGCTGCCTCAGCCTCCCAAAGTGCGGGAATTACAGGCATGTGCCACCATGCCCAGCCTCTGAGGATAACTCTTACTGCTAAGTGTGAAGCCCTTGTGTAGGACCAAGTGGAACCAAGGGAGATCAGTGGGTCCCCTTGGGGTCTGATGAGTGTAACAGAGACAGAAAGATGAGGACCTGTTTGAGTAATGTTTTGGAGATAGAGTTGTTGGATGGATTGGGTTCGAGGGCAGTGATGGAGAGAGATGAATCAAGCATAATCCTTCGATTTTTGGTTTGAGTAACTGAGGAGTGCCACTTACAGAGATGGGTGGTGTGAAATCCCAGATTTGGTTTTGGCCATCTTAATTTGGACGTGCCTATCAGATATCCATGTGGAGATGTTGAGTAGGCTTAGAATTCTTGGGAAAAGTCAATATTAGAGGCAGATTCAAGAGTTAATGTTCTACAGATGGAATTAAAGACCTGGCCTGGATGAGAGAGAGAGAGAGAATATGTGGAGAAAGATGAGAAGGGAACCCAGCACCCTCAGCCAGTGAGGGTGAGGTTGGAAGAACACCAAGAAAATCACCGCTCAGAAGCCAAGGAGTGAGCGTATCAAGAAGGCAGGAGAGGTCCACCTGCCAGCACTGCTGAGAGGTCAAGTCAGACAGGAGCAGAGCAGGATGCACTGACCTGGCCACATGGAGGCCATGGTGACCAGGGAGATGGCCCCGGCAGCCTCCATGAGTGAGGCACAGGAGCTTGGCTGCAGGGAGTGGGTGCAGCACCCATAGACAATGCTTTCAAAAAGAGAAGCAGGAAAATGGGATCTGGAGCATCCTTTGAGGCCCCACCAAGTACAGTGATGGCAATTGAATGATAGAGGCCTGGGATCCACCAGCCGGCTTCTGAGTATTGCAGTTATCCTACAAATGGAGAAGGCAGGTCAGCATGGAATTAGATGGGTGCTGCTAAAGAGTGCATGGTCCGTGAGTGTGCAATGACATCATTCAGTCCGGGCAAACACGTTTTTCTTGGTATCAACTATTTCTAGTTTGGTGAAGACAGACTATGTATTTGAAATACTAGCAAGAAAACCATAAAGTAAAACTATTATTAAGAGCCAAGGCAGTTTAAATTCTTCAGTTTTGGCTAACGGGAAGAACTTATAAGTGGTTTCTTTTTGTTGTAAGCAAGGGTGGATGATAGCCTTCATCATTTTGCTTGATTTGATGTAACTGGGAAGTTTCTTAGGCTTGATAACTGGCAAAACAAAATCCTTGACACCTAAATAACCCTTTGGTCTAATGCATACTGCCAAGAGATCAGACGGAGCCTGATCTACCATCTTGTTTCTTAGCTGAGTGATTCTTTCATAGCTTCTTAATTTTCACTTAATTATTCCATGCCCCTAATGACTCCCTCAAAAACACTACAAGGACAAATACACCCTAAGCAATCTGAGTTTGCCCTCTGAAAAGTTCATAATTAAAAACTTTACCTGTATTGAAAAAAAATCAGCACACTTCCTGACCACTACTCCTGAGTTGTTGAATTTAATCAGACATGGACTTGATAGAGTGCATTCATCTCTAGTGGCTGTTAATGGGAACCAGTGAGTCAAATCTCATGTCTAACAGGGGCCAGCCTGACTGAGGGCCTGAGAGGAGGTTCTCAGGTCAGCACTGGGTCCAACACAGTCCCTCCCATCCCAGGCATCGCCCACCTCTTCACAGCCTATCATCATCACAGTGTCTGCCTGTCCTTCCTGCCTCTGACCTGCACACTCCACTCCTTCTGTGAACTGCTTCTTTCACTTTTGTGATGACACAAAGTCATAGATCTGATCGGGCCACTCTGGGTTTCACATCTGCACAGTTTCTCGGGGCCCTTGTGTGGCTTCAAGGTTTGTCCCTGAAACAAACAGACCCAGAGTGGAACGTAGCTCCCAACTCAGTGGCCTTGAGAAAGAGCCCTTCCTGAGCCTTTGTTTCCTCATTTGTAAATTGAGAATAGCCCTGGTCATGAGAGAGTCCTCATGCCCCCACCCTGGTGAGGATGAAGTGAGATGATGCAGATGGTGAGGTTCACAGAGGGCCAGGCCCTTAGCGCCCAGCAAATGGCAGCTCTTTGTAACGGATATGCTATTGTTCTGTCTAACAAACTGCACCCTTTCCTGGGGGACCCTCTCCTTCCCTTCATGTGGTCCTAAAGTTCTGTCATCTTACTCTGCTTCCCACCCTAAACCACCTATCATTAGGTCTGGCTGCACATTTCTGGAAAAATACAGCAATGCATTAAGTCAGGACTTCTTTTTCTCTTTCATGTAAAAGTAGCCTGGCATAGGAAGCACAGGCCAAGGGTGCAGCCCCAAAGCATTGCTAGGAAATTGGGCCCCTGTCTTCCTGATCCACCATCCCAGAGCCTGGCTTTCATCTTCAAAGTGGCTTCACAGCCCAGGATGCCTGCTGGCACTCCAGCCAGCAAGTCCGTATTCCCCATATTGACAGTAGGAGGAAGTGAGGGACGACAGAAAAATGTGTAACGCCATCTCTTCCCACCGTGACGGAGCCTACTGAAAATTCCACATAATGGTTCCACATATGGAACTAGATCACCTGGGCTCACCTAGCTGCAGACTAGTCTAGAAAATGTGATCTTTCAACTGACACAATGCCATCTGAAATAGAATTTTTTTAAATTAAGCAAGAAGGGGAGAGGGGTATCTGTTGTCAAGTAGTAGTGTCTGCCAAGGCAGGGGGCCCCAGGCTGGACATGAGTGCCCTTCCATGGGATCTGGTCTCCAACACTGGCAGAGGGGTGGTCTGCATTCTCTATAGGTCATGGGCTGGAGGGACACAGTTGTACACAGAGGAACATGAGCCAGGGGAGGGAGAGAGGAGCAAGGCTGCCCTTGGGCTTTGGCTGGGGAAAAACTGATCCCCTCTAGACCCAAGTGAGTTTGAGTAGATTCTCCAATGCTGTCATGTTGATTAAAGCACCACAGTTATGACTGTTTATTCTAGTGAGAAGGTCATTCTATATAAGCTGATTATTGACATTAATAATACCCAAGTGACATCAGGGACTCCTCCAGCTGCATCCTCTCCCCAACCCCAAAGCTCCCTGCAGCCCCTTCCTCCATGCTGCCTCCTCGCAGGGTCTCAAACCAAAAGCCCCTTTTCTTTTCTCCCTGCCTACACCTGTGCTCCCCCCACCCCCAGCCTGCTCATTTCTCCTCCAGCCCCTCTCTCCAAGCAAATTCCTTCTTCGTCTTGAAGACCAGATTCAAATGTCACTTCCTAAGCGGAACTTTCCCCAACTCCTTTGCGTTCACTTGAGTCCCTAATGTTTGAATGATCTTTCATATTTTGCTGCAAGGCTTTACTCCTCCACTAAATTGAAAACACCAAGAGGGAAATTTTCCACCCTTCCCACACACACACTCCCACAGGTGACCATAAACACTTGTCACTGAATGACTGAATGAATGGCAAGTGGATGAGGTTTGGCCAATGCAAGCTCTACCCAAGCAGAAGCCTTCTGAGTGAGGGTTGCTGGGTGTGAACCTCACTCTGCCTCCACTGCCTCCTCTGTAAAAGAAAGATAACAATTCTGACATCTCTCTCAAAAGATTCACAATGCCTGACACAGCGTAGAACCTCAACTAATGTCAGCCATTCATATCGGTACTGTTTTACTGCACGTCGTCAACTCTGCGGTGCATATTTCTTTTTCACATTGTAATGGCACTTGCTTTATACGGCATGACATGGTTTAACTGGCAGAGGTTTGGGGTTTTTGGGTTTTTTGGGTTTTTTTGGTTTATTTTTTTCCCCTTGGTGATGCAACCAATGCTGTTTAGAAGTCAACGGAATTGTTGTTCTTAGGAAAGGAATAGAGTTCAGAAATTCAGGGCTTTGCAAAGTCAGAAAAGTCGACTGCTTATAAAGCCCAAATATTAGAGATGAGACTGTGCTGGCCTTTGAGTGGTCAAGGTCTGAAGCGGCTCAGAATGAGATGAAGGGAAAGGACTGGCGTTTGCCATATGGTGTTCCGGGAAGAGTCAAGGTAGCCACCATTCCATCAAATGAGAGTGAGGGAAGGGGCACAAAAGAAAAGCAATAAAGCAGGTCTGAGGCATAGGTCTTGGCAAGAATTCAGTGTGACTGCAGCCAGGGAGCTGATGAGAAGCAACTAGGTCAGAAGCTGACTGTGTTTTTGTGGATCCTGAATTGTCAAAGAAACCATGAGTTAAAAATATATTTTATGGATAAATTGGAATATTATTCAGCCATAAAAAGAATGAAATATTAATACATGCTTCAACATGGACAAGCCTTGAATACATTATGCAAAGTGGACACACACTACATGATTCCATTGATATGAAATATTCAGAATAGGCAAGTCCATTCAGATAGAAAGTAGTTTAGCGGTTGTCAGGGGCTGGGGGGGGAGGTGGGAATGAGAATAATTGCTTAATGAGTACAAGGTTTCCTTTTGGGGTGAGGAAAATGTTCTGGAACCAGACAGAAGTGGTGGTTGTACGATGTTGTGGTTGTCCTAAATGCCACTGAATTTGTTCATTTTTAAATGGTAATTTTATGTTACCTGAATTTCACCGCCCTCCCTTTTTTTTCTTTTTTTCTTTCGGAGACAGTGTTTGGTTCTGTTACCCAGGCTGGAGTGCAGTGGTGAGTTCATGACTCACCGCAGCCTCGACCTCCTGGGCTAAAGCAATCCTCCCACCTCAGCCTCCTGAGTAGCTGGGACTACAGGCACGTACCACCACATCCAGCTAATTGTTTTATTTTTTTGTAGAGCTGAGGTCTCACTGCATGGTCCAGGCTGGTCTCAAACTCCTGGGCTCAAGGGATCCTCCGGCCTCAGCCTCCCAAAGTGCTAGGACTACAGGCGTGAACCACTGTGCCCCACGACATCTCAATTTTTTTAAAGGCATTCGACTATTCAACTGTGGAACCTCCAACCTTCAGCAGCAGCAAGTGGGAAGGAGGAGCTGTGCAGACCCCACTAAGGGCATGTCCCTAATCCCATATCATACACAGCTATCCAGAGTGAGAGACCAGAGGGTCTCTCTGAGCACAAGCTAGGGGCCCCAGAGGACAGTGAGTAGAGAGGTTCCCCAGGGATAAACCAGAAAACCAGGGGGAAAGGCCTCCCACTGCATGCTCAGAAGGTTTATTGCTAGGCAGGGGCCCCTGTGTGCCTCCTGTCTGCTCCTCTTGGAATGGTGGTGCTGTTGCTATTATCCTGCCCCTGTTCTACTGTAGGGTACCGAGCTGTGTGTGGCAGCTAATTTATTGCTTTATTATCTGTTTATAGGCTTCTGGGTCGAGAAAGGCCAAGTTGCACACTACTGAGAGACTGCCATGCACCCCCTGGAGGCCTCAGAACATTCGACATGCTCCAGTCATGGCCACGGCAGTGACTGCTGATTGCCTAACCCCACATGTGTTCTCCCCCTTCCCTGATAATCAAGCCCCTGATTTTCAGCTGGGCACAAAATAATTCTTCCTAGAACAACTCCACGTGTGTTATCGCCCTTGCAGCTGGGGGTGGCCACCACTGGGGAGAGGCAGGGTGAAGAGGTCGAAGGAGCCTGAGTTAGCAGGGATGAGCAGTGGCCAGGTAACCCCAGACCCATTATCCTCTGGATTTCTTTTATGTGAAACAATAAAATGTCTTGTATTCGAGCCTTTGTTATTGTAGGTTTCTGCTATATGCAACGAACCGTTAAGTGTAATTGATACAGTGGGCCCCATCCTAATCAACTCTGGGTACCACATTGTAAAAATCTGCAGTGTGGCTGTAACCCCACCGTAATTTGCGATTTGGTGAACTTCCTTATTCTCTTAGATCTTTCAGAAATTGACTAGGGAACTAACAGTTTCCCACAAAACTACCCCACATTTTCATAGTAGGAAACTGCAACAAGGAACTTAACAAGTTCCTTGTTGGCAAGACAGTTATCCCTGAGCCTGCAGGCCGCCTCTCTGGCCACTAAAGTTTCTAGACAGGCCTGCAAAGCAGTAAAGGAAAGCAGCATTGATCACTGCGTCCCTCTGTACAATATTTACTTGAAAAATAATTGCAAAATACCTTGATTTTACCCAGGATATTTTTCAGCATGTCCCAAAGAGGAAATTCATTTCTGATGTAGTTTGTGGATTTTTTGTTTTTATTTTCATATTGTTTTTTGTTTTGCTTTCATTTCATGGGCAGTTTCGCCCACTGATTACCCAATGGACAATTGCTCCCACCAGTTTCTGTTTAATGTTTATATTATTAATTGTGAAAAAATATGAATTAACCAAGATAGCAGCTGCTCGTTAGAGTAACATAAATTTCTTTTATCAGATATTCTTAAAGCTGGGGAAAAGTATTAAAATATGCAAAATATGTATATTTTAATATAAAGTTTATTTTTGTATGATTATAAAAGTTATAAATGCTGCCTGGGGATAACCTAGAAAATTAGAAGAGTAGAGCGTATTTTTTTTTTTTTTTTTTTGAGACAGTCTCATCTGTCACCCAGGCTGGAGTGCAATGGCATGATCTTGGCTCACTGCAATCTCTGCCTCCCGGGTTCAAGTGATTCTTCTGCTTCAGCCTCCCAAGTAGCTGGGACTACAGGTGCATGCCACCACACCTGGCTTATTTTTGTATTTTTAGTAGAGACGGGGTTTCACCATGTTGGCCAGGCTGGTCTCGAACTCCTGACCTCTTGATCCACCCACCTCAGCCTCCCAAAGTGCTGGGATTACAGGCATGAGCCACTGTGCCCAGCCAAGTAGAGCATATTAATCCCACCTTCCAAAGCCACACACTATTAATATTTTCCTATATTTCCTTCTGCTCTCTCTCTGTTTACAGAGTTGTAGTTACACTGTATACATTGCTTAGGACTCTACTTTATTTCACTTAACATGACAACATAAGCATTTTTCCACATTATTAAAACTCCCTGGTACCCAGAGCTAAGTTCTATTTTTATGGTGAAGCATAGCTGGTTCTCAGTGGGCTCTGCTACCCAGCCTTAATCACACAAAGACAAGTTATCAGGTTCCCTCTGAAGTCCTGGGCTGCCCCTTGCCTACTGAGCAGGAACCAGAACTAAGGCTGGCATGGAGGGGAAGGACAGGCCAAATATTGTTTGGCTGCCTGCTCCCTCTCAAGAGCCAGCTTGCAGCCTGTTAAGGGGCCCTGCTGATCCAGAAGTTCTTTCTTGCAGAAACACACACTGGCTTTGAACCAAGGAAGCAGGCTTACTGCTGCAGCCCCAGGGGGAAAATCCAGACACAGAATAAAAAAGTAAACTATGCCAGTGATTGTACGGTGAGATAGCAGGACTGCTCATTTTAATTTCCAGAAAAGAGTCGTCCTTAATCACAGACATGACAAAGGCTGCCCAGCAGACTTCACCCCTGCTTTCCTCATGGCGAGCACACTGGAGATTTCAAAAAGCCTGTGGGCTAGGACCGGGGGGACAGCAGACACAGCCCACTGGGCAGCCCTGGGTGTTGACCCCAAGAGTGGACTCGGGGCCAGGCTCCTGGTGAGCGATTTGGCTTCCCTGAAGCAAAACATCTTTTCTGCAGAAATGCAGTGACAGGGCAGGGGCTTTGCTTATTTGTTCACTCCTGTGTCTCCAGCATCTACAACATGCCAGGCACATACTGTAGTATTTGGTATAGTTTATTGAATAATGACTCTTTTTGCCAACTCCCTTGAATGTTGACAATTAGAACCCAGTTTGAGTTCACAACCATTTCCTTGTGAAGGAACAAATGCCTCCAGGGACACACGCACTTAGCAGTCACTCTTTCCAGGTATGGCTCAGCCTTCGCAGCTTGCTGCTTCTTCACTGCCCTGCACCCCATGGTAAGGTGGGCATGGCTTCAGCAAAAGAATGGCAGAGGGACGTGGGGAAGTAGACACTACCCAGAAGAGAAGAGGTGCAAGTGATCATAGATAGACTTCTCAATCTCAGAATGTGGCTCAGCATATTCATCTTCTTCCAGTCATTTTTCCTTCCCTGTTTCTTTCTCTTTTTTTTTTTTTCTTTTTTTTTTTGAGACAGAGTCTCACTCTGTCACTCAGGCTGGAGTGCAGCAGTGCAATCTCAGCTCACTGCAACCTCTGACTCCTGGGTTCAAGCAATTCTCCTGTCCCAGCCTCCCAAGTAGCTGGATTATGTCAACTAGTAGTGTCTGCCAAGGCAGGGGGCCCCAGGCTGGACATGAGTGCCCTTCCATGGGATCTGGTCTCCAACACTGGCAGAGAGATGGTCTGCATTCTCTATAGGTCATGGGCTGGAGGGACACAGTCATACACAGGGGAACATAAGCCAGGGGAGGGAGAGAGGAGCAAGGCTGCCCTTGGGCTTTGGCTGGGGAAAAACTGATCACCTCTAGACCCAAGTCTGCAGAACAGCTAATTTTTGTATTTTTAGTAGAGACAGGGTTTCACCATGTTGGCCAGCTAGTCTCGAACTCCTGACCTCAGGTGATGCACCCGCCTCAGCCTCCCAAAGTGCTGGGATTACAGGCGTGAGCCACCACACCCGGGCTCTCCTTCCCTATTTCTTAATCTTTTATCTCCTCCTGGTTCCTAGGACCCAGAACTCAGGTTGGTACTCTTAATGCCATTTAAAGGTCAGCTGTGTTAAGAGTTAAGTATGATAAGCAGTCCTGTGCACAGTTTTTATCATTTTATTTCTGGAAAAATGCAATGACAGCTTTGACTTTAAAAGAATATTTTGGATCACATGTATGCTCTTAAGTTTGGTGCTGCTTGTCTGTAGAATTTTGTGGGCATCTGGACCAGTCAAGAGGAATTCCAGAGTCTCCTCTACACTGAGAGATAGGAAGGCCAAGCGGTGCATCTATAATGTGAAGGTGTTTTCTCTACAATAAGAGAAAGAGACTATGCCGTGATATATACAGATAGGCATATCTCCCAAAGTTAGGAAACTGTAACCACATCTTAGAATAGAAACTGAATCATAATCATCACCATTGTCATCATCAACATCATTGTCATCATCACCATCATCTCCATAGCCATCATCAACGTGGTTAATAAGTGTTGGGCTATTACTATGCCCTTGGCACTACGCTAAGCAATATGCATCTTCTCATGTAATCCTCTGACAGGCAACCACATTATAAATTAGGAAACTGAGGCCCAGAGATGTCCAGCAGCTCACACAAGGGGACACAGAAGTGACAAGGTGGGGACCCACACCTAGACAGTCTTTCTCTGAGACCTGGACTCCTAACCACTCATCATTGTAGGGAATGCAGAAGCAAAGCAGATGGGACTCCAGGACTCTGACTTTAATGGAAAGTGACTGCATCCTAAGCCCCTGCCAGCAAAGCAGGTGGGACTGGGTCTCTCGGAGTTGCCTGGGTTCTCATCTCTCTTATTCACTGCAGTGGCCCCAGGCAGTGCCATGCACACTCCAGATAAGCAGAAGGTAGATGTTGAATGGACATATGAATGACCTAGTTCTCAAGTTCATTTCCCACTGGGAACTTCCTCAAATTGCTTTCAAATATTTAAACCAGGCTTCCTGACCTGTACTTGGGAGGTTGCACTGTGATTTCTGTGCTCCCATTCATAGCCCTGAGACTCTAATGTTGGCTTACTTGTTTACTTGAGAGTGAGCAGCATGAGGGTGGGTGTTGAATCTCCCCCACCCAGTCACATGAACTCATAAAAGACAAGGACAACCATTAATAGAGCCATCGCTGGCTTGCGGGGCACAAAATCGGCTTGAGGAGCAGGCTTGGTGGTATAAAAGAACAGTACTCAAGCATTCTAATCAGGAGCCAATATTTCAATGAGGAGAGTGCGAACGAAGACATACAATGGAAAACTTGAGAATAGACACTAAGCTGAATATTAACCCAAGTGAAATGTTAAGTAGAGGATATGTTAGTGATCTAAGATAGACTTAAAACAATAAATATTTACTATCACAATTTCTGTAGATCAAGAATCTGCACATGCATTAGCTGAATGTTTATGGCTAACTGGATGTTTATGGCTATAACTGAAAGGTGGAAAGGGGCTGGAGGCAGTGGTGCACTTGGGGATAATGGTGCATGTGATTACATTTCCCAGACTCCTGAGCAGCTGGAGATGGCTGTGGAAATGAGAGTTGAGCTTGTTGAGTGGTACTTCCCAGGATGAACAGGATAGTCAGTGGGCTGGTGCCCTCTTTCTCTTCTCCCCCTGTTCTTTTCTTGTTGTTCTGCTGCTTGGAATGCAGACATGATGGCAAGAGTTCCAGCAGCTTAGGGCCATAAGCGAAAGGCTACAAGAACCACAGTGCCCTCAGCCTTTGAGCCAAGGCCAGCAACTGACTGCCTCCAGATTTCTCATTAGAAAAAACAACAACAACAACAACTCTTCTGTGTTTAAGCCACTTAGGTCGAGCCTGTTAACAGCAGCAGCTGAACCCACTTCCTAACTGGCTGGCCCTCTGTGGTAAGCAGCCTCTCAGATGGCTCCCAATATCCCTACCTCTTGGTACTCACACTCTTGTGGAATCCTTTCACTTGAATCTGGGCTGGATTTACTGACTTGATTCTAACAAAGAATATGGCAGAAGTGATGGAATATCACTTCCAAAATTAAGTTATAGAAAAGACTATAGCATCTGTCTTAAGAGTTCTCACATTCTTTTACATTCTTCACCCTGGGGAAAGCTAGCTTCTGTGTCATGAGATAACCCTTTGAAGAGTTCCAGTGTAGTGAGGACCAAGGCCTGCCAATAACCACATAGATACAGACACCACCCCCAACCAGATGAGCCTTCAGATGAGACTGCAGCCCTGACTAACACCTTTATTGAAACCTCAAGAGGTCTTGAGCCATAAACATCAAGCTAAGTCATGTCCAGATTCTGGACCTACAGAAATTGTGATAATAAATGTTTATTGTTTTAAGCCTATTTTAGATAACTAATATATCTTCCAATAATTTACTTGGGTTAATATTCAACTTGGTGTCTATTCTCTAAGTCTTTCATTGCATGACTTAGCTTACACTGTAGTTATTGATATATTGGCTCCTGAACAGAAAGTTTGGCATAGAGCCTGACACATAGCAGATGCTCAATAGATGAGTGAATAAATGAATGGGTGGATGAGTTAATGCATGACAGAGCCTATGTCCTACTCAGCTGGTCTTCAGCAACTGTATCCTCAATAAGTGTCAAACAAAGCACATAGAAAAGATGAAGGAGCCGGGCGCAGTGGCTCACACCTGTAATCCCAGCATTTTAGGAAGCCAAGGTGGGCGGATCACGAGGTCAGGAGATTGAGACCATCCTGGCTAACACAGTGAAACCCCGTCTCTATTAAAAATACAAAAAAAATTAGCCAGGCATGGTGGCGGGCGCCTGTAGTCCCAGCTACTCGGGAGGCTGAGGCAGGAGAATGGCGTGAACCCAGGAGGCAGAGCTTGCAGCAAGCCGAGATCACGCCACTGCACTCCAGCCTGGGCGACAGGGCAAGATTGTCTAAAAAAAAAAAGGAAAAGATGAAGGAAAAATAACAACTATGATTAGTTCATCAGTAATTTTACTTGGGTTGGCACTTCTAGACCCAGTTTTATGATTTGCTGAAGGAAAATTCCTCATTGGAGGCCTACTATGTTAGAAAAGTTTTTAATAGCACTCAACATTTATCTTTGGATGTAAAAGTAAACAAAAGTTCTATTTATTATTGTGCTCAACTAAACAACACATTAGTGGGATGTGTTAAGGCCAGAAACTACCAGTCAAATAAACAGACTGACATTAAAAGAGAAAACTCACCAAATTCCCTGATAATTTATGAACTAGGGCTGATTTCAGAATCAGCAGAAAGGGTGGTGGGAACCCTGACTGCAGCTGTGTGAGAGGCAATGAGGGATCATTCTTTAACTGTCACAGGCAGACAGGACTCTTATTCTTCACTGTCACAGGCAGACAGGACTCTTATTTTAGTCTGTCCAGTTTTTCATTTCATTATTCAAGACATTTAAATGGTCACCTGAGGCAAACTATAAAACCCATATTGTGCTTTAATCTAAAGCAGGTCAATTTAAGAGCTTTATGCCGACATGTGATTGTTTGCCAAATACTAGTTTTATGATGGAAGTGATAGGAGAAAAGGATTTTGCAAAACAAAGAGAGATAAAAAGTATGTTGGCTGGAGGGGCTGGCCATAGGGAGAAGAAAGAGCAGGCAAGAAGGAGGGTGCATGGCAGAGCAGGGAGATGGGTGAGAGCTCCGTGCTATAGCCTGATGGGATGGTCTGCCCAAGAGAGCAGGAAGGACACACTAAATATGCATGGTCAGGATCTGCTGCATTGCCATACAGTGGGGACATGATTCTCTCCAAAGTGACTCACATGACAAAGACAATATTTATTAATCTAGTCTCTAAATCCAGTTTTAAATTCAGAGAAAAAAATCTGTCTGGCTTTTTATGTGAATTGCTTCAATGTATTAAGTAGATGAATGGTTGTGGCTGAGGTCTTGTAGAGAGCTCAGAGGAAATTCTACCCCTCAAGAAGCCCAGGAGCTCCATCTGATGTTTATTCTGGCAGCCGTTTGATTCCCTCCACCCACTCAGTGCCTGCCCTCACCTCCTCCAAGCCTGCGTCCCCCCAGCTCTCTCAGGACAGGTCTTTGCAGGGCTGTAGAACATGGTTCCCATTCTACAAAGCAATGTCACTTGTATTTCTTAGAAATAATTGTATCCTAAGTAGCAACATCTTGAAAACATAAATGGATTCTACTACTGGTCAGAAAGGAGAAAGGTAGATCACAAAATTAATCAAGGAAGTAGTTAACATTGAGAAATAATCTCTTAAATTGTCCTTATTGTGGAAGGCCAAATGATCGGGAAAACCAGGCTCACACTGGTAAGGCAAGTGCCAACACCAGCCACAGGGGCTACTGAGTTCCAGGCAACGAGCGTAGTCTTCTTGTGGTACATTTTCCACTCTGTTGTTTGGATCTATCAGTGGAGAGGACCCACCAGCCAAAAGGACTGTCCCTTTCCTTAGGTCTCTTGGTCCATTTACACAACAATTTCATTCCTGAACCAACAAAAGGAAAAGTTCCCACGCTCCCCACACACCAAGATCCTCCCATTGCAGAAGCCCAGTGACTCCTTCAAAAGACACTCATCAGTTCTCACGGCTCCCCCAGGCCAAGGTGCTGTGCCTGGGAAACGGCCAGTCCCCACAATCAGAGAGAGGCCATGGAAAGCCCGTGTGAGAACCAGCTAAAAAAAAAAATGTAGCTAGAAAAAGGAGGCAGAGAACAATCAGGTCACATCCTCAGTCTTCAAAGAAGAATATCAGACACGGAGCAGGCTCCATGGTTGGCCAAAAACGGAAACTTCATTTCATTTGTCAGAAGTTATGTAGAGTCAGAGAATGAGATCTGGCTGGTCCTGGTACCTGATAGGGGAGCATCTTCAGGCTCTAGAAACTTCAGTGTCTGAACATTTTCCAGCTAGATCCATCCCCAGACCTGGAATACTTGAGATCAAATGTACTCAACAAAGGGGCCTCTAAAGGTGACATTTCTGGGTGTGTAAGTTGAAATCCAGAGCTATGCAAAAAAACACATGAAAATATGTCTCCTCGAAAGTACTTGGAAATGTAGTAGTCACTGACTTAAGACAAAGTTTCAATCCCATGAAGGGTTTGAAATAATCAAATCCCAATCCTGTTTGAAAACAAGAGGATAGTGATGGCTGGTGGCTGAAAAAGCTTGGGTCTCTTGGCTGGCTTTGCTGGGTGGCTGGCTTGGCTGGGTGGCTGGCTGGCTTGGCTGGCTTGGCTGGCTTGGCTGGCTGGGTGGCAGGCTGGCCTGGCTGGCTGGATGGCTGGCTGGCTTGGCTGGCTGGATGGCTGGCTGGGTGGCTGGCTGTCCTGGCTGGCTGGGTGGCTGGCTGGCTTGGCTGTCTGGCTGGCTTGCTGGCTGTCTGGGCTGGCTGGGTGGCTTGGCTGGCTTGGCTGGCTGGCTGGCTTGGCTGGCTTGGCTGGCTGGCTGGCTTGGCTGTCTGGGCTGGCTGGCTTGGCTGTCTGGGCTGGCTGGCTGGCTTGGCTGGCTTGGCTGGCCGGGTGACTTGGCTGGCTTGAGTGGGTGAGCGGATTGGCTAGCTTGGCTGGCCAGCTGGCTTGGCAGGCTGGATGGCTTGGCTGGCTTGGCTGGCAGGCTGGTTTGGCTGGCTTGGCTGTCTTGGCTGGCTGGGTGGCTTGGCTGGGTCGGTGGCTTGGCTGGCTTGGCTGCCTGGCCGGCTTGGCTGCCTTGGCTGTCTGTCCGGCTTGGTTGGCTGGCAGGCTGGCCGGCTTGACTGGCTGGCTGGTTGGCTGGCTTGGCTAGCTGAATGTCTTGGCTGGTTGGCTGGCTTGGCTGGGTTGGCTGGCTGGCTTGGCTGGCCGGGTGGCTTGGCTGGCTTGGCTAGCTGACTGGCTTGACTGGTTGGCTGGCTTGGCTGGCTTGGCTGGCTGGCTTGGCTGGCCGGGTGGCTTGGCTGGCTTGGCTAGCCGGCTGGCTTAGCTGGCTGGATGGCTTGGCTGGCATGCCTGGCTTGGCTGGCTGGCTGGCTTGGCTGGCTTGGCTGCCTGGCTGGCTTGGCTGGCATGCCTGGCTTTGCTTGCTGGCTGGCTTGGCTGCCTGGCTGGCTTGGCTGGCATGCCTTTCTTGGCTGGCTGGAGGTCTTGGCTGGCTTGGCTGGCTTGGCTGCCTGGCTGGCTTAGCTGGCTTGACTGGGTGGCTTGGCCATCTTGGCTGGCTGAGTGGCTTGGCCGGCTTGGCTGGCTGGCTGGCTTGGCTGGCTGAGTGGCTTGGCCAGCTTGGCTGGCTGGGTGGCTTGGCCGGCTTGGCTGGCTGGGTGGCTTGACTGGCTTGGCTGGCTGGGTTGTTTGCCTGGCTTGGCTGGCTGGGTGGCTTGGCAGGCTTGGCTGGCTGGCTGGCTGGCTGGCTTCGCTGGCTGGGTGTCTTGGCTAGCTTGGCTGGCTGGGTGTCTTGGCTGGCTTGGGTTGCTGGGTCTCTTGGCAGGCTTGGCTGGCTGGGTGGCTTGGCTTGTTTGGCTGGCTCGGTGTCTTCGCTGGCTTGGCTGGCTGGCTGGCTTGGCTGGCTTGGCTGCCTGGCTGGCTTGGCTGGCTTGGATGGATGGCTGGCTTGGCTGGTTGGCTGGTTTGGCCGGCTTGGCTGGCTTGGCTGGCTTGGGTGGCTGGCTGCCTGGCTGTCTTGGCTGGCTTGGCTGGCTGGGTGGCTTGGCTGGCTGGGTGGCTTGGCTGGTTTGGCTGGCTGGCTGGCTGGGTGGCTTGGCTAGCTGGCTGGCTTGGCTGGCTTTGCCGGCCGGGTGGCTTGGCTGGCTTGGCTAGCCGGCTGGCTTAGCTAGCTGGATGGCTTGGCTGGCATGCCTGGCTTGGCTGGCTGGCTGGCTTGGCTGGCTTGGCTGCCTGGCTGGCTTGGCTGGCATGCCTGTCTTGGCTGGCTGGCGGGCTTGACTGGCTTGGCTGGCTTGGCTGCCTGGCTGGCTGGCTGGCGGGCCTGGCTGGCTAGGTGGCTTGGCTGGCTTGGCTGGCTGGGTGGCTGGCTGCCTGGCTGGCTGATTGGCTTGGCTGGCTTGGCTGGCTGGGTGGCTTGGCTGGCTGGGTGGCTTGGCTGGTTTGGCTGGCTGGCTGGCTGGGTGGCTTGGCTAGCTGGCTGGCTTGGCTGGCATGCCTGGCTTTGCTTGCTGGCTGGCTTGGCTGGCTTCGCTGCCTGGCTGGCTTGGCTGGCTTCGCTGCCTGGCTGGCTTGGCTGCCTGGCTGGCTTGGCTAGCATGCCTGTCTTGGCTGGTTGGCGGGCTTGGCTGGCTTGGCTGGCTTGGCTGTCTGGGCTGGCTGACTGGCTTGGCTGGCTTGGATGGCCGGGTGGCTTGGCTGGCTTGGCTGGCTGGGTGGCTTGGCTGGCTTGGCTGGCTGGGAGGCTTGGCTGGCTTGGCTGGCTGGCTGGCTGGCTGGCTTGGATGGCTTGGTTGGCTTGGCTGGCTTGGGTGGCTGGCTGCCTGGCTGGCTGATTGGCTTGGCTGGCTTGGCTGGCTGGGTGGCTTGGCTGGTTTGGCTGGCTGGCTGGCTGGCGGGCCTGGCTGGCTAGGTGGCTTGGCTGGCTTGGCTGGCTGGGTGGCTTGGCTGGCTTGGCTGGCTGGGAGGCTTGGCTGGCTTGGCTGGCTGGCTGGCTGGCTGGCTTGGATGGCTTGGCTGGCTTGGCTGGCTTGGGTGGCTGGCTGCCTGGCTGGCTGATTGGCTTGGCTGGCTTGGCTGGCTGGGTGGCTTGGCTGGTTTGGCTGGCTGGCTGGCTGGGTGGCTTGGCTAGCTGGCTGGCTTGGCTGGCTTGGTTGGCTGGCTCTCTTGTTCGGTTGGCTGGCTTGGCTGCCTTGGCTGGCTGGCTGACTTGGCTGACTTGGCTGTCTGGGCTGGCTGAGTGGCTGGCTGGCCTGGCTGGCTGGGTGGCTGGCTGGCTTGGCTGGCTTGTCTGCCTTGGCTGGCTGGGTGGCAGGCTGGCCTGGCTGGCTGGATGGCTGGCTGGCTTGGCTGGCTGGGTGGCTGGCTGGACTGGCTGGCTGGGTGGCTGGCTGGCTTGGCTGTCTGGCTGGCTTGCTGGCTGGCTTGGCTGGCTGGGTGGCTTGGCTGGCTTGGCTGGCTGGCTGGCTTGGCTGGCTTGGCTGGCTGGCTTGGCTGTCTGAGCTGGCTGGCTGGCTTGGCTGGCTTGGCTGGCCGGGTGACTTGGCTGGCTTGAGTGGGTGAGCGGATTGGCTAGCTTGGCTGGCCAGCTGGCTTGGCAGGCTGGATGGCTTGGCTGGCTTGGCTGGCAGGCTGGTTTGGCTGGCTTGGCTGGCTTGGCTCTCTTGGCTGGCTGGGTGGCTTGGCTGGGTCAGTGGCTTGGCTGGCTTGGCTGCCTGGCTGGCTTGGCTGCCTTGGCTGTCTGGCTGGCTTGGTTGGCTGGCAGGCTGGCCGGCTTGACTGGCTGGCTGGTTGGCTGGCTTGGCTAGCTGAATGTCTTGGCTGGTTGGCTGGCTGGGCTGGGTTGGCTGGCTGGCTTGGCTGGCCGGGTGGCTTGGCTGGCTTGGCTAGCTGACTGGCTTGACTGGTTGGCTGGCTTGGCTGGCTTGACTGGCTGGCTTGGCTGGATGGGTGGCTTGGCTGGCTGGGCTAGCCGGCTGACTTAGCTGGCTGGATGGCTTGGCTGGCATGCCTGGCTTGGCTGGCTGGCTGGCTTGGCTGGCTTGGCTAGCTGACTGGCTTGACTGGTTGGCTGGCTTGGCTTCCTTGGCTGGCTGGCTTAGCTGGCCGGGTGGCTTGTCTGGCTTGGCTAGCCGGCTGGCTTAGCTGGCTGGATGGCTTGGCTGGCATGCCTGGCTTGGCTGGCTGGCTGGCTTGGCTGGCTTGGCTGGCTGGCTGGCTTGGCTGGCTTGGCTGCCTGGCTGGCTTGGCTGGCATGCCTGGCTTTGCTTGCTGGCTGGCTTGGCTGCCTGGCTGGCTTGGCTGGCATGCCTTTCTTGGCTGGCTGGAGGTCTTGGCTGGCTTGGCTGGCTTGGCTGCCTGGCTGGCTTAGCTGGCTTGACTGGGTGGCTTGGCCATCTTGGCTGGCTGAGTGGCTTGGCCGGCTTGGCTGGCTGGCTGGCTTGGCTGGCTGAGTGGCTTGGCCAGCTTGGCTGGCTGGGCGGCTTGGCTGGCTTGGCTGGCTGGGTGGCTTGACTGGCTTGGCTGGCTGGGTTGTTTGCCTGGCTTGGCTGGCTGGGTGGCTTGGCAGGCTTGGCTGGCTGGCTGGCTGGCTTCGCTGGCTGGGTGTCTTGGCTAGCTTGGCTGGCTGGGTGTCTTGGCTGGCTTGGGTTGCTGGGTCTCTTGGCAGGCTTGGCTGGCTGGGTGGCTTGGCTTGCTTGGCTGGCTCGGTGTCTTCGCTGGCTTGGCTGGCTGGCTGGCTTGGCTGGCTTGGCTGCCTGGCTGGCTTGGCTGGCATGCCTGGCTTTGCTTGCTGGCTGGTTTGGCTGCCTAGCTGGCTTGGCTGGCATGCCTTTCTTGGCTGGCTGGAGGTCTTGGCTGGCTTGGCTGCCTGGCTGGCTTGGCTGGCTTGACTGCGTGGCTTGGCCATCTTGGCTGGCTGAGTGGCTCCCCCCGCTTGGCTGGCTGGCTGGCTTGGCTGGGTTGGCTGGCTTGGCTGGCTCGCTGGCTTGCCTGGCTTGACTGGCTTGGCTGTCTTGGCTGGCTGGCTGGCTTGGCTGGCTTGGCTGGCTGGCTTGTCTGGTTTGGCTGCCTGGGCTGGCTGTCTGGCAGGGCTGTCTGGCTGGTTCGCTGGCTTGGCTGGCTTGGCTGGGTGGCCGGCTTGGCTGGCTTGGCTGACTGGCTTGGCTGGCTGGCTGTCTGGCTTCCATGGCTTGCTTGGCTGGCTGGCTTGGCGGCTTGGCTGGCTGGCTGTCTTGGCTGGCTTCGCTGGCTGGGTGTCTTGGCTAGCTTGGCTGGCTGGGTGTCTTGGCTGGCTTGGGTTGCTGGGTCTCTTGGCAGGCTTGGCTGGCTGGGTGGCTTGGCATCTTGGCTGGCTGGGCGGCTTGGCCGCTTGGCTGGCTGGCTGGCTTGGCTGGCTTGACTGGCTGGCAGGCTTGGCTGGCTTTTCTGGCTGACTGGCTTGGCTGGCTTGGCTGGCTGGGTTGGCTGGCTTGGCTGGTTTGGCTGGCTGGCTGGCTTGACTGGCTTGGCTGGCTGGCTGTCTGGCTTCCATGGCTTGCTTGGCTGGCTGGCTTGGCCGGCTTGGCTGGCTGGCTGTCTTGGCTGGCTTGGCTGGCTGGGTTGGCTGGCTTGGCTGGCTGGGTTGGCTGGCTTGGCTGGCTCGCTGGCTTGCCTGGCTTGACTGGCTTGGCTGTCTTGGCTGGCTGGCTGGCTTGGCTGGCTTGGCTGGCTGGCTTGTCTGGTTTGGCTGCCTGGGCTGGCTGTCTGGCAGGGCTGTCTGGCTGGTTGGCTGGCTTTGCTGGCTTGGCTGGGTGGCCGGCTTGGCTGGCTTGGCTGACTGGCTTGGCTGGGTTGGCCAGCTTCGCTGGCTGGCTTGGGTCTCTTGGCTGCCTGGGCTGGCTGTCTGGCTGGGCTGTCTGGCTGGTTGGCAGGCTTGGCTGGCTTGGCTGGGTGGCCGGCTTGGCTGGCTTGGCTGACTGGCTTGGCTGGTTTGGCCAGCTTTGCTGGCTGGCTTGTGTCTCTTGGCTGGCTTTGCTGGGTGGCTGGCTTGGCTGGGTGGCTGGCTGGCTTGGCTGGCTGGCTGGTTTGGCTGGCTGGCTGGCTTGGCTGTCTTGGCTGGCTTGGCTAGCTTGGCTGGCTGGCTGGCTTGGCTGGCTTGGCTGCCTGGCTGGCTTGGCTGTCTGGGCTGGCTAGCTGGCTTGGCTGGCTTGGCTGGCCGGGTGACTTGGCTAGTTTGAGTGGGTGAGTGGATTGGCTAGCTTGGCTGGCCGGCTGGCTTGGCTGGCTGGATGGCTTGGCTGGCTTGGCTGGCAGGCTGGTTTGGCTGGCTTGGCTGGCTTGGCTGGCTGGGTGGCTTGGCTGGCTTGGCTGGCTGGGTTGCTTGGATGGCTTGAGTGGCTGGCTGGCTGGCTTGGCTGGCTTGGCTGGCTGGCTGGCTTGGCTGGTTGGCTGGCTCTGCTGGTTGGCATGCTTGGCTGGCTTGGCTGGTGGCTTGCTTGGCTGGCTTGGCTAGTTGGCTGGCTTGTCTGACTGGCTGGCTGTCTTGGGTGGCTTGGCTGGCTGGGTGGCTTGGCTGGTTTGGCTGGCTGGCTTGGCTGGCTGGGTGGCTTGGCTGGCTTGGCTGGCTGGCTGGCTTGGCTGGCTTTGCTGGCTGGCTGGCTTGGCTGTCTAGGCTGGCTGGCTTGGCTGTCTGGGCTGGCTGGCTGGCTTGGCTGGCTTGGCTGGCCGGGTGACTTGGCTGGCTTGAGTGGGTGAGTGGATTGGCTAGCTTGGCTGGCCGGCCGGCTTGGCTGGCTGGATGGCTTGGCTGGCTTGGCTGGCAGGCTGGTTTGGCTGGCTTGGCTGGCTTGGCTGGCTGGGTGGCTTGGCTGGCTTGGCTGGCTGGGTTGCTTGGATGGCTTGAGTGGCTGGCTGGCTGGCTTGGCTGGCTTGGCTGGCTGGCTGGCTTGGCTGGTTGGCTGGCTCTGCTGGTTGGCATGCTTGGCTGGCTTGGCTGGTGGCTTGCTTGGCTGGCTTGGCTAGTTGGCTGGCTTGGCTGGCTGGCTGGCTGTCTTGGGTGGCTTGGCTGGCTGGGTGGCTTGGCTGGTTTGGCTGGCTGGCTTGGCTGGCTGGGTGGCTTGGCTGGCTTGGCTGGCTGGCTGGCTTGGCTGTCTGGGCTGGCTGGCTTGGCTGTCTGGGCTGGCTGGCTGGCTTGGCTGGCTTGGCTGGCCGGGTGACTTGGCTGGCTTGAGTGGGTGAGTGGATTGGCTAGCTTGGCTGGCCAGCTGGCTTGGCAGGCTGGATGGCTTGGCTGGCTTGGCTGGCAGGCTGGTTTGGCTGGCTTGGCTGTCTTGGCTGGCTGGGTGGCTTGGCTGGGTCGGTGGCTTGGCTGGCTTGGCTGCCTGGCCGGCTTGGCTGCCTTGGCTGTCTGGCTGGCTTGGTTGGCTGGCAGGCTGGCCGGCTTGACTGGCTGGCTGGTTGGCTGGCTTGGCTAGCTGAATGTCTTGGCTGGTTGGCTGGCTTGGCTGGGTTGGCTGGCTGGCTTGGCTGGCCGGGTGGCTTGGCTGGCTTGGCTAGCTGACTGGCTTGACTGGTTGGCTGGCTTGGCTGGCTTGGCTGGCTGGCTGGCTTGGCTGGCATGCCTGGCTTTGCTTGCTGGTTGGCTTAGCTGGCTGGATGGCTTGGCTGGCATGCCTGGCTTGGCTGGCTGGCTGGCTTGGCTGGCTTGGCTGCCTGGCTGGCTTGGCTGGCATGCCTGGCTTTGCTTGCTGGCTGGCTTGGCTCCCTGGCTGGCTTGGCTGGCATGCCTTTCTTGGCTGGCTGGAGGTCTTGGCTGGCTTGGCTGGCTTGGCTGCCTGGCTGGCTTAGCTGGCTTGACTGGGTGGCTTGGCCATCTTGGCTGGCTGAGTGGCTTGGCCGGCTTGGCTGGCTGGCTGGCTTGGCTGGCTGAGTGGCTTGGCCAGCTTGGCTGGCTGGGTGGCTTGGCTGGCTTGGCTGGCTGGGTTGTTTGCCTGGCTTGGCTGGCTGGGTGGCTGGCTGGCTTCGCTGGCTGGGTGTCTTGGCTAGCTTGGCTGGCTGGGTGTCTTGGCTGGCTTGGGTTGCTGGGTCTCTTGGCAGGCTTGGCTGGCTGGGTGGCTTGGCTTGCTTGGCTGGCTGGGTGTCTTCGCTGGCTTGGCTGGCTGGCTGGCTTGGCTGGCTTGACTGGCTGGCAGGCTTGGCTGGCTTTTCTGGCTGACTGGCTTGGCTGGCTTGGCTGGCTTGGCTGGCTGGGTTGGCTGGCTTGGCTGGTTTGGCTGGCTGGCTGGCTTGACTGGCTTGGCTGGCTGGCTGTCTGGCTTCCATGGCTTGCTTGGCTGGCTGGCTTGGCCGGCTTGGCTGGCTGGCTGTCTTGGCTGGCTTGGCTGGCTGGGTTGGCTGGCTTGGCTGGCTCGCTGGCTTGCCTGGCTTGACTGGCTTGGCTGTCTTGGCTGGCTGGCTGGCTTGGCTGGCTTGGCTGGCTGGCTTGTCTGGTTTGGCTGCCTGGGCTGGCTGTCTGGCAGGGCTGTCTGGCTGGTTGGCTGGCTTGTCTGGCTTGGCTGGGTGGCCGGCTTGGCTGGCTTGGCTGACTGGCTTGGCTGGTTTGGCCAGCTTTGCTGGCTGGCTTGGGTCTCTTGGTTGGCTTTGCTGGGTGGCTGGCTTGGCTGGGTGGCTGGCTGGCTTGGCTGGCTGGCTGGTTTGGCTGGCTGACTGGCTGGGCTGGCTGGCTGGCTTGGCTGGCTTGGCTGGCTGGCTGGCTTGGCTGGCATGCCTGGCTTTGCTTGCTGGCTGGCTTAGCTGGCTGGATGGCTTGGCTGGCATGCCTGGCTTGGCTGGCTGGCTGGCTTGGCTGGCTTGGCTGCCTGGCTGGCTTGGCTGGCATGCCTGGCTTTGCTTGCTGGCTGGCTTGGCTCCCTGGCTGGCTTGGCTGGCATGCCTGGCTTTGCTTGCTGGCTGGCTTGGCTCCCTGGCTGGCTTGGCTGGCATGCCTTTCTTGGCTGGCTGGAGGTCTTGGCTGGCTTGGCTGCCTTGGCTGCCTGGCTAGCTTGGCTGGCTTGACTGCGTGGCTTGGCGCCGTGGCTGGCTGAGTGGCTTGGCCGGCTTGACTGCTGGCTAGCTTAGCTGGCTGAGTGGCTTGGAGAGCTTGTGCGTAGATCTGCTTAGCTGGCTGGGTGGCTTGACCACGGTCTGCTGGCCTCTGTGACTGACTGAGCTGCCGGGCTCGCTTGGTGGCCTTGCCCAGCTTGGCTCGCTGGCTTGCTGGCTGGCTCCCTGCTGGGTGTCTTTGCTAACCTGGCTGGCTGGGTGTCTTTGCTTGCTTGGGTTGCTGGGTCTCTTGGCAGGCTTGGCTGGCTGGGTGGCTTGGCTTGCTTGGCTGGCTCGGTGTCTTCGCTGGCTTGGCTGGCTGGCTGGCTTGGCTGGCTTGGCTGCCTGGCTGGCTTGGCTGGCATGCCTGGCTTTGCTTGCTGGCTGGTTTGGCTGCCTAGCTGGCTTGGCTGGCATGCCTTTCTTGGCTGGCTGGAGGTCTTGGCTGGCTTGGCTGCCTGGCTGGCTTGGCTGGCTTGACTGCGTGGCTTGGCCATCTTGGCTGGCTGAGTGGCTTGGCCGGCTTGGCTGGCTGGCTGGCTTGGCTGGCTTGGCTGGCTGGCTTGGCTGTCTGAGCTGGCTGGCTTGGCTGGCCGGGTGACTTGGCTGGCTTGAGTGGGTGAGTGGATTGGCTAGCTTGGCTGGCCAGCTGGCTTGGCAGGCTGGATGGCTTGGCTGGCTTGGCTGGCAGGCTGGTTTGGCTGGCTTGGCTGTCTTGGCTGGCTGGGTGGCTTGGCTGGGTCGGTGGCTTGGCTGGCTTGGCTGCCTGGCCGGCTTGGCTGCCTTGGCTGTCTGTCCGGCTTGGTTGGCTGGCAGGCTGGCCGGCTTGACTGGCTGGCTGGTTGGCTGGCTTGGCTAGCTGAATGTCTTGGCTGGTTGGCTGGCTGGGCTGGGTTGGCTGGCTGGCTTGGCTGGCCGGGTGGCTTGGCTGGCTTGGCTAGCTGACTGGCTTGACTGGTTGGCTGGCTTGGCTGGCTTGACTGGCTGGCTTGGCTGGATGGGTGGCTTGGCTGGCTGGGCTAGCCGGCTGACTTAGCTGGCTGGATGGCTTGGCTGGCATGCCTGGCTTGGCTGGCTGGCTGGCTTGGCTGGCTTGGCTGCCTGGCTGGCTTGGCTGGCATGCCTGGCTTTGCTTGCTGGCTGGCTTGGCTGCCTGGCTGGCTTGGCTGGCATGCCTTTCTTGGCTGGCTGGAGGTCTTGGCTGGCTTGGCTGGCTTAGCTGGCTTGACTGGGTGGCTTGGCCATCTTGGCTGGCTGAGTGGCTTGGCCGGCTTGGCTGGCTGGCTGGCTTGGCTGGCTGAGTGGCTTGGCCAGCTTGGCTGGCTGGGTGGCTTGGCTGGCTTGGCTGGCTGGTTGGCTTGACTGGCTTGGCTGGCTGGGTTGTTTGCCTGGCTTGGCTGGCTGGGTGGCTTGGCAGGCTTGGCTGGCTGGCTGGCTTGGCTGTCTGGGCTGGCTGGCTTGGCTCTCTGGGCTGGCTGGCTGGCTTGGCTGGCTTGGCTGGCCAGGTGACTTGACTGGCTTGAGTGGGTGAGTGGATTGGCTAGCTTGGCTGGCCAGCTGGCTTGGCAGGCTGGATGGCTTGGCTGGCTTGGCTGGCAGGCTGGTTTGGCTGGCTTGGCTGTCTTGGCTGGCTGGGTGGCTTGGCTGGGTCAGTGGCTTGGCTGGCTTGGCTGCCTGGCCGGCTTGGCTGCCTTGGCTGTCTGTCCAGCTTGGTTGGCTGGCAGGCTGGCCGGCTTGACTGGCTGGCTGGTTGGCTGGCTTGGCTAGCTGACTGGCTTGACTGGTTGGCTGGCTTGGCTGCCTTGGCTGGCTGGCTTGGCTGGCCGGGTGGCTTGTCTGGCTTGGCTAGCCGGCTGGCTTAGCTGGCTGGATGGCTTGGCTGGCATGCCTGGCTTGGCTGGCTGGCTGGCTTGGCTGGCTTGGCTGGCTGGCTGGCTTGGCTGGCATGCCTGGCTTTGCTTGCTGGCTGGCTTGGCTGCCTGGCTGGCTTGGCTGGCATGCCTTTCTTGGCTGGCTGGAGGTCTTGGCTGGCTTGGCTGGCTTGGCTGCCTGGCTGGCTTAGCTGGCTTGACTGGGTGGCTTGGCCATCTTGCCTGGCTGAATGGCTTGCCCGGCTGGCCTGGCTGGCTGGCTTGGCTGGCTGAGTGGCTTGGCCGGCTGGCTGGCTGGGTGGCTTGGCTGGCTTGGCTGGCTGGGTGGCTTGACTGGCTTGGCTGGCTGGGTTGTTTGCCTGGCTTGGCTGGCTGGGTGGCTTGGCAGGCTTGGCTGGCTGGCTGGCTGGCTGGCTTCGCTGGCTGGGTGTCTTGGCTAGCTTGGCTGGCTGGGTGTCTTGGCTGGCTTGGGTTGCTGGGTCTCTTGGCAGGCTTGGCTGGCTGGGTGGCTTGGCTTGCTTGGCTGGCTGGGTGTCTTCGCTGGCTTGGCTGGCTGGCTGGCTTGGCTGGCTTGACTGGCTGGCAGGCTTGGCTGGCTTTTCTGGCTGACTGGCTTGGCTGGCTTGGCTGGCTTGGCTGGCTGGGTTGGCTGGCTTGGCTGGTTTGGCTGGCTGGCTGGCTTGACTGGCTTGGCTGGCTGGCTGTCTGGCTTCCATGGCTTGCTTGGCTGGCTGGCTTGGCCGGCTTGGCTGGCTGGCTGTCTTGGCTGGCTTGGCTGGCTGGGTTGGCTGGCTTGGCTGGCTCGCTGGCTTGCCTGGCTTGACTGGCTTGGCTGTCTTGTCTGGCTGGCTGGCTTGGCTGACTTGGCTGGCTGGCTTGTCTGGTTTGGCTGCCTGGGCTGGCTGTCTGGCAGGGCTGTCTGGCTGGTTCGCTGGCTTGGCTGGCTTGGCTGGGTGGCCGGCTTGGCTGGCTTGGCTGACTGGCTTGGCTGGGTTGGCCAGCTTCGCTGGCTGGCTTGGGTCTCTTGGCTGCCTGGGCTGGCTGTCTGGCTGGGCTGTCTGGCTGGTTGGCTGGCTTGGCTGGCTTGGCTGGGTGGCCGGCTTGGCTGGCTTGGCTGACTGGCTTGGCTGGTTTGGCCAGCTTTGCTGGCTGGCTTGGGTCTCTTGGTTGGCTTTGCTGGGTGGCTGGCTTGGCTGGGTGGCTGGCTGGCTTGGCTGGCTGGCTGGTTTGGCTGGCTGACTGGCTGGGCTGGCTGGGCTCGCTGTCTGGCTTGGCCGGCTCGGCTGGCTGGCTGGCTGGCTGGCTGGGCTGGCTTTGCTGGCTGGCTGGCTTGGCTGGCTTGGCTGGCCGGGTGACTTGGCTGGTTTGAGTGGCTTAGTGAATTGGCTAGCTTGGCTGGCCGGCTGGCTTGGCTGGCTGGCTGGCTTGGTTGGCTTGGCTGGCTGGCTGGCTTGGCTGTCTGGGCTGGCTAGCTGGCTTGGCAGGCTTGGCTGGCCGGGTGACTTGGCTAGTTTGAGTGGGTGAGTGGATTGGCTAGCTTGGCTGGCTGGCTGGCTTGGCTGGCTGGATGGCTTGGCTGGCTTGGCTGGCAGGCTGGTTTGGCTGGCTTGGCTGGCTTGGCTGGCTGGGTGGCTTGGCTGACTTGGCTGGGTCGGTGGCTTGGCTGGCTTGGCTGGCTGGGTTGCTTGGATGGCTTAAGTGGCTGGCTGGCTGGCTTGGCTGGTTTGGCTGGCTGGCTGGCTTGGCTGGTTGGCTGGCTCTGCTGGCTGGCAGGCTTGGCTGGCTTGGCTGGTGGCTTGCTTGGCTGGCTTGGCTAGTTGGCTGGCTTGGCTGGCTGGCTGTCTGTCTTGGGTGGCTTGGCTGGCTGGGTGGCTTGGCTGGTTTGGCTGGCTGGCTGGCATGGCTGCCTTGGCGGGCTGGCTTGGCTGGCTTGGCTGGCTGGCTGACTTGGCTGGCTTGTGTGGCTGGCTGGGCTGGCTGCGGTGGCTGGGTTGGCTGGCTGGCTGGGCTGGCTGGGCTGGCTGGCTGGCTTGGCTGGCTGGGCTGGCTGGCTGGCTTGAATGGCTTGGCTGGCTTGGCTGGCCTGGCTGGCTGGCTGGCTTGGCTGGCTTGGCAGGCTGGCTGGTTTAGCTGTCTTGGGTGGCTGGGTGGCTGGCTGGCTTGGCTGGCTGGGCTGGCTCCTGGCTTGGCTGGCTTGGCTGGCTTGCTTGGCTGGCTTGGCTGGCTGGGTGGCTTGGCTGGCTTGGCTGGCTGGCTGGCTGGGTGTCTTGGGTGGCTTGGCTGGCTGGGTGGCTTGGCTGGTTTGGCTGGCTGGCTTGGCTGGCTGGCTTGCTGGCTTGCTTGGCTGGCTTGGCTGGCTGGCTGGCTTGGCTGTCTGGGCTGGCTGGCTCTCTTGGATGGCTTGGCTGACTGGGTGGCTGGCTTGGCTGTCTGTGCTGGCCGGCTGGCTTGGATGGCTTGGCTGACTGGGTGGCTGGCTGGCCTGGCTGGCTGGGTGGCTGACTGGCTTCGCAGGCTTGTCTGGCTTGGCTGGCTGGGTGGCAGGCTGGCCTGGCTGGTTGGGTGGCAGGCTGGCTTGGCTGGCTGGGTGGCTGGATGGCCTGGCTGGTTGGGTGGCAGGCTGGCTTGGCTGGCTGGGTGGCTGGATGGCCTGGCTGGATGGCTGGCTTGGCTCTCTTGGCTGGCTGGCTGGCTTGGCTGGCTGGCTTGGCTGGCTTGGCTGGCTTGGCTGCCTGGCTGGCTTGGCTGGCTTGGCTGGCTTGGCTGCCTGGGTGGCTTGGCTGGCTTGGCTGGCTTGGCTGGCTTGGCTGGCTGGCTTGGTTGGCTTGGATGGCTGGCTGGCTTGGCTGGCATGGCTGGCTGGCTGGCTTGGTTGGCTGGCTGGGCTGGCTTGGCTGGCTGGGCTGGCTGGCTGGCTGGCTGGCTTGGATGGCTTGGCTGGCTGGCTGGGCTGGCTTAGCTGGCTGGGCTGGCTGGGCTGGCTTGGCTGGCTTGGCTGGCTGGCTGACTTTGCTGGCTTGCCTGGCTTGGCTGACTGGCTTGGCTGGCTCAGTTGACTTGGCTGGCTTGGCTGGCTTGGCTGGCTGGCTGGCTTGGCTGGCTTGGCTGGCTGACTGGCTTGGCTGGCTTGGCTGGCTGGCTGGCATGGCTGCCTTGGTGGGCTGGCTTGGCTGACTTGGCTGGCTGGCTGACTTGGCTGGCTTGTGTGGCTGGCTGGGCTGGCTGCGGTGGCTGGGTTGGCTGGCTGGCGGGGCTGGCTGGGCTGGCTGGCTGGCTTGGCTGGCTGGGCTGGCTGGCTGGGTGGCTGGCTGGGTGGCTGGCTGGCCTGGCTGGCTGGCTGGCTTGGCTCGCTTGGCTGGCTGGCTGGCTTGGCTGGCTGTCTGGCTTGACTGGCTTGGCTGGCTGCCTGGCTTTGCTGGCTGGCTGGCTTGGCTGGCTGCCTGGCTTGGCTGTCTGGGCTGGCTGGGTGGCTTGGCTGGCTTGGCTGGGTCGGTGGCTTGGCTGGCTTGGCTGCCTGGCCGGCTTGGCTGCCTTGGCTGTCTGGCCGGCTTGGTTGGCTGGCAGGCTGGCCAGCTTAGCTGGCTGGCTGGTTGGCTGGCTTGGCTAGCTGACTGGCTTTGCTGGTTGGCTGGCTTGGCTGGCTTGGCTGGCTGGCTTGGATGGCCGGGTGGCTTGTCTGGCTTGGCTAGCCGGCTGGCTTAGCTGGCTGGATGGCTTGGCTGGCATGCCTGGCTTGGCTGGCTGGCTGGTTTTGCTGGCTTGGCTGCCTGGCTGGCTTGGCTGGCATGCCTGGCTTGGCTGGCTGGCGGGCCTGGCTGGCTTGGCTGGCTTGGCTGCCTGGCTGGCTTGGCTGGCATGCCTGTCTTGGCTGGCTGGCGGGCTTGACTGGCTTGGCTGGCTTGGCTGCCTGGCTGGCTGGCTGGTGGGCCTGGCTGGCTAGGTGGCTTGGCTGGCTTGGCTGGCTGGGTGGCTTGGCTGGCTTGGCTGGCTGGGAGGCTTGGCTGGCTTGGCTGGCTGGCTGGCTTGGCTGGCTTGTCTGGCTTGGCTGGCTGGGTGGCAGGCTGGCCTGGCCGGCTGGGTGGCTGGCTGGCTTGGCTGGCTGGGCTGGCTGGGATGGCTGGCTGGCTGGCTGGCTTGGCTGGCTTGGCTGGCTTGGCAGGCTTGGCTGGTTTAGCTGGCTTGGTTAGCTGGCTGGCTTGGCTGGCTTGACTGGCTGGCTGGCTTGGCTGGCTTGGCTGGCTGGCTGAGTTGGCTGGCTTGGCTGGCTTGGGTGGCTTGGCTGGCTGGCTGGCTTCATTGGCTTGGATGGCTGGCTGGCTTGGATGGCTGCCTGGCTTGGCTAGCTTGGCTGGCTGACTGGCTTGGCTGCCTTGGCTGGCTTGGCTAGCTGGCTTGGCTGGCTGGCTTGGCTGGCTTGGGTGGCTTGGCTGGCTGGCTGGCTTCATTGGCTTGGATGGCTGGCTGGCTTGGATGGCTGCCTGGCTTGGCTAGCTTGGCTGGCTGACTGGCTTGGCTGCCTTGGCTGGCTTGGCTAGCTGGCTTGGCTGGCTGGCTTGGCTGGCTTGGCTTGCTGGCTGTCTTGGCTGGCTTGGCAGGCTGACTTGGCTGGCTTTGCTGGCGGGCTGGCTTTGCAGGCTTGGCTGGATGGTTGGCTTGGCAGGCTTGGCTGGCTTGGCTGGCTTGGCTGGCTGGGTGGCTTGGCTGGCTTGGCTGGCTGGCTGGCTGGGTGTCTTGGGTGGCTTGGCTGGCTGGGTGGCTTGGCTGGTTTGGCTGGCTGGCTTGGCTGGCTGGCTTGCTGGCTTGCTTGGCTGGCTTGGCTGGCTGGCTGGCTTGGCTGTCTGGGCTGGCTGGCTGGCTTGGCTGGCTTGGCTGGCTGACTGGCTTGACTGGCTTGGCTGGCTTGGCTGGCTTGGCTGGCTGACTGGCTTGGCTGGCTTGGCTGGCTGGCTGAGTTGGCTGGCTTGGGTGTCTTGGCTGGCTGGCTGGCTTCATTGGCTTGGATGGCTGGCTGGCTTGGATGGCTGCCTGGCTTGGCTAGCTTGGCTGGCTGACTGGCTTGGCTGCCTTGGCTGGCTTGGCTGGCTTGGCTTGCTGGTTGTCTTGGCTGGCTTGGCAGGCTGACTTGGCTGGCTTTGCTGGCTGGCTGGCTTTGCAGGCTTGGCTGGCTGGCTGGCTTGGCAGGCTTGGCTGGCTTGGCTGGCTTGGCTGGCTCCTGGCTGCGCTGGCTTGGCTGGCTTGCTTGGCTGGCTTGGCTGGCTGGGTGGCTTGGCTGGCTTGGCTGGCTGGCTGGCTGGCTGGGTGTCTTGGGTGGCTTGGCTGGCTGGGTGGCTTGGCTGGTTTGGCTGGCTGGCTTGGCTGGCTGGCTTGCTGGCTTGCTTGGCTGGCTTGGCTGGCTGGCTGGCTTGGCTGTCTGGGCTGGCTGGCTCTCTTGGATGGCTTGGCTGACTGGGTGGCTGGCTTGGCTGTCTGTGCTGGCCGGCTGGCTTGGATGGCTTGGCTGACTGGGTGGCTGGCTGGCCTGGCTGGCTGGGTGGCTGACTGGCTTCGCAGGCTTGTCTGGCTTGGCTGGCTGGGTGGCAGGCTGGCCTGGCTGGTTGGGTGGCTGGCTGGCTTGGCTGGCTGGGTGGCTGGCTGGCCTGGCTGGCTGGCTGGCTTGGCTCGCTTGGCTGGCTGGCTGGCTTGGCTGGCTGTCTGGCTTGACTGGCTTGGCTGGCTGCCTGGCTTTGCTGGCTGGCTGGCTTGGCTGGCTGCCTGGCTTGGCTGTCTGGGCTGGCTGGGTGGCTTGGGTGGCTTGGCTGGCTTGGCTGGGTCGGTGGCTTGGCTGGCTTGGCTGCCTGGCCGGCTTGGCTGCCTTGGCTGTCTGGCCGGCTTGGTTGGCTGGCAGGCTGGCCAGCTTAGCTGGCTGGCTGGTTGGCTGGCTTGGCTAGCTGACTGGCTTTGCTGGTTGGCTGGCTTGGCCGGCTTGGCTGGCTGGCTTGGATGGCCGGGTGGCTTGTCTGGCTTGGCTAGCCGGCTGGCTTAGCTGGCTGGATGGCTTGGCTGGCATGCCTGGCTTGGCTGGCTGGCTGGTTTTGCTGGCTTGGCTGCCTGGCTGGCTGGGCTGGCATGCCTGGCTTTGCTTGCTGCCTGGCTTGGCTGACTTGGCTGCCTGGCTGGCTTGGCTGGCATGCCTGTCTTGGCTGGCTGGCGGGCCTGGCTGGCTTGGCTGGCTTGGCTGCCTGGCTGGCTTGGCTGGCATGCCTGTCTTGGCTGGCTGGCGGGCTTGACTGGCTTGGCTGGCTTGGCTGCCTGGCTGGCTGGCTGGTGGGCCTGGCTGGCTAGGTGGCTTGGCTGGCTTGGCTGGCTGGGTGGCTTGGCTGGCTTGGCTGGCTGGGAGGCTTGGCTGGCTTGGCTGGCTGGCTGGCTGGCTGGCTGGCTGGCTTGGCTGGCTTGTCTGGCTTGGCTGGCTGGGTGGCAGGCTGGCCTGGCCGGCTGGGTGGCTGGCTGGCTTGGCTGGCTGGGTGGCTGGGTGGCTGGCTGGCTGGCTGGCTTGGCTGGCTTGCCTGGCTTGCTTGGCTGGCTTGGCTGGCTGGGTGGCTTGGCTGGCTTGGCTGGCTGGCTGGCTGGGTGTCTTGGGTGGCTTGGCTGGCTGGCTGGCTTGGCTGGTTTGGCTGGCTGGCTTGGCTGGCTGGCTTGCTGGCTTGCTTGGCTGGCTTGGCTGGCTGGCTGGCTTGGCTGGCTTGGCTGGCTGGCTGGCTTGGCCGGCTTGGCTGGCAGGCTGGCTTGGCTGGCATGCCTGGCTTTGCTTGCTGGCTGGCTTGGCTCCCTGGCTGGCTTGGCTGGCATGCCTTTCTTGGCTGGCTGGAGGTCTTGGCTGGCTTGGCTGGCTTGGCTGCCTGGCTGGCTTAGCTGGCTTGACTGGGTGGCTTGGCCATCTTGGCTGGCTGAGTGGCTTGGCCGGCTTGGCTGGCTGGCTGGCTTGGCTGGCTGAGTGGCTTGGCCGGCTTGGCTGGCTGGGTGGCTTGGCCGGCTTGGCTGGCTGGGTGGCTTGACTGGCTTGGCTGGCTGGGTTGTTTGCCTGGCTTGGCTGGCTGGGTGGCTTGGCAGGCTTGGCTGGCTGGCTGGCTGGCTTCGCTGGCTGGGTGTCTTGGCTAGCTTGGCTGGCTGGGTGTCTTGGCTGGCTTGGGTTGCTGGGTCTCTTGGCAGGCTTGGCTGGCTGGGTGGCTTGGCTTGCTTGGCTGGCTGGGTGTCTTCGCTGGCTTGGCTGGCTGGCAGGCTTGGCTGGCTTGACTGGCTGGCAGGCTTGGCTGGCTTTTCTGGCTGACTGGCTTGGCTGGCTTGGCTGGCTTGGCTGGCTGGGTTGGCTGGCTTGGCTGGCTGGCTGTCTGGCTTCCATGGCTTGCTTGGCTGGCTGGCTTGGCCGGCTTGGCTGGCTGGCTGTCTTGGCTGGCTTGGCTGGCTGGGTTGGCTGGCTTGGCTGGCTCGCTGGCTTGCCTGGCTTGACTGGCTTGGCTGTCTTGGCTGGCTGGCTGGCTTGGCTGGCTTGGCTGGCTGGCTTGTCTGTTTTGGCTGCCTGGGCTGGCTGTCTGGCAGGGCTGTCTGGCTGGTTCGCTGGCTTGGCTGGCTTGGCTGGGTGGCCGGCTTGGCTGGCTTGGCTGACTGGCTTGGCTGGGTTGGCCAGCTTCGCTGGCTGGCTTGGGTCTCTTGGCTGCCTGGGCTGGCTGTCTGGCTGGGCTGTCTGGCTGGTTGGCTGGCTTGGCTGGCTTGGCTGGGTGGCCGGCTTGGCTGGCTTGGCTGACTGGCTTGGCGGGTTTGGCCAGCTTTGCTGGCTGGCTTGGGTCTCTTGGCTGGCTTTGCTGGGTGGCTGGCTTGGCTGGGTGGCTGGCTGGCTTGGCTGGCTGGCTGGTTTGGCTGGCTGACTGGCTGGGCTGGCTGGGCTCGCTGTCTGGCTTGGCCGGCTCGGCTGGCTGGCTGGCTGGCTGGCTGGGCTGGCTTTGCTGGCTGGCTGGCTTGGCTGGCTTGGCTGGCCGGGTGACTTGGCTGGTTTGAGTGGCTTAGTGGATTGGCTAGCTTGGCTGGCCGGCTGGCTTGGCTGGCTGGCTGGCTTGGCTGGCTTGGCTGGCTGGCTGGCTTGGCTGTCTGGGCTGGCTAGCTGGCTTGGCAGGCTTGGCTGGCCGGGTGACTTGGCTAGTTTGAGTGGGTGAGTGGATTGGCTAGCTTGGCTGGCTGGCTGGCTTGGCTGGCTGGATGGCTTGGCTGGCTTGGCTGGCAGGCTGCTTTGGCTCTCACTGCCTCACGGACGTTCGGGTAAAGCGCTTGGCTGGCTGGCTGGCTTGGCTGGTTTGGCTGGCTGGCTTGGCTGGCTGGCTTGCTGGCTTGCTTGGCTGGCTTGGCTGGCTGGCTGGCTTGGCTGGCTTGGCTGGCTGGCTGGCTTGGCCGGCTTGGCTGGCTGGCTGGCTTGGCTGGCATGCCTGGCTTTGCTTGCTGGCTGGCTTGGCTCCCTGGCTGGCTTGGCTGGCATGCCTTTCTTGGCTGGCTGGAGGTCTTGGCTGGCTTGGCTGGCTTGGCTGCCTGGCTGGCTTAGCTGGCTTGACTGGGTGGCTTGGCCATCTTGGCTGGCTGAGTGGCTTGGCCGGCTTGGCTGGCTGGCTGGCTTGGCTGGCTGAGTGGCTTGGCTGGCTTGGCTGGCTTGGCTGGCTGGCTGGCTTGGCTGACTTGGCTGGCTTGGCTGGCTGGCTGACTTGGCTGGCTTGTGTGGCTGGCTGGGCTGGCTGCGGTGGCTGGGTTGGCTGGCTGGCCTGGCTGGCTGGCTGGTTTAGCTGGCCTGGTTGGCTGGCTGGCTTGGCTGGCTTGACTGGCTGGCTGGCTTGGCTGGCTTGGCTAGCTGGCTGAGTTGGCTGGCTTGTGTGTCTTGGCTGGCTGGCTGGCTTCATTGGCTTGGATGGCTGGCTGGCTTGGATGGCTGCCTGGCTTGGCTAGCTTGGCTGGCTGACTGGCTTGGCTGCCTTGGCTGGCTTGGCTGGCTTGGCTTGCTGGTTGTCTTGGCTGGCTTGGCAGGCTGACTTGGCTGGCTTTGCTGGCTGGCTGGCTTTGCAGGCTTGGCTGGCTGGCTGGCTTGGCAGGCTTGGCTGGCTTGGCTGGCTTGGCTGGCTCCAGCTGCGCTGGCTTGGCTGGCATGCTTGGCTGGCTTGTCAAGCTTGGATGGCTAGCTTGCTTGGCCTGGCTTAGCTGGCTCGAGCTGGCTGGGCAGGCTTGGCTAGCTGCCTAGCTGCCTCTCGCTGGCTGGGTGTCGTGGCTAGCTTGGCTGGCTGGGTGTCTTGGCTGGCTTGGGTTGCTGGGTCTCTTGGCAGGCTTGGCTGGCTGGGTGGCTTGGCTTGCTTGGCTGGCTCGGTGTCTTCGCTGGCTTGGCTGGCTGGCTGGCTTGGCTGGCTTGGCTGCCTGGCTGGCTTGGCTGGCATGCCTGGCTTTGCTTGCTGGCTGGTTTGGCTGCCTTGCTGGCTTGGCTGGCATGCCTTTCTTGGCTGGCTGGAGGTCTTGGCTGGCTTGGCTGCCTGGCTGGCTTGGCTGGCTTGACTGCGTGGCTTGGCCATCTTGGTTGGCTGAGTGGCTTGGCCGGCTTGGCTGGCTGGCTGGCTTGGCTGGCTGAGTGGCTTGGCTGGCTTGGCTGGCTGGGTGGCTTGGCTGGCTTAGCTGGCTTGACTGGGTGGCTTGGCCATCTTGGCTGGCTGAGTGGCTTGGCCGGCTTGGCTGGCTGGCTGGCTTGGCTGGCTGAGTGGCTTGCCAGCTTGGCTGGCTGGGTGGCTTGGCTGGCTTGGCTGGCTTGGCTGGCTGGGTGGCTTGACTGGCTTGGCTGGCTGGGTTGTTTGCCTGGCTTGGCTGGCTGGGTGGCTTGGCAGGCTTGGCTGGCTGGCTGGCTGGCTGGCTTCGCTGGCTGGGTGTCGTGGCTAGCTTGGCTGGCTGGGTGTCTTGGCTGGCTTGGGTTGCTGGGTCTCTTGGCAGGCTTGGCTGGCTGGGTGGCTTGGCTTGCTTGGCTGGCTCGGTGTCTTCGCTGGCTTGGCTGGCTGGCTGGCTTGGCTGGCTTGGCTGCCTGGCTGGCTTGGCTGGCATGCCTGGCTTTGCTTGCTGGCTGGTTTGGCTGCCTTGCTGGCTTGGCTGGCATGCCTTTCTTGGCTGGCTGGAGGTCTTGGCTGGCTTGGCTGCCTGGCTGGCTTGGCTGGCTTGACTGCGTGGCTTGGCCATCTTGGCTGGCTGAGTGGCTTGGCCGGCTTGGCTGGCTGGCTGGCTTGGCTGGCTGAGTGGCTTGGCCAGCTTGGCTGGCTGGGTGGCTTGGCTGGCTTAGTTGGCTTGACTGGGTGGCTTGGCCATCTTGGCTGGCTGAGTGGCTTGGCCGGCTTGGCTGGCTGGCTGGCTTGGCTGGCTGAGTGACTTGGCCAGCTTGGCTGGCTGGGTGGCTTGGCCGGCTTGGCTGGCTGGGTGGCTTGACTGGCTTGGCTGGCTGGGTTGTTTGCCTGGCTTGGCTGGCTGGGTGGCTTGGCTGGCTTGGCTGGCTGGCTGGCTGGCTGGCTTCGCTGGCTGGGTGTCTTGGCTAGCTTGGCTGGCTGGGTGTCTTGGCTGGCTTGGGTTGCTGGGTCTCTTGGCAGGCTTGGCTGGCTGGGTGGCTTGGCCATCTTGGCTGGCTGAGTGGCTTGGCCGGCTTGGCTGGCTGGCTGGCTTGGCTGGCTTGACTGGCTGGCAGGCTTGGCTGGCTTTTCTGGCTGACTGGCTTGGCTGGCTTGGCTGGCTTGGCTGGCTGGGTTGGCTGGCTTGGCTGGTTTGGCTGGCTGGCTGGCTTGACTGGCTTGGCTGGCTGGCTGTCTGGCTTCCATGGCTTGCTTGGCTGGCTGGCTTGGCCGGCTTGGCTGGCTGGCTGTCTTGGCTGGCTTGGCTGGCTGGGTTGGCTGGCTTGGCTGGCTCGCTGGCTTGCCTGGCTTGACTGGCTTGGCTGTCTTGGCTGGCTGGCTGGCTTGGCTGGCTTGGCTGGCTGGCTTGTCTGGTTTGGCTGCCTGGGCTGGCTGTCTGGCAGGGCTGTCTGGCTGGTTCGCTGGCTTGGCTGGCTTGGCTGGGTGGCCGGCTTGGCTGGCTTGGCTGACTGGCTTGGCTGGGTTGGCCAGCTTCGCTGGCTGGCTTGGGTCTCTTGGCTGCCTGGGCTGGCTGTCTGGCTGGGCTGTCTGGCTGGTTTGCTGGCTTGTCTGGCTTGGATGGGTGGCCGGCTTGGCTGGCTTGGCTGACTGGCTTGGCTGGTTTGGCCAGCTTTGCTGGCTGGCTTGGGGCTCTTGGTTGGCTTTGCTGGGTGGCTGGCTTGGCTGGGTGGCTGGCTGGCTTGGCTGGCTGGCTGGTTTGGCTGGCTGACTGGCTGGGCTGGCTGGCTGGCTTGGCTGGCTTGGCTGGCTGGCTGGCTTGGCTGGCATGCCTGGCTTTGCTTGCTGGCTGGCTTAGCTGGCTGGATGGCTTGGCTGGCATGCCTGGCTTGGCTGGCTGGCTGGCTTGGCTGGCTTGGCTGCCTGGCTGGCTTGGCTGGCATGCCTGGCTTTGCTTGCTGGCTGGCTTGGCTCCCTGGCTGGCTTGGCTGGCATGCCTTTCTTGGCTGGCTGGAGGTCTTGGCTGGCTTGGCTGGCTTGGCTGCCTGGCTGGCTTAGCTGGCTTGACTGGGTGGCTTGGCCATCTTGGCTGGCTGAGTGGCTTGGCCGGCTTGGCTGGCTGGCTGGCTTGGCTGGCTGAGTGGCTTGGCCGGCTTGGCTGGCTGGGTGGCTTGGCTGGCTTGGCTGGCTGGGTGGCTTGACTGGCTTGGCTGGCTGGGTTGTTTGCCTGGCTTGGCTGGCTGGGTGGCTTGGCAGGCTTGGCTGGCTGGCTGGCTGGCTTCGCTGGCTGGGTGTCTTGGCTAGCTTGGCTGGCTGGGTGTCTTGGCTGGCTTGGGTTGCTGGGTCTCTTGGCAGGCTTGGCTGGCTGGGTGGCTTGGCTTGCTTGGCTGGCTGGGTGTCTTCGCTGGCTTGGCTGGCTGGCTGGCTTGGCTGGCTTGACTGGCTGGCAGGCTTGGCTGGCTTTTCTGGCTGACTGGCTTGGCTGGCTTGGCTGGCTTGGCTGGCTGGGTTGGCTAGGGCTGTCTGGCTGGTTGGCTGGCTTGTCTGGCTTGGCTGGGTGGCCGGCTTGGCTGGCTTGGCTGACTGGCTTGGCTGGTTTGGCCAGCTTTGCTGGCTGGCTTGGGTCTCTTGGTTGGCTTTGCTGGGTGGCTGGCTTGGCTGGGTGGCTGGCTGGCTTGGCTGGCTGGCTGGTTTGGCTGGCTGACTGGCTGGGCTGGCTGGCTGGCTTGGCTGGCTTGGCTGGCTGGCTGGCTTGGCTGGCATGCCTGGCTTTGCTTGCTGGCTGGGTTAGCTGGCTGGATGGCTTGGCTGGCATGCCTGGCTTGGCTGGCTGGCTGGCTTGGCTGGCTTGGCTGCCTGGCTGGCTTGGCTGGCATGCCTGGCTTTGCTTGCTGGCTGGCTTGGCTCCCTGGCTGGCTTGGCTGGCATGCCTGGCTTTGCTTGCTGGCTGGCTTGGCTCCCTGGCTGGCTTGGCTGGCATGCCTTTCTTGGCTGGCTGGAGGTCTTGGCTGGCTTGGCTGGCTTGGCTGCCTGGCTGGCTTAGCTGGCTTGACTGGGTGGCTTGGCCATCTTGGCTGGCTGAGTGGCTTGGCCGGCTTGGCTGGCTGGCTGGCTTGGCTGGCTGAGTGGCTTGGCCGGCTTGGCTGGCTGGGTGGCTTGGCTGGCTTGGCTGGCTGGGTGGCTTGACTGGCTTGGCTGGCTGGGTTGTTTGCCTGGCTTGGCTGGCTGGGTGGCTTGGCAGGCTTGGCTGGCTGGCTGGCTGGCTTCGCTGGCTGGGTGTCTTGGCTAGCTTGGCTGGCTGGGTGTCTTGGCTGGCTTGGGTTGCTGGGTCTCTTGGCAGGCTTGGCTGGCTGGGTGGCTTGGCTTGCTTGGCTGGCTGGGTGTCTTCGCTGGCTTGGCTGGCTGGCTGGCTTGGCTGGCTTGACTGGCTGGCAGGCTTGGCTGGCTTTTCTGGCTGACTGGCTTGGCTGGCTTGGCTGGCTTGGCTGGCTGGGTTGGCTAGCTTGGCTGGCTGGGTTGGCTAGCTTGGCTGGCTGGCTGTCTGGCTTCCATGGCTTGCTTGGCTGGCCTGTCTTGGCTGGCTGGCTGGCTTGGCTGGCTTGGCTGGCTGGCTTGTCTGGTTTGGCTGCCTGGGCTGGCTGTCTGGCAGGGCTGTCTGGCTGGTTCGCTGGCTTGGCTGGCTTGGCTGGGTGGCCGGCTTGGCTGGTTTGGCTGACTGGCTTGGCTGGGTTGGCCAGCTTCGCTGGCTGGCTTGGGTCTCTTGGCTGCCTGGGCTGGCTGTCTGGCTGGGCTGTCTGGCTGGTTGGCTGGCTTGTCTGGCTTGGCTGGGTGGCCAGCTTGGCTGGCTTGGCTGACTGGCTTGGCTGGTTTGGCCAGCTTTGCTGGCTGGCTTGGGTCTCTTGGCTGGCTTTGCTGGGTGGCTGGCTTGGCTGGGTGGCTGGCTGGCTTGGCTGGCTGGCTGGTTTGGCTGGCTGACTGGCTGGGCTGGCTGGGCTCGCTGTCTGGCTTGGCGGCTCGGCTGGCTGGCTGGCTGGCTGGCTGGGCTGGCTTTGCTGGCTGGCTGGCTTGGCTGGCTTGGCTGGCCGGGTGACTTGGCTGGTTTGAGTGGCTTAGTGGATTGGCTAGCTTGGCTGGCCGGCTGGCTTGGCTGGCTGGCTGGCTTGGCTGGCTTGGCTGGCTGGCTGGCTTGGCTGGCTTGGCTGGCTTGGCTAGATTGGCTGGCTGGCTGGCTTGGCTGGCTTGGCTGGCTGGCTGGCTTGGCTGTCTGGGCTGGCTAGCTGGCTTGGCAGGCTTGGCTGGCCGGGTGACTTGGCTAGTTTGAGTGGGTGAGTGGATTGGCTAGCTTGGCTGGCCGGCTGGCTTGGCTGGCTGGATGGCTTGGCTGGCTTGGCTGGCAGGCTGGTTTGGCTGGCTTGGCTGGCTTGGCTGGCTGGGTGGCTTGGCTGGCTTGGCTGGGTCGGTGGCTTGGCTGGCTTGGCTGGCTGGGTTGCTTGGATGGCTTAAGTGGCTGGCTGGCTGGCTTGGCTGGTTGGCTGGCTCTGCTGGCTGGCAGGCTTGGCTGGCTTGGCTGGTGGCTTGCTTGGCTGGCTTGGCTAGTTGGCTGGCTTGGCTGGCTGGCTGGCTGGCTGTCTTGGGTGGCTTGGCTGGCTGGGTGGCTTGGCTGGTTTGGCTGGCTGGCTTGGCTGGCTGGCTTGCTGGCTTGCTTGGCTGGCTTGGCTGTCTGGGCTGGCTTGTTGGCTTGCATGGCTTGGCTGGCTGGGTGGCTGGATGTCCTGGCTGGCTGCGTGGCTGGCTGGCTTGGCTGGCTTGTCTGGCTTGGCTGGCTGGGTGGCAGGCTGGCCTGGCTTGCTGGGTGGCTGCCTGGCTTGGCTGGCTGGGTGGCTGGCTGGCTTGGCTGGCTTGGCTGGCTTGGCTGGCTGGCTGGCATGGCTGCCTTGGCGGGCTGGCTTGGCTGGCTTGGCTGGCTGGCTGACTTGGCTGGCTTGTGTGGCTGGCTGGGCTGGCTGCGGTGCCTTGTTTGGCTGGCTGGCCTGGCTGGCTGGCTGGCTTGGCTGGCTTGGCAGGCTGGCTGGTTTAGCTGGCCTGGTTGGCTGGCTGGCTTGGCTGGCTTGACTGGCTGGCTGGCTTGGCTTGCTTGGCTAGCTGGCTGAGTTGGCTGGCTTGTGTGTCTTGGCTGGCTGGCTGGCTTCATTGGCTTGGATGGCTGGCTGGCTTGGATGGCTGCCTGGCTTGGCTAGCTTGGCTGGCTGACTGGCTTGGCTGCCTTGGCTGGCTTGGCTGGCTTGGCTTGCTGGTTGTCTTGGCTGGCTTGGCAGGCTGACTTGGCTGGCTTTGCTGGCTGGCTGGCTTTGCAGGCTTGGCTGGCTGGCTGGCTTGGCAGGCTTGGCAGGCTTGGCTGGCTTGGCTGGCTTGGCTGGCTCCTGGCTTGGCTGGCTTGGCTGGCTTGGCTGGCTTGCTTGGCTGGCTTGGCTGGCTGGGTGGCTTGGCTGGCTTGGCTGGCTGGCTGGCTGGGTGTCTTGGGTGGCTTGGCTGGCTGGGTGGCTTGGCTGGTTTGGCTGGCTGACTTGGCTGGCTAGCTGGCTTGGCTGACTTGGCTGGCTAGCTGGCTTGGCTGGCTTGGCTTGGCTGCCTGGCCGGCTGGCTGGCTGGCTGGCTTGGCTGGCTTGGCAGGCTGGCTGGTTGGGTGGCTTAGCTGGCTGGCTGGCTGGCTGGGTCGCTTGACTGGCTTGGCTGGTTGGCTTGGCTGGCTTGGTTTGCCAGGCTGGAGTGCAATGGTGCAAACTTGGCTAGCTGCAGCCTCCACCTCCTGTGTTCAAGTGATCCTCCTGCGTTGGCCTCCCGAGTAGCTGGGATTAGAGATGAGTGCCACCACGCCCATCTATTTTTTTTGTATATTTAGTGGAGACGTTGTTTCACCATGTTGGCCAGGCTGGTGTTTTTTTTCATTTTGTTTTTTTTTCTGAGTGGGAGTCTCGCTCTGTTGCCCAGGCTGGAGTGCAGTGGTGCAATCTTTGTTCGCTGCAACCTCCACCTCCCGGGTTCAAGCGATCCTCCTGCCTGGGCCTCCCGAGTAGCTGGGATTACATTCGTGTGCTACCATGCTCAGCTAATTTCTTTGTGTATTTAGTACTGACGGGGTTTCACCATGTTGGCCAAGGTGCTCTTTTTTTTTCTTTTTTCTGAGATGGAGTCTCGCTCCATTGCCCTGGTTGGAGTTCTTCTTTTTTTTCAGATGGAGTGTCACTCTGTTGTCCAGGGTTCAGTGCAGTGGTGCAATCTTGGCTGGCTGCAGCCTCTACCTCCCGAGTTCAAGCGATCCTCCTGCCTGGGCCTCCCGAGTAGCTGGGATTACAATCGTGTGCCACCACGCTCAGCTAATTTCTTTGTATATTTAGTACTGATGGGGTTTCACCATGTTGGACAGGCTGGTCTTTTTTTTTTTTTTTTTTTGAGATGGAGTCTTGCTATATTGCCCAGGCTGGAGTGCTTTTTTTTCAGATGGAATCTCACTTTCTTGCCCAGGCTGGAGTGCAGTGGTGCAATCTTGGTTCGCTGCAACCTCCACCTCCCGGGTTCAAGCGATCCTCCTGCCTGGGCCTCCCGAGTAGCTGGGATTACAGGCGTGTGCCACCACGCCCAGCTAATTTTTTTGCATATTTAGTAGAGACGTGGTTTCACCATGTCGGACAGGCTGCTCTTTTTTCCTTTTTTTTTTTTTTTTTGAGATGGAGTCTTGCTATATTGCCCAGGCTGGAGTGTTTCTTTTTTTTTCAGATGGAGTCTCACTTTGTTGCACAGGCCGGAGTGCAGTGGTGCAGTCTTGGCTCGCTGCAGCCTCCACCTCCCAGGTTCAAGCGATCCTCCTGCCTGGGCCTCTCGAGTAGCTGGGATTACAGGCATGTGCCACCACGCCCAGCTAATTTTTTTGTGTATTTAGTAGAGACGGGGTTTCACCATGTCGGCCAACCTGGTCTTTTTTTTTTTTTTTTTTTTTTCTGAGATGGAGTCTCGCTCTGTTGACCAGACTGGAGTGCTTCTTTTTTTTCAGATGGACTCTCACTCTGTTGCCCAGGCCAGAGTGCAGTGGTGCAATCTTGGCTCGCTGCAGCCTCCACCTCCCAGGTTCAAGTGATCCTCCTGCCTGGGCCTCCCCAGTAGCTGGGATTAGAAGCCTGTGCCACCACGTCCAGCTAATTTTTTTTGTATATTTAGTAGAGACGGGATTTCACCATGTTGGCCAACCTGGTCTTTTTTTTTTTTTTTTTTTTTTTTTTTTTTCTGAGATGGAGTCTCTCTCTGTTGCCCAGGCTGGAGTGCTTCTTTTTTTTCAGATGGACTCTTACTCTGTTACCCAGAGCAGAGTGCAGTGGTGCAATCTTGGCTCGCTGTAGCCTCCAACTCCCAGGTTCAAGCGATCCTCCTGTCTGGGACTCCCGAGTAGCTGGGATTACATTCGTGTGCCATGACGCCCAGCTAATTTCTTTGTATATTTAGTAGAGACGGGGTTTCACCATGTTGGGCAGGCTGTTTTTTGTTGTTGTTGTTGTTGTTGTTGTTGTTGTTTTGAGATGGAGTCTCGCCCTGTTGCCCAGGCTGGAGTGCAGTGGTGCAATCTTGGCTCGCTGCAGCCTCCACCTCCCGGGTTCAAGGGATCCTCCTACCTGGGCCTCCCGAGTAGCTGGGATTATATTCGTGTGCCACCATGCTCAGCTAATTTCTTTGTATATTTAGTATTGATGGGTTTTCACCATGTTGGCCAGGCTGCTCTTTTTTTTTTTTTTTTTTTTTTTTCTGAGATTGAATCTCACCCTGTTGCTCAGGCAGGCGTTCAGAGGTGCAATCTTGGTTTGCTGCAACCTCCACCTCCCGGGTTCAAGCATTCCTCCAGCCTGGGCCTACCGAGTAGCTGGGATTACAGGCGTGTGCCATGACGCCCAGCTAATTTTTTTGTATATTTAGTAGAGACGGGGTTTCACCATGTTGGCAAGGCTGGTCTTTCTTTTTTTTTTTTTTTCTGAGATGGAGTCTCGCTCTATTGCCCAGGCTGGAGTGCTTTTTTTTCATATAGAGTCTCACTCTGTTGCCCAGGATGGAGCGCAGTGGTGCAATCTTGGCTCCGCTGCAGCCTCTACCTCCCGGGTTCAAGCGATCCTCCTTCCTGGGCCTCCCGAGTAGCTGGGATTACAGGCATGTGCCACCACGCCCAGCTAATATTTTTGTATATTTAGTAGAGATGGGGTTTCACCATGTCGGCCAGCTGGTCTTTTTTTTTTTCGAGTTGGAGTCTCGCTATATTGCCCGGGCTGGAATGCTTCTTTTTTTTCAGATGGAGTCTCACATTTTGCCCAGGGTGGAGTGCAGTGGTGCAATCCTGGCTGGCTGCAGCCTCCACCTCCCAGGTTCAAGCAATCCTCCTGCCTGGGATTACAGGTGTGTGTCACCACGCCCAGCTAATTATTTTGTATATTTAGTAGAGATGGGGTTTCACCATGTTGGCCAACCTGTTCTTTTTTTTTTTTTTTTTTTTTTCTGAGATGGAGTGTCGCTCTGTTGCCCAGGCTGAAGTGCTGTGGTACAATCTTGGCTCGCTGCAGCCTCCACCTCCCGGGATCAAGTGATCCTCTTGTCTGGGCCTCCCAAGTAGCGGGGATTACAGGTGTGTAGCAATACGCCCAGCAATTTTTTTGTATATTTAGTAGAGATGGGGTTTCACCATGTTGCCCAGGCTGGTCTTTTTTTTTTTTTTTGAGATGGAGTCTGGCCCTGTTGCCCTGGCTCGAGTGCAGTGGTGCAATCTTGGCTCGCTGCAGCCTCCACCTCCCGGGTTTAAGCGATCCTCCTTCCTGGGCATCCCGAGTATGTGGGATTACATTCGTGTGCCACCATGCACAGCTAATTTCTTTGTATATTTAGTATTGACGGGGTTTCACCATGTTGGCCAGGCTGCTCTTTTTGTTTTTTTTTTTTTTCTGAGATGGAGTCTCACCCTGTTGCCCAGGCTGGAGTGCAGTGGTGCAATCTTGGCTCACTGCAGCCTCTACCTCCCGGGTTCAAGCGATCCTCCTGCCTGTGCCTACCAAGTAGCTGGTATTACAGGCGTGTGCCGTGACACCCAGCTAATTTTTTTGTATATTTAGTAGACACGGGGTTCACCATATTGGCCAGGCTGGTGTTTTTTTTTTTTTTTTTTTTTTTTTTGAGGTTGAGTCTCGCTATATTGCCGTGGCTGGAGTTCTTTTTTTCAGATGGAGTCTCACTCGGGTGGAGTGCAGTGGTGCAATTTTGGCTCGCTGCAGCCTCAAACTCCCAGGTTCAAGCAATCCTCCTTCCTGGGCCTCCCGAGTAGCTGGGATTACAGGCGTGTGCCACCACGGCCAGCTAATACTTTTGTATTTTTAGTAGAGATGAGGTTTCACCATGTCGGCCAAGCTGGTCTTTTTTTAATTTTTTTCTCTCTTTTCTGAGATGGAGTCTCACCCTGTTGCCCAGGCTGGAGTTCAGTGGTGCTATCTTGGCTCGCTGCAGCCTCCACCTCCCAGGTTCAAGCGATCCTACTGCCTGGGGCTCCCGAGTAGCTGGGATTACAGCCGTGTGCCACCATGCCCAGCTAATTTTTTTATATATTTACTAGAGACGGGGTGTCACCATGTTGGCCAGGCTGGTCTTTTTTTTTTTTTCTGAGATGGAGTCTCGCCCTGTTGCCCAGGCTGGAGTGCAGTGGTGTAATCTTGGTTTGCTGCAGCCTCCACCTCCCGGGTTCAAGCGATCCTCCTGCCTGGGCCTTCCGAGTAGCTGGGATTACAGGCGTGTGCCACCATGCCTAACTAATTTTTTTGTATATTTAGTAGAGACATGGTTTTACCATGTTGGCCAACCTGTTCTTGTTTTTTTTTTTTTTTTTTTTTTCTGAGACGGAGTCTCGCTCTGTTGCCCAGGCGGAAGTGCGGTGGGACAATCTTGGCTCGCTGCAGCATATACCTTCTGGGTTCAAGAGATCTTCTTGCCTGGGCCTCCCGGGTAGCTGGGATTACAGGCGTGTGCCACCACGCCCAGCTAATTTTTTTTGTATATTTAGTAGAGACGGGGTTTCACCATGTTAGCCAGGCTGATATTTTTTTTTTTTCCTGAGATGGAGTCTCGCTCTGTTGCCCAGGCTGGAGTGCAGTGGTGCAATCTTGGTTCGCTGCAACCTCCACCTCCCGGGTTCAAGCGATCCTCCTGCCTAGGCCTCCCGAGTAGCTGGGATTACAGGCGTGTGCCACCACGCACAGCTAATTTTTTTGTGTATTTAGTAGAGACGGGGTTTCACCATGTTGGCCAGGCTGGTCTTTTTTTTTTTTTTTTTTTTTTTTTGAGATGGAGTCTCACTCTATTGCCCTGGCTGGAGTTCTTCTTTTTTTTCATATAGAGTCTAATTCTGTTATCCAGGGTGGAGTGCAGTGGTGCAATCTTGGCTCGCTGCAGCCTCCACCTCCCAGGTTCAAGCGATCCTCCTTCCTGGGCCTCCCGAGCAGCTGGGATCACAGGCATGTGCCACCACATCCAGGTAATTTTTTTTATATTTAGTAGAGACGGGGTTTCACCATGTTGGCCAGGCTGGTCTTTTTTTTTTTTTTTTCCTGAGATGGAGTCTCGCCCTGTTGCCCAGGCTGGAGTGCAGTGGTACAATCTTGGTTCACGGCAACCACCCCCTCCCGGGTTCAAGTGATCATCCTGCCTGGGCCTCCCGAGTACCTGGTATTACAGGTGTGTGCCATCAAACCCAGCTATTTTTTTTTTTTTTGAGATGTAGTATCACTCTGACACCACCGTGGAGTACAGTGGCGCCATCTCGGCTCACTGCAACCTCCGCTTCCTAGGTTCAAGCAATTCTCCTGCCTCAGCCTCCGGAGTAGCAGGGATTACAGGCATGTGCCACCACATCCAGCTAATTTTTCTATTTTTAGTAGAGACGGGGTTTCACCATGTTGGTCAGGCTGGTCTCGATCTCATGACCTCGTGATCCACCCACCTCGGCCTCCCAAGGTGCTGGGATTACAGGCATGAGCCACCACGCCTGGCCCTATTTTTTTTGTATATTTAGAAGAGACGGGGTTTCACCATGTTGGCCAGGCTGGTGTTTTTTTTTTTTTTTTTTTTTTTTTTGAGATGGAGTCTCGCTCTATTGGCCAGGCTGGAATGCTTCTGTTTTTTCAGATGGAGTCTCACTCTGTTGCCCAGGCTGGAGTGCAGTGGTGCAATCTTGGCTCGCTGCAGCCTCCACCTCCCTGATTCAAGCGATCCTCCTTCCTGGGCCTCCCGAGTAGCTGGGATTACAGGTGTGTGCCACCACCCCCAGCTAATTTTTCTGTATATTTTGTAGAGATGGGGTTTCACCCTGTTGGCCAGGCTGGTCTATTTTATTTTATTTTTTCTGAGATGGAGTCTCGCCCTGTTGCCCAGGCTGGAGTGCAGTGGTGCAATCTTGGCTCGCTGTAGCCTCCACCCCCAGGGTTCAAGCTATCCTCCTGCCTGGGCCTCCCGAGTAGCTGGGATTACATTCATGTGCCACCACGCCCAGCTAATTTCTTTTCATATTTAGTAGAGATGGGGTTTCACCGTGTTGGCCAGGCTGGCCTTTTTTTTTTTCTTTTTCTGAGATTGAGTCTCACCCTGTTGCCCAGGCTGGAATGAGGTGGTGCAATCTTGGTTCGCTTCAACCTCCACCTCCCTGGTTAAAGCGATCCTCCTGCCTGGGCCTCCCGAGTAGCTGGGATTACTGGCGTGTGCCACCACGCCTAGATAATTTTTTATACATTTAGTAGAGACGGGGTTTCATCATGTTGGCCAGGCTGTTTTTTTTTTATTTTTTTTGAGATGGAGTCTCGTCCTGGCATGGCTGGCTGGCTGGCTTGTATGGCTTGGCTGGCTGGCTGGCATGGCTGGCTTGGCTGGTTCGCTGGCTGACAGGCTTGGCTGGCTGGGTGGCTTGGCTGGCATGCCTGGCTGGGTGGTTTGGCTGGCTTAGTTGGCTGGGTGGCTTGGCTGGCTGGCTGGCTGGCTGGCTGGCTTGGCTGGTGGGGTGGCTTGGCCGGACACCTCGCTTGGCTGGCTGGATGGCTTGGCTGGCACGGATTGCTTGGCTGGCTGGCTGGCTTGGCTTGCGTGGCTGGCTGGATGGCTTGGCTGGCTTGGCTGTCTTGGCTGGCTGGATGGCTTGGCTGGCTGTGTGGCTTGGCTGTCTTGGCTGGCTGGGTGGCTTGGCTGGCTGTGTGGCTTGGCTGGCTTGGCTGGCTGGGTGGCTTGGCTGGCTGGCTAACTGGCTTGGCTGGCGTGGATGGCTGGCTGGCTTGGTGGGTGGCCGGCTTGGCAGGCTGGCTGGCTGGCCTGACTGGCTTGATGGCTAGATGGCTTGGCTGGCTGGGTGGCTTGCCTGGCTTGGCTGGCTTGGCTGTATGGCTGGCTTGACTGGCTTGGCTGGCTGGCTGTCTTGGCTGGCTTGGATGGCTGGCTGGCTTGGCTGGTTGGCTGGTTTGGCCGGCTTGGCTGGCTTGGCTGGCTTGGGTGGCTGGCTGCCTGGCTGTCTTGGCTGGCTTGGCTGGCTGGGTGGCTTGGCTGGCTGGGTGGCTTGGCTGGTTTGGCTGGCTGGCTGGCTGGGTGGCTTGGCTAGCTGGCTGGCTTGGCTGGTTGGCTGGCTTGGCTGGCTTGGCCGGCCGGGTGGCTTGGCTGGCTTGGCTAGCCAGCGGGCTTAGCTAGCTGGATGGCTTGGCTGGCATGCCTGGCTTGGCTGGCTGGCTGGCTTGGCTGGCTTGGCTGCCTGGCTGGCTTGGCTGGCATGCCTGTCTTGGCTGGCTGGCGGGCTTGACTGGCTTGGCTGGCTTGGCTGCCTGGCTGGCTGGCTGGCGGGCCTGGCTGGCTGGCTGGCGGGCCTGGCTGGCTAGGTGGCTTGGCTGGCTTGGCTGGCTTGGCTGGCTTGGGTGGCTGGCTGCCTGGCTGGCTGATTGGCTTGGCTGGCTTGGCTGGCTGGGTGGCTTGGCTGGCTGGGTGGCTTGGCTGGTTTGGCTGGCTGGCTGGCTGGGTGGCTTGGCTAGCTGGCTGGCTTGGCTGGTTGGCTGGCTTGGCTGGCTTGGCTGGCTGGCTTGGCTGGCCGGGTGGCTTGGCTGGCTTGGCTAGCCGGCTGGCTTAGCTGGCTGGATGGCTTGGCTGGCATGCCTGGCTTGGCTGGCTGGCTGGCTTGGCTGGCTTGGCTGCCTGGCTGGCTTGGCTGGCATGCCTGTCTTGGCTGGCTGGCGGGCTTCACTGGCTTGGCTGGCTTGGCTGCCTGGCTGGCTGGCTGGCGGGCCTGGCTGGCTAGGTGGCTTGGCTGGCTTGGCTGGCTGGGTGGCTGGCTGCCTGGCTGGCTGATTGGCTTGGCTGGCTTGGCTGGCTTGGCTGGCTGGGTGGCTGGCTGCCTGGCTGGCTGATTGGCTTGGCTGGCTTGGCTGGCTGGGTGGCTTGGCTGGCTGGGTGGCTTGGCTGGTTTGGCTGGCTGGCTGGCTGGGTGGCTTGGCTAGCTGGCTGGCTTGGCTGGTTGGCTGGCTTGGCTGGCATGCCTGGCTTTGCTTGCTGGCTGGCTTGGCTGGCTTCGCTGCCTGGCTGGCTTGGCTGCCCGGCTGGCTTGGCTAGCATGCCTGTCTTGGCTGGTTGGCGGGCTTGGCTGGCTTGGCTGGCTTGGCTGTCTGGGCTGGCTGACTGGCTTGGCTGGCTTGGATGGCCGGGTGGCTTGGCTGGCTTGGCTGGCTGGGTGGCTTGGCTGGCTGGGTGGCTTGGCTGGTTTGGCTAGCTGGCTGACTGGGTGGCTTGGCTAGCTGGCTGGCTTGGCTGGTTGGCTGGCTTGGCAGGCTTGGCTGGCTGGCTTGGCTGGCCGGGTGGCTTGGCTGGCTTGGCTAGCCGGCTGGCTTAGCTGGCTGGATGGCTTGGCTGGCATGCCTGGCTTGGCTGGCTGGCTGGCTTGGCTGGCTTGGCTGGCTTGGCTGCCTGGCTGGCTTGGCTGACATGCCTGGCTTTCCTTGCTGGCTGGCTTGGCTGGCTTCGCTGCCTGGCTGGCTTGGCTAGCATGCCTGTCTTGGCTGGTTGGCGGGCTTGGCTGGCTTGGCTGGCTTGGCTGTCTGGGCTGACTGGCTTGGCTGGCTTGGATGGCCGGGTGGCTTGGCTGGCTTGGCTGGCTGGGTGGCTTGGCTGGCTGGGTGGCTTGGCTGGTTTGGCTAGCTGGCTGACTGGGTGGCTTGGCTAGCTGGCTGGCTTGGCTGGTTGGCTGGCTTGGCAGGCTTGGCTGGCTTGGCTGGCTGGCTTGGCTGGCCGGGTGGCTTGGCTGGCTTGGCTAGCCGGCTGGCTTAGCTGGCTGGATGGCTTGGCTGGCATGCCTGGCTTGGCTGGCTGGCTGGCTTGGCTGGCTTTGCTGGCTTGGCTGCCTGGCTGGCTTGGCTGACATGCCTGGCTTTGCTTGCTGGCTGGCTTGGCTGGCTTCGCTGCCTGGCTGGCTTGGCTAGCATGCCTGTCTTGGCTGGTTGGCGGGCTTGGCTGGCTTGGCTGGCTTGGCTGTCTGGGCTGGCTGACTGGCTTGGCTGGCTTGGATGGCCGGGTGACTTGGCTGGCTTGAGTGGCTGAGTGGATTGGCTAGCTTGGCTGGCCGGCTGGCTTGGCAGGCTGGCTGGCTTGGCTGGCTTGGCTCGCTGGCTGGCTGGCTGGCGGGCCTGGCTGGCTAGGTGGCTTGGCTGGCTTGGCTGGCTGGGTGGCTTGGCTGGTTTGGCTGGCTGGGAGGCTTGGCTGGCTTGGCTGGCTGGCTGGCTGACTGGCTTGGCTGGCTTGGCTGGCTGGCTGGCTGACTGGCTTGGCTGGCTTGGCTGGCTTGGCTGGGTGGCCGGCTTGGCTGACTTGGCTGACTGGCTTGGCTGGGTTGGCCAGCTTCGCTGGCTGGCTTGGGTCTCTTGGCTGCCTGGGCTGGCTGTCTGGCTGGGCTGTCTGGCTGGTTGGCTGGCTTGTCTGGCTTGGCTGGGTGGCCGGCTTGGCTGGCTTGGCTGACTGGCTTGGCTGGTTTGGCCAGCTTTGCTGGCTGGCTTGGGTCTCTTGGCTGGCTTTGCTGGGTGGCTGGCTTGGCTGGGTGGCTGGCTGGCTTGGCTGGCTGGCTGGTTTGGCTGGCTGACTGGCTGGGCTGGCTGGGCTCGCTGTCTGGCTTGGCCGGCTCGGCTGGCTGGCTGGCTGGCTGGGCTGGCTTGGCTGGCTGGCTGGCTTGGCTGGCTTGGCTGGCTAACTGGCTGGCTTGGCTGGCTTGGCTTGGCTCGCTTGGCCTGCTGGCTTGGCTGCCTTGTCTGGCTGGCTGGCTTGGTTTGCTTGGCTGCCTGGCTGGCTTGGCTGGCTTGGCTGCCTTGGCTGGCTTGGCTGGCTGGCTGGCTTGGCTGGCTTGGCTGTTTGGGTTGGCTGGCTGGCTGGGGCTCCTGGGCTGGCTGGCTGGCTTGGCTGGCTGGCTTGCTTGGCTGGCTTGGCTGGCTTGGCTGGCTGGCTGGCTTGGCTGGCTTGGCTGGCTGACTGGCTTGGCTGGTTTGGCTGGCTTGGCTGGCTGGCTAGCTGACTCACTTGGCTGGCTTGGCTGGGTGGGTGGCTTAGCTGGCTTGGCTGACTGGCTTGGCTGGCTTGGACATTAAATATAATAATATATTTGGTACATTAAATATAAATTGTATACGTTAAATATAAACATCTTTTATACATCAAACATAAACATTTTATACATTAAATGTAAACATATCTTATATGTTAAATATAAACTTCTTTTATACATTAAATATAAGAATACATTTGGTACATTTAATGTATACAGTACATTAAATATAGACATTTTAGACATTAAATATAAGCATATATTCAGCACATTAAATGTAAACATATTTTATACATTAAATATAAATACTGTGTATGTTAAATATAAATATGTATTTTCTATATTAAATGTAAATATGTATCCTGTACATTAAATATAAACATATTTTCTATATTAAATATAAACATGTATTTTGCATAGTAAATATAACTATACCTTTTCTATATTAAATATCAACATGTATTATGTATATTAAACAAAGCATATATTTCCCATATTAAATATAAACATATATTTTTATATGTTAAATATAAATATATATTTCCTGTATTAAATATACACATATATATTAAATATAAATATATTTTTCTATATGAAATGTAAACATATTTTAAACATTAAATATAAATATTCGTCTTAGATATGGCCCGTGTTGGAATGTGTAGTAGATTGAGTATATAATGTCTACTCAATATAAAATTTATATTTATATATGCAGTAATGATTCAAGTTGATTGTAGTTAAGAAAAACAAGCTCCAAATTCGAAAGAAATATGTAAGAAGAGAGACAGGAAGAAAAAATAATGAGGCAGGTAAATGCAACAGACAATTCGAGACCCACAAGTGCAGAGCAGGCTTCCCAGACCCAGGTAATGTCTCCTGGGCTGATAGGAAGCCCTCAACCCCCCAAGTCCTTCTCAGCCATAAACCACCTGAGCACAGAGCCACAGGGACCGTGTTGGGGCTGGGCCTCCCGACTTCAGTTCCTCTCATTCTGTGCAAAAGGAAAAACAATTCAGAATCTACAGAGGTTTAGATGTGTGCAGATGTGGACAGAGAAGTCCGGGCACAGTGGTTTACTGCCCAAGAAGACAGTGAGTCCCCGGAGGAATAGAAGAATATACATCATGCTAATATATGTCATCCCAGTACTTTGGGAGGCCGAGGCGGGTGGATCACTTGAGGTCAAGAGTTCGAGACCAGCCTGGCCAACATGGTGAAACCCCGTCTCTACTAAAAATACAGAAATTAGTTGGCCGCGGGGGTGGATGACTGTGATCCCAGATACTCGGGAGACAGAGGCAGGATGAACTGCTTGAACCTGGGAGGAGGAGGTTGCAGTGAGCTGAGATCATGCCATTGCACTCCAGCCTGGGGAAAAGAGCAAGATCCAGTCTCAAAGAAAAAAGAAAAAAAGAAAGAAGTTGTGAGTGCTAAGTTCTCTCTGGATTTTCAGGAGGCCAGTTCTCCAGTCCACGGTGGCCTGGGAGGACAGGGGTTCCTGAGGGTGAACAGAGCCTGTGCCCGGTCAGGTAGGATCATATGTCCCTGAAGTTCAGAACCCAGGAGCATGGGGATGGTCCTGGGGGTTCCTGCTGCACGGAGGGAAGACCCTCTTTCCACAGGGGCCCCGGAGAGCGAGAGGAAGGAGGAGGGCAGGTCAGTGAGTGTGATGGGGTCACAGTGGAGAGGGAAGCAGAAAGAAGTGTTCCCACAGCAAGACACACACACTGTCCATGCTGAAGCTACAGAGAGGACCTCTCCACCTGTGTCTGCCGCAAAGCAGTGGGGCGTCTTCTGGCAGCCCAGAGTCACCTCCAGATCCCACCTGCACCATGCTTCCTGCGGAGACTGCCTGTCTTCCTAATACACTGTCTTCTGACCAGTCTTCCAGACAAATCACCGGTTGCTATATATATATATTTTTTAATAGCTAATATCTTACACTGATATATTTATATTATATATAAATAATTTTGTGCTTTATGTTTATGCTATATATACAGATGTAGTTAGCTATTTATGTTATATATAATATAAACATGATGTATATTCTTATATTTCTCTGGGGACTCACTGTCTTCTTAATACACTGTCTTCTGACCAAATTCTTCCAGACAAATCAGCTGTTGCTATATATATATATATGCTATATATTTTATTGCATAGAATATATTATATATTATATAGCATAGAATATATTAATTATATAATATATGTTACATATTACATATTATATATAATATATTATATTATTATGCTATATCTTATATATTATATATGTTATATATGTATATATATTATATGTACACATATACACATACATACACACATGTATATTTTAATAGCTAATATCTTACACTGGTATATTTATATTACATACGATTATATACAAATATTTTTGTACTTTATGTTTATGCTGTATATACAGATGTAATTAGTTGTTTATGTTATATATAATATAAACATGATGTATATTCTTATTTTCCTGTGAGGACCCACTGTCTTCTTAATACACTGTCTTCTGACCAAAGTCTTCCACACAAATCAGCGGTTACTATATATATATATAATATTTATATACACATATACACATACATACACACATATGTATATTTTAATAGCTAATATCTTACACTGATATATTTATATTACATATAGTAATATACTAATATTTTTGTACTTTAAGTTTATACTATATATACAGATGTTGTTAGGTATTTATGTTATATATAATATATTAACATGATGCACATTCTTGTATTCTCCTGGGGACTCACTGTCTTCTTAATACACTGTCTTCTGACTAGAATATTCCAGACAAATCACCGGTTGCTCTCTCTCTCTCTATATATATATATATTTTAATAGCTAATATCTTACACTGATATATTTATATTACATATAGTTATATACAAATATTTTTGTACTTTTGTTTATACTATATACACAGATGTAGTTAGCTATTTATGTTATATATAATATATCAACATGATGTATATTCTTATATTCCTCTGGGAACTCACAGTCTTCTTAATACACTGTCTTCTGACCAAACTCTTCCAGACAAATCAGCTGTTGCAGTATATATATATATTTATTTTTTAATAGCTAGTATCTTACACTGTGGCTCATGCCTGTAATCCCAGCACTTTGGGAGGCCGAGGCGGGTGGATCACCTGAGGTCAGGAGTTTGAGACCATCCTGGCTAACACAGTGAAACCCCATCTCTACTAAAAATACAAAAATTGATTGGGTGTGGTGGTGCATGCCTGTAATCCCAGCTACTCGGGAGGCTGAGGCAGGAGAATCGCTTGAACCCAGGAGGCAGAGGTTGCAGTGAGACGAGATCGTGTTGCTGCACTCCAGCCTGGGCAACAGAGCGAGACTCCATCTCACACACACAAAACATCTTACACTGATGTATTTATATTACGTGTAGCTGTATATAAATATTTTTGTACTTATATTCTGTGTACTTATATTCTATATATTATAAAACATTATATAAAATTATACATGTATAATAAAATGTTACATAAAAATTTTAACATAATACCATTTTATTACATATATTTCTAAATTTAATATAATGAAATTTTATATGTAATAATGTATAACATCTCTAAATTTATTATAATACAATGATATGTAATTATTTTCTCATATTATAATTATACATAAGGTAATTTATTATAAATAAGATTTTATATAATCTACATTTATTATAATAAAATTTTATTACATATAACACATTTCTAAATTTAATACAATAAAATACTATGTATAATAATTTATAACGTTTCAAAATTTATTATATAATTTTATTATACAATTATTTTATACATAATTATACATAGTATATAATTGTACTTATAGAAATATAATTATGCATATACAATATGTAATTTTATTTTTACACAGTATATATGTATAATTATGTATTAACAAATATAATATCAATTTTATATACTTATTTACATTAAGTTATATATTATAGAAATGATGTTATATGTTATATATGTTACATATATTTTTGCTTAATATATTAAATTTAATCTATAAAATTATGTATTAGAAATAAAAGTATTTTACATATACACTACATATAACTTTATTTATATAAAAATATAAAAGTCATATGGTTAAGTTACTAAAATAATTTATATCAATCTATTCATATAAAATATACACAATGCGTATTTCTATAAATACAAAGTATATAAAACTTTTACCAGTAGGATGCAAAGAGTTGCTGACCGTCTGCAGAAATCCTGAACCTCTGGAAGCAGAATAAAATCTTACCTCCCAGTCTGCTTTGAAAGGAACAGTAAAGCAGTCCCGAACCCCAAACCCACCCTAAGGGGAGATGGGGGAGTTGGGATGGACGCGTTGACCAGTGAGGACTTTCCTTTGCTGGTTTTGAGGTGTCTTAGCCCAGAAGCTAAGATGGGAAGTGATTCTGGAGCAGGTGAGCTGATCACAAGCCTGAGCCAAGAATCCATGGAGCTCATAAATAGCAGAAGCCGGGACCCTGTGCAAATCCTTCTGAAATATTCTGCATTTACTGGGCTCCTAGGGGTGGGGAAGAAAAATTCCCTGACATTTCGGCCTCAGGGAAAGAGAGAGACACCCCACTGGCCGGAAGCCTCTGCTATTTTTCAGAAGACAGCTGGGGCATCACCCTTTCCCAAATGACGGTGATTTTCAGAGTGGTTCACTTTTTGGAGAGACATTTCTGCCCTGGAGATCCATACATATTGAACCCAAATGAATATTTTTTAATTAAAAAAAATTAAACTTTAGAAAGTTCAATATTGAGGCAGCTACGAGTTTGAATTCCTCATTTTTCCTAAATGCATGTTGTCAAAATCTGTATTGCATTTAGTAACTACTTATGTTTCTAATGTATATAAGGTTACACAATGTTTTCTTCTTTTTCTGCTCCTCAGGGTCAGAATTTGAAATAAAAGTTTTGGAAAGAAAAAACACTCTTGTCTGTTTGTGCAAAAATAAAAGAACCCATATTTTAAGAATATTTTAAAATAAATACAAATTTTGTGTGGGGGGTTGCTTATAAGAATTCTTCATATCCTAAATCAAAGATAGATCTTGTTATTAACCAGAAAACAAAATGTGAGTGTATAAATGTACAACACTCTTACACTCACACAAACACAGGCACACATGCACACACATTCACACACTCACTGATGTACTCACACAAACACAGGCATTCATGTATAAATACACACATAAGCGTGTATTTATAGAAATATAATTATGCACATACAATATATAATTTTATTTTTACATAGTATATATACATAATTATGTATTAACAAATATAAGATCAATTTTATTATATACTTATTTACATAAAGATATATTATATAAATGATGTTATATGGCATGTATATATCACATGTAACTTTGCTTAGTATATAAAATTTAATCTATAAAATTATGTATCACAAATAAAAGTATATTTTACATATACACTATATATAACTTTATTTATATGAACTATAAAAATCATGTTTATATTAAAATATATTTATATCAATATATTAATATAAAGTATGCACAATGTATATTTATATAAAAATTTTTAATTAAAAAATATTCATTTGGGTTCAATATGTATGGATCGCCAGGGCAGAAACGTCTCTTCAAAAGGTGAACCGTTCTTAAAATCACCGTCATTTAGGAAAGAGTGATACCCCACCTGTTTTCTGAGAAACAGCAGAGGTGTACGGCCAGCGGGGTGTCTCTCTCTTTCCCTGAGGCCGAAAAGTCAGGGAATTTTTCTTCCCCACCCCTAGGAGCTCTGTAAACCGGGGATATTTCAGAAGGATTTGCACAGGGTCCCGGCTTCTGTTGTAAATGAGCTCCATGGATTCTCGGCTCAGACTTGTGATCAGCTCACCTGCTCCAGAATCACTGACACAAATGCAACCACACACTTACACAAACACACATCAACACAAAGACAGACAGAATCACAAAACACACTCATAGAAACACATGGACACACGAAGACATGCACACTCACACAAATGCAGGGACACACACACAAACACAATTACAAAAATGTGTGGGTTTTTTGCACACGTGGGTGCACATGCACATTGACATTCTCACAAAGCACACAAACACGTATACATACAAAGTCACTCATAAACAGAATCATGAAAACACTCTCATATAAACACGTGGATGGCTACTCACCCACACAGACACTCACATATGTCATACACACTCATAGACACACTCAGAATCACACAAGCACACACAAACACATAAATACAGTCACACACTCATGGAAACACAGTCACAAAAAGACTCACATAATCATGTAGACACACAAACATAAAAATTCACACACTGGGGCCGGGCAAGGTGGCTCACGCCTGTACTCCCAGAACTTTGGGAGGCCGAGGCGGGCAGATAACTTGAGGTCGGGAGTTCCAGACCAGCCTGGCCAACATGGTGAAACCCCATCTCTACTCAAAAATACAAAAATTAGCCAGATGTGGTGGCTTATGCCTGTAATCCCAGCTACTCAGGAGGCTGAGGCAGGAGAATCATTTGAACCTGGGAGGCAGAGGTTGCAGTGAGCCAAGATCACGCCACTGCACTCCAGCCTGGGTGACAGAACGAGACTCCATATCAAAAAAGAAAAATTAGCCAGATGTGGCGGTGGGTGTCTGTAATCCCAGGTACTCAGGAGGCTGAGGCAGAAGAATCGTTTGAACCCGGGAGGTGGAGGTTGCTGTGAGCTGAGATTGAGCCTTTGCACTCCAGTATGGGTGACAGAGCGAGACTCCGTCTCAAAAAAAAAAAAAAAAGAATTTCTACATTGCCATACAGATTCACACACATACACTCATATTCACAAACACACAAATACGATAAACGCAGGTGCACACAAAAACACCATCACAAAAACACACTTCCATAAAACACAGGAATGCACGCTCACACAGAAACACGCATGGAAACACACGTTGTCTTACAGACTCACAGACACACTCATCATCACATAAACAGGCACACACACACAGCCACACAAGCACACACCCACACCCACATCAACACACACACTCCCACACGGCACACACGCGCTCACGCACACAGGTAGAACAGGCCTGCATTACCTGATAACGCAGTGAAATCAGACGTGATGCTGCCTGCTGAGGAGACCTGGAGGCTTCCCATGAATGGGCTTTCAGAAGAGAGGTCTCTGGGTGCATTTGGTGACACCCCAGGCAGTGGGGGAGACGTCCAGGCTGGAAGGCCAGCCACAGCCAGCTCTGCCCAAGGATGCCACGTCCATTTGCTTCAGTAGGATATGTACCCTGGAAACCCAGCTTCCTGCCTCTCCAGGAAACCCCACTGAGGTCAGCACATCCCCCCAGGTTTAGAAGGGGTCTCTGGGTGCATTTGGTGACACCCCAGGCGGGGGGGGGGGAGACATCCAGGCTGGAAGGCCAGCCACAGCCAGCTCTGCCCACGGATGCCACGTCCATTTGCTTCAGTAGGATCTGCACCCTGTAAACTCTGGTTCCTGCCTCTCCAGGACACCCCACTGAGGTCAGCACCCCCCACCCCCCACCCCCAGGTTTGTGCAGCTTCACTATCTGGGGAGAGACACAGAAAGACCACATTCGGTGGAATTCTGGCTATAACCTTTTGTGGCCGGCAAGAAGGATCACCAAGCTGTCCTGTTACCTTGCTGGAGCGATCACTGGTTTCACGCTTGGCCCCCGTGCAGTGAGTGCCTGGGCCAGGCTCGATTCTTGGAGCTCCAGTGAAATTTGGGCTTGGAGCTCACGCCTGCACCATCCAGAAAGCAGAAGGCAGCTGGCCCGGGCTGTACGGTTCGTAGAATCAGAGAGAACACTGCTTGCCTTCATGTCTGTACCACAATAAATCTGCCAACTGTGGTCAAAGTCTCTGGATTCCTGCCCCCTCATTTTATTTTGTCTATTATGGAGTGGAAGGAGTGAGAAAGATTTTGCTTCCTATTTTGTTTTGCAAGGCGTTTCTAAGAAAAACAACCCGTGTTCTGCAAACGACATTCTGAGTGTCCCCTGGGCGTGAGGAAAACAAACTTTGGGAATCCAAGGGCCTGAGAGGCAGAGTGAATGTCATTCACATTTCCCTGCGAATGACAAAGTCACTTTTTATTTATTATTATTATTATTATTAATTATTATTATTATAGATTCAGGGGATCCACGGGCAGCTTTGTGTCCTGGGGATATTGTACGATGCTGAGGTTTGGGGTATGAATAATCCCGTCACCCAGGCGCTGAGCATTGTACATTCCTGAGGTATATAATGTGTACTAAAATAAAATGTATATTTATATATGCACTAATGATTCAACTTGATTCCTTGTAATTAAGAAAAACAAACCCCAAATTCGAGAGGAGTTCTAGAAATATATAAGAAGAGGGCCAGGTGCAGTGGCTCATGCCTGTAATCCCAGCACTTTGGGAGGCCAAGGCAGGCAGATCACCTGAGGTCAGGAGTTCGAGACCAGCCTGGCCAACATGGTGAAACCCCGTCTCTGCTAAAAATACAAAAATTAGCCAGGTGTGGTGGCAGGTGCCTGTAGTCCCAGCTACTTGGGAGGCTGAGGTAGAAGAATTGCTTGAATCCAGGAGGCAGAAGTTGCAGGGAGCCGAGATTGCACCACTGCACTCCAGCCTGGGTCACAGAGTGAGACTCCATCTCAAAAAAAAGAAAAAAAAAAAAGAGAGAGAGAGAGATAGAAAACAAACAAGCAAGAAAATGCAACAGAAAAATCCGTGACCCAAAGATCTCTCCAGTTGCTGCCTTCTGCCTGAAATTCAAAGAATCTCAGGGTAGTTTTTCAACCCTTGTACCCCCGCCCCTGCTTCCTACTCTATTAGTCCTGAGGGTCTGTGGTGCCCCTTCATTGTGTCCAGGTGCAGGCAATGTTTAGCTCCCACCTATAAGCAAAAACATGTGGTGTTTTATTTTCTGTTCCTGGCGTTAATTCACTAAGCATAATGCCCTTCAGCTTCATCCACGTTGCTGCAAAGGGCATGATTTTATTCTTGTTCATGGCTGTGTAGTATTCCATGATGCAGAAGGACCACATTTGCTTTATCTAGTGCAGAACATGTGGTATTTGATTTTCTGTTCCTCATATTGATTCACTAAGCATAATGCCCTCTGGCTGCATCCATGTGGCTGCAAAGACATGATTTTATTTTTTTCATCACTGTGTAGTATTCCGTGGTGTAGAAGGGCCACATTTGCTTTATCCAGTTGAGAACATGTAGTATTTCATTTTCTGTTCCTGGCATTAATTCACTAAGCATAATGTCCTTCAGCTGTGTCCATGTGGCTGCAAAGGACATGACATTATTCTTTTTCGTGGCTGTGTAGTATTCCATGATGCAGAAAGACCACATTTGCTTTATCTAGTGGAGAACATGTGGTATTCGATTTTCTTTTCCTGGCGTTAATTCACTAAGCATAATTCCCTTCAGCTGTGTCCACGTGGCTGCAAAAACATGATTTTATTCTTTTTCATGGCTGTGCAGTATTCCATGGTGTAGAAGGGCCACAATTGCTTTATCCAGACAAGAACATGTGGTATTTGATTTTCTGTTCTTGTGTTAATTCATTAAGCATAATGCCCTCCAGCTACATCCATGTGGCCGCAAAGGACATGATTTTGTTCTTTTTCATGGCTGTGTAGTATTCGATGCTGTAGAAGAACCACTTTTGCTTTATCCGGTACCCCACTGATGGGCAACTAGGTTGATTCCATGACTTTCCTATTGTAAGTCGTGCTGTGATGAACCTTACAGGGCCAGGCACTGTAATCCCAGCACTCTGGAGGGCCAAGGTGGGCAGATCACCTGAGGTCAGGAGTTCGAGACCAGCCTGGTCAATATGGTGAAACCCTGTCTCTACTAAAAATACAAAAATTAGCCAGGCATGGTGGCGCATGCCTGTAATCCCAGCTGCTCAAGAGGCTGAGGCAGGAGAATCACTTGAACCCTGGAGGCAGAGGTTGCAGTGAGCCGAGATTGCTACTGCACTCCAGCATGGGAAATAGAGCGAGACTCCATCTCAAAAAACAAACAAAAAAAAGGAACTTTACCATGCATGTGTCTTTTTGGTAGAATGACTTCTTTTCCTTTGGGTAGATGCCCAGTCTTGGAATTGCTGGTGCAAATGATGGAGCAGTTTGGATTCAGGAGGTACATGTACAGGTTTCTTACATGGGTACGATGTGTGATGCTGAGGTCTGGGGTATGAGTGATCCCATCACCCAGGTAGTGAGCATAATACCCCACAGTTGGTTTTTTCAACTCTTGTCCTTCTACCTTCCTCTCTCCCCCTAACTAGACCCCAATATCTGTTCCCTTCTCTGTGTCTACATATACACAACATTTAGCTCCCACTTATAAGTGAGAACACGCAGCATTCTATTAATTTACTTAAGATAATGGCCTCCACACTGTTCACAATAGCAAAGATGTGGAACCAACCCAAATGCTCATCAGTGATAGACTGGATAAAGAAAATGTAGCACATAGACACTGTGGAATACTATGCAGCCATGAAAAAGATGAGTTCATGTCCTTTGCAGGGACATGGATGAAGCTGGAAACCCTCATGTTCAGCAAAGTGACACAGGAGCAGAAAACCAAACAGTGCATGTTCTCACTCATAAGTGGGAAGTGAACAATGAGAACACATCAACCCAGAGAGGGGAACATCACACACTGGGGCCTACTGCAGGGGTGGGGGACTGGGAAAGGGACAGCATTATGAGAAATATCTAATGTAGATGATGGGTTGATGGGTGCAGCAAACCGCTATGGCACATGTATATCTATGTAACAATCCTGCACATTCTGCACATATACCCCAGAACTTAAAGTAGAATAGAAAAAAAATAATAAAAATAATTAAAAAAGATAATGGCCTCCAGCTACATCCATGTTGCTGCAAAAAAAAAAAAAAAAAAACCAACCGTGATTTTGTTCCTTTTCAGGGTTGCGTAGTAGTCCATGGTGTAGATGTACCGCGTTTTCTTTGAGGGTGGGAGGAGGGAGAAGATCAGCAAAAATAACCTGTGGCTGGGTATGGCAGCTCACACCTGTATTCTCAGCAGTTTGGGAGGCTGAGGTGCGTGGATCACCTGAGGTCAGGAGTTTGAGATCAGCCTGGCCAACATGGCAAAACCCTATCTCTACTAAAAGTACAAAAATTAGCCGGGCATGGTGGTGCATGCCTGTAATCCTGGCTCCTCTGTAGGTTGAGGCAGGAGAATCTCTTGAACCCAGGAGGCAGACATTGCAGTGAGCTGAGATCGTGCCACTGCCCTCCAGCCTGGACCACAGAGTGGGACTCCATCTCAAAAAATAATCATAAAAATAATAATAACAACCTGCTAGGCTTAGGACCTAGGTTGATTCCATTACAAAAAACAAAACAAAACAAAACAAAAAACTAACTTTTTAAAAGAAGGATCTCTCTGTTCAAAAACAAAACCAATGCCCTGTCAGGAAAGATGTTCTGTGTTTCTGGTAAAGCTGGAAGGAACCTACAGGAAGGAGTCACCCCATAAAACTAGTGGAGCAGCATTGCCTTTTGGGGTGAGGGCTGCTTCTGTTAGGCCACCAGGATGAGTGCCTTCCTGGGGAGTGTGGTTCATCCTATACCATCCAGGAAGCAATTCCTGCCCCCAAATCACCTGCCAGCTTCTGCCCTGTAAGTAAAATCCCCAGCAAGCGGGCAGCAAGGAGCTGCTTGCCTTGGAAGGCAGCTGAAGTCTCTGCCCACCACCCAGACTGTGTCCTCTGGGCAAGGCCAGGGCTTCCAGTTGGATGGTTTTCACATTAACGGCTGCTGTTTAGAATCATCAACATTGGCCAGGCACGGTGGCTCATGCCTGTCATCTCAGCACTTTGGGAAGCTGAGGCGGGTGGATCACAAGGTCAGGGACCAGCCTGGCCAACATGGTGAAACCCTGTCTCAACTAAAAAAAGAAATACAAAAATTAGCTTGGTGTGGCTGGGCATGGTGGCTCATCCCTGTAATCCCAGCACTTTGGGAGGCCGAGGCGGGCAGATCATGAGGTCAGGAGATCAAGACCATCCTGGCTAACATGGTGAAATGAAACCCCGTCTCTACTAAAAATACAAAAAATTAGCCAGGCACGGTGGCAGGCACCTGTAGTCCCAGCTACTCGTGAGGCTGAGGCAGAAGAATGGCATGAACCTGAGAGGCGGGGTTTGCAGTGAGCCCAGATTGCGCCACTGCACTCCAGCCTGGGCGATATAGAGTGAGACTCTGTCTCAAAAAACACAAAAAAATAAAAAATTAGCCTGGTGTGGTGGTGGGCACCTGTAATCCCAGCTACTCAGGAGGCTGAGGCAGGAGAATTGCTTGGACCCCGGAGGCAGAGGTTGCAGTGAGCCGAGATCGCGCCATTGCACTCCAGCCTAGACAACAGAACAAGACTCTGTTGTAAAAAAAAAAAAAAAAAAAAAAAAAAGAATCATCAACATTGCCTTGGCCCAATCTCTTCCCAGACTTGTCAAATCTTTACCACTGGACCTCCATGTTCTAGTTTCAAAGCTCTGCTGGCCACAGTGGCTCATGTCTGTAATCCCAGCACTTTGGGAGGCTGAGGTAGGAGGACTGCTTGAACCCAGGAGCATGAATCCATCCTAGGCAACATAGTGATAATAGTGTCAAATGAGAGCCAGTGTCCAGTAATTCCCCAAATATCTGAGAATTTTCTTTTCTTTAAGTCACAGTCATCCTGGCAGAAGGCTGTAAGTCCCTTTGGGGAAGACTGGGAAAAAGATTAACAATGTAAATTTTTGGCAACGTAGCAGCGTACTTCCCCAAGATCACCCAGCCTCCCCTTCACTTAAGGGGTTGTGGGCCTGTGAACTGGCTCAAGTCTGGGAATTGATTGAGGGTTTTAGATCTGTGTTTCATTAATTTGAGTTAGTCTTTTATTCAGTTGACCTAGAATTCTTCATTTTTTAAAGAACAACTAAGACTTTGGTACAGCCCATTAGCTCTCCCTGTGGATACCATGGACTACACAATGCCGTGGGTGTCTGTGAGTCAAACCATTCTGACTGCTGCTTTGACACTGCTTTCCACTGTGGTGACCACACCCACCTCATCTTTGGTGATTAAGGACAGCCCATGTTCCCTGCCACCCCAGGATTCAATTATCCTCATTTTACTTAAAGATCCCAGTCCAGTGGCTGCAGTTCCTGCTGTAACATTTTGCCTACTGAGAGCACAAGCTCAAAGCTCTTCCAGGATACTGGGCTCCTCTCACAATATTCTTTCTCATGATCGTTGTGAGGAGTATGTTCCGTAGACCCTCCAGTGTGAGTGAGCAGGTCTGACATAATAAATCCAGTCTCCCTGAGTTTTTGCATACCTTTCTGTACACATAAACCAAGGAAGTTGTGGCATCTCAACTTTATGTACCTTAGGTAAACTCTGATTCTGTTTCAGCCAACCAACCAAGTCACCAAACAAGCAAACAGCCAACCAATCAACCAACAAGCAAGCAAGCAACAAACCAACCAAACAACCAAGCAAGGAAGCAAGCACCAACCAACCAAGCAAGCAACCAACCAAGTAACCGATCAAACCAACCCTTGGAGCCCTTTCTAAAGCTTTGACCTACAACCCTGAGTCCAGAATCTCTGTTTAGTGGGCCAACATTAATAAATTTAGCCTAATCCAACTTTATGTTACTTCCACCACGGTGCCACACACTTAATATCCATTCCCACATATATTCTCCAGATTTCCTTCTGTATAAATTGCGTGTGTGTGTGTGTGTGTGTGTGTGTGTGTAGAAAGAGAGCATCAACTGAAAAATCACACAATTTTATAAATTTAGAAAAGAGAGCTTTATTTCTTATATAGGTTTGCAGTCTGCAAGGTGGCCATTATGACAGGCTGGGAAGTGTGGCCTACAGCCAAGGCCAGAGGCAGGCATTTCCAGGGAGGGAAGGAGAGGACAGGAATTTGAGCCAAATGAATTGGCTACATATACATACTCAATAGGATATCAGAGGAGCTATATCATTTTATGAGAATACTCATAAAAGAGGTCCTAATGCATGCATATTCCATAAACATGCATGTTCATTCTGGGGTGGAGACTTGACATTTAAATGTATTATAATTAGGCCCTACACATCAAAAAGTGAAGCAGGGACATGAAGGTACTCAGCCTCTGTACAGGCACAGCCTCCAAAACTGGCCAGAACCAGTCCATGGAGGATGGTCTCTTATCAGGAGAAAGTTACTGAAATCAGTCCCTTGTCCAGAGAAAGCTGTCATTAAGGTTAGTGGGGCAGGAGATCAGTTACTCAGCGTCTGTGAACTGGGTGAGTTGTAATTGTTTTAATCTTGCTTCTCTCACAGCCAGTGCTTGCTTGGTTGCTAGAGAAAAATAAAACCCACGTGGTAGTTAGAATCTAGTTAATTCTTTAAGAGTAGGGTACAAGACTTAACGCTCGCCTGGCATGGCCCTAGCTCCTGTTTATAATTTGAGGTCTTATTGCCACAAAGAGTCTGTTCTGTCAGTCTCATGATCTCTATTTTAACATTAATGCTGTTCAGTTGTGGGGTCTAAACCATAAGAGGGAGGGAGGTACAGGGAGGTATGTCTGACCTCCTGTCCTGTCATGGCCAAGAACTGAATTTTAAGATTTATTTGAGGTTCCGTTGGCCAACAGGGGGTCTGTTAAGTCGGGTGGGGGGCTTAGGATTTTATTTTTAGTTTTCAAGGGAGATAAAATAATTTAATCAATTGGCCCCTGTGACTGTGGGACTAACATGGCTATGATCTGTCGGACAGACTTCAGGCTGGCACCCAGGCAAAATTCTATGCTGTAGTAAATGCATCATGCACATTTGTAACAACACGTACATAACAATGTCACAAAATACTTTCACGGTGACACCTAGATTAGTATTTTATTGAATAGCTGATGATATAAACTGGCTCATTTGATGCCAAGACTGACCATCACCACCATACCAAGGTCATCACTGATCAGAGGCCTAACCCAAGGAGGGGGTCATGTGCAGACCCAGCAGTGGGGAGGAAAGATGCTGCAGAGGAGACGGATGCCCACAGAGGCCCCTGAGCGGACACAATGCTCACTAAGTGGTAAGTATAGACTCAACGTAGGCTGTAAGGTCTCCCCCTGTGCAAATGGGACCCCGTCCACTTGAGAGTCAAGGGTCTGTTTGGGTGGCAGGGATAGCCACTTCTGAAGGTAGAAAGGAAAATAAGCCACCAAATTGGTACCTTTCTGTGAAATGGACATCGTGCTTAGAATCTCCATTTTCCCCACAACCTGGAGGAATAAGTACTGTCATCTGCATTTTGTAGCTGAAGAATCTGACTCAACAAAATTAAATTACTCGCCTAAGCAATTAGCAATTAACCAAGTCTTTCTGACTCAGAAACCCAGCTGTTGCCTGTTCATATCCAGCCCCTGTATTGGGGTCAAGACTGGCCTGTTCTCAATGCAGCAAGATCCAGGCAGATCACACTGGACTCCCAGCACTGAATCTGGCTCGAGGGGACATCAAATTTGACTGGGTCATGGGGCTCAGGAGCATCACTCTCAAAAATAGCAGTACAGGAAGAGGCGATGGCCCTAAACAGCATTTGCAGGCAGATCCCATGTTAATCGTAAGGGTCAGGACTCTCACTTTTCTGTCTCTCTCTCTGTCTCTCCTCTAGGGCTGACCCCACATTGGACACCACTGCATCCATGTCCATCACACACCACAGCTGCCTTTTCTTCTGCCTGCTTATGGGAAAGTCCCCTCCTCTCCTCCATTTTCTTCTCTTCCTGCCCTATCACACCGTGCACTTCTCCCTTTCCTTAAAGAACCACCATCAACTTTAGGAGGAGGGAAAGGGGTGGCTCTGGCAGGAAAAGCCAGAATCCCCTCTAGCCAGCAGAGAGAGAGGAATGGCTGCCTGTTTTCTCCCCCAATCCAAGGCACTAGGTTTTGGCTAGGTTGCAGGTTCCAAGCTGCTCTCCTGCTGTGTCGGTGAGTTCTGGTCAACCTGCAACCTCCTGATGTGGCCACTGCAGTTCATCGAGTCTTCAGGGACTCCCCATGGCCTGGAGGACTTTGCCTTGCTTACACGGGAGAGGAGAATGGATTTATAGGGAACATCATCTAAATCCAACTTGATCATTGTGTGGCCACACTTGCTAGATTGCTATAGTCTAAATCTAGCATTGTAGAAAGACGGGGGAGCTTGGAGCTGCACAAACCCAGGTCTGGAACTGGCTCCTTACCTTGAAAGGTGAATGATCCTGGCAGGACTCTTAGCCTCCCTGGGCCTCAGTTTCTTTATCTGTTTCTTGCTGGTTGGTTGGGTGATGTGGGGGCTGTGTGAAAACAGCTTGTCAATACAAGCCGAAATAGGAATATTTCTCCACAGAGTATGAAGGTCAAATGAGAGAATACATTTAAATTAAATGGAAAATTAAAATGGCAGAAAAGGCAAAGTTGTATTGAAAGTTCCGAGCTTCTCTATAAGGAGCTTTTTGACTATGTAAGAATCCGGTACTCGTTCCCCCTAAATATAAAAAAAAAAGTTGAAGGAGGAAGAAGGGAGAGTGATGCATGATGGGCGAGGACTTCACCTGCTGTTGCTGGCTTTGAGGATGGAGGAAGGAGGCCACAAACCTAGAAGCTGGAGCCCCTAGAAGCTAGAAAAGGCAGGGACCCGATTCATCCCTTGAGCCTCCAGAAGGGACATAGCCCCGCCAGCACCTTGACTTTAGCCCAGTGAGATCCTCTTAGGACTTTTGGCAACCAGAACTATAAGACAGAAATGGAAGCCACTGAGTCTGTAGCTGTTGGTTGCAGCAGCAATAGAAAACTAATGCAGAGCCCAAGAAATCACTGGTGATGAGTTGGGGAAGTGGGCTCAGGAGGTCTGGATCTGTGATGAGATGGGGAAAGTGGGGGAGGTCTGGATCTGTGATGAGATGGGGAAAGTGGGCTCAGGAGGTCTGGATCTGTGATGAGATGGGGAAAGTGGGCTCAGGAGGTCTGGATCTGTGATGAGATGGGGAAAGTGGGCTCAGGAGGTCTGGGTCTGTGATGAGATGGGGAAAGTGGGCTCAGGAGGTCTGGATCTGTGATGAGATGGGGGAAGTGGGCTCAGGAGGTCTGGATCTGAGTTGGGGATCTGGAGTGGAAGGGGAATTCATTTGTTCATTGTCTATCCTTTTGCATTGATTGAGTTTATATATACATATATATATATATATATATATATGTGAATTTTCACAATAAAAGTTTTTTCCAAAATAAAATAAAAGAAACAAAAGGGGCTTCTTGCAACCCAATTCCTATCTATGTCTGAGTCCACTTGTATTGAATGAGTCTTTCTGCTAATGTCCTTATATTTGGGTGACAATCTGAATGTCAGTGACCAATCAGAGCAGAGGCAGACCTTGGAGTGGGCAGGGCACCCTGAGGGTCCTGATTCCTGCCATGAGGCATAACCCTTTAGGTGCCAGACCACGGGGAGGTCCAGGGGTTGCAGGGGAGGGCTGTGCATCTGCAATGACTCTCAGGGGGCTCCCGGTGGTGGCAATTGGTGAATCTGCACGGTGGTGTTTCAATATTGTCACAACCCTGCTGTCTCTCATGCTCTTAAAAAGCATTTCTCTTACCTGTGACAGACTTCCTATACCTAACAGCTTGCAAAAATGTTCCAGATTAATGAGAATAATCTCTCGGAGCCATACCTCCCTGCTTGGGGTCTCAGTTTCCCCAACTGTCTCCAGACAAGTTAGGCTAGAAGGCCCCTGAGCCTCAGCCCCTCTATACCCCTCCTGTCACCCAGACCTGATCTGGGTCTTGCACCCTGGGTGCAGCAAGACAGGGGTGGGCAGGGGCTGGCTCTGGGCCAGAGGACCCTTTCTGATGGACTTCAGCTGTTGGCCTTCCAGGGGAGACTGATCAACCTCACAAGAGTCATACGGTGAGTAGCAGTGGGCAGATCCATCCCCCTCGTCTTAGATTTATGGGGAGACAGAGAGAAAGAGGAGACACTCCAGGAAGACCTGCAGGTGGGAGTACCAGGTTGAAACCAAGGACACATTCCTGGAGGAGCTGCTGTTTGAGCCAGCTCTGAGAACAGGTGGGGACAGGACTGGAGAGGAGGAGGGGGTCCCCTATGAGCAAAGACTGGCCACCACCCCATCTAACACCCCCACAGGGCCCCTGTGGCATCCCTGTCCAGTCCCTGTCATCACCCAGTTTTTCCCTCTGGACCCAGGAATTCAAAGTAAGCAAGGAGGTCCACTGCTCCAGTTGGCTGCAAATAATTACAACCTTGAGCCCAAGCAGCACTTTGGGTCCTGGTTTGGGACCATGAAGTGGCTCGGTGAGACTGAGAGGTAAGGCCAGGACAGGAATTGGGATAGTAGGATTGAACTCTCCCTGGGGGCCAGCCTCAGAAAGCCTGTGGCCATGGCCTCTTGGCCAACATCAGATCCTGTGGTCTGGCAATGCCTGGGGTACCCAGACCTCACTCTGGACAGGCCCTGGGAGGGGGCCCTGGTGAGATTCCTGGCAGCCTCACAGCCACTCTTCTGTCCGTAGCTACAACCTGTCATGCCAGCTGGAGGCTCCATCCCAGTTGGCTGGGAGCACAAAGGCCAGGAAGATAGACATCACCCACCACAGGGGCCAGTCGGGGCCTGAACCAGGGCGGGCAGAGGTTGGCTGCCTTGGGATATGGGTGGGCTCAGGGAGTCAGACAGCAAGGGACTAGCCTCCCATCCTACTGCTGACCAGCCCTGTGACTGGGGAGAGTCACTTTACTTCTCTGGGCCGAGTTTCCCCTCTGTGGAGTGACACTAAATGCTCTCTCTGGAGACTGGGATCAATAGGGCACTGGTGATTGACCAGGCACTCAGCACATGCCTGGAGCACACAGTGCAGGGCTGTGGTGGGGAGGTGGCCTGAGTTCCTGGGGAGTCACCCATGTGTGCCTGCCCTTCTGACCAGCCACCAGGCCCTCAGGGCAGAGCCCACTACCAGCAGCAGCTCACACCCCGAGACCAGCTCAGAGGCGGCCCCTACCTCAGCAGCAGGGACATCACGGACACTTTGAGCTGCTACTAGGGTGGCTTCCCCAGCTCCCACGTGGAGAGGGGTCCCAGCTGAGTCCCACTCACGTGGAGTCTCATGCCCATGAAAGTGCCATTCACCACTGGCCAGGCTCATGAGGCCGCATGAGAGGGGGGGTCACTGGGGAGGAGATATCGGGGTAACAGAGAGGGTGGTTGAATTTTTGTATAATAGGCAGTGCAAGTGTTTACCGTTTGGGAGGGGAAAGGTTTGTTATTATTAGCAATGCTACACTTGAATATTATACTAAAATCCACTTTCTCTATAACCTGGGAGTTGCTCTTTTGTTCTTTCTTTTCCCATCTTAATTAAAATGAGATGCAGACTCTCACGGTCCACAGTCGATTAAGAAATCTTGCATGGCCATCAGGTTATGTCTTGGAGAGCAGAGTTTCAGTACCATCAGCCTGGCAAGGAGCCGGGCCTGCTCCTCAGAGCTCCCGGGACTGTGAGAATTGGCATGTTCACAGGGCACTGTCACAGCCTCTGAAACACGCTGTCTTTAAAGACGTTTGCAGGCTGGACGCGGTGGCTCACTCCTGTAATCCCAGCACTTTGGGAGGCAGAAGCGGGTGGCTCACTTGAGGTCAGGAGTTCGAGACCAACATGGCCAACACGGCAAAACCCCATCTCTACTAAAAATACAAAAAATTAGCCAGGTGTGGTGGCAGGTGCCTGTAATTCCAGCTACTCGGGAGGCTGAGGTAGGAGAACTGCTTGAACCCAGGAGGCGGAGGTTGCAATGAGCAGAGATCACACCACTGCACTCCAGTCTGGGCAACAAGAGCAAAACTTCATCTCAAAAACAAGAACAAAAACAAAAACAACACAAAGACATTTGCAAGGACCATGTCCTCACCCAGAATGGTGCCTGCCTTTCTACAGTTTTTCAGGAAGAGGAAACATTTTCTGCTTCTCTCGCTGAGGTTTTTTTTTAACCACCCATTAGGAACCTATAGATTTCAGGATGGAACACTGGGATTCCCTCAGCACTAAAGGAGGAAAATTGCAAACAGAGCTGAAAGTGCAATGTGCAAAGGTCAGGCTGAGGAAGGTTCTTAGCCAGTAGACCAAGGGCAGGAAGGACACTGCCTCCTCAATCTCCCACTTTGTGATTCTTGTCCCCTGACCTCAGAATTCCTTGTCATGTTTGTTTTGTCTCCAAGGGAAGGGTTTGAATTACAGAATTTAAGGCTAGAGTGGGCCTCGTGCAGTTAACATTAACCCTCTCTCTCCTTCGCTGGCCGAGGTGAAGTCCAGGAACATGTAGTTCTGACGTCCACTCTCTCGGGGGATCACCAGTTCACCCATCTCACCCGGCAAGCTGGGCCCTAGTTTGGCGACAGGCATCTTCCACCCACCTGGGAGGCAGGGTTCAATACTCTGCCTCTGACCTTGTTTCCTTCTTCTGCCATCTGCTTAGGCAGCCAGAAGTGGTTGTCCAGCCAGCACCTGGGCTTTGGCGCTCCTCAAGCAGGTGAAGGAAGTTTCAGGCACCTGGCTCCTCAGGTGGCTGCCATTCAGGTGCTCTTCAGGCCTGCCCAGAAGAGCTCTCTTGATCCAGCTAGAACTGGCCAGAACTGACTCACTCAGGAATGTGTAGACTTTGACATCAGGGGCTGCTTTAATTTGCACAATTTCCAAATACCTCTTTTTTCTTCTTTTTCTGATGAGTCATCTCCCTAGACTTGCATTTTAAAGAGATAGATAGTTATCAGATTCCAGAGAAGACATGGTAGAACATTTATATGTCAAAGACACAGAGCTGAGACTTTAGTTTTAGATACTATAATTTGCCTAAACCAAAAAGGAAGGTGTAGGTAAAGTTCTAGTCAAGACAGGATGGCCAGGAAAAACACCTTAAACCAAGGGACGGCTTGCTTCGCTGATTTAAGCCAATGGCTTCTTTATCATAAGACTTCCCAGTGATTTAGTCCTCCCTCTCTTCCAGTGCACAGAGACATACCCCTCCTTACAAATAAAAATGTTCTTTATAGATGGAAATTTATTTTACAAAAATGTTTCAAAATAACCAGATGAAAATCATCCTTATGCCAGAAAGACTTGTTTTTTTTTTTTTTTTCATTACTAGAAATGAAACAGTAAGTATTTGTTGTATTGACATACTTAGGCTTAGACCTATGTTTAACAAGAAAGCCTAATAATAGCACTGTGGTTAGACTGTAGCCTATTTTTCCAAACCATCATTTTATTATTAAGGAAACGAAGGATCAAATACCTTTCATTCATCTGATATGATCCTTTAAAACACATTCCAGTAATAAGTCCCATTTGGAACAGCTGAAAATCTTTTAATAAAACTTTTTAAAGATGAGCTCATGGCTTAGTGTAAATTTCACAAGCTTAATTAGGTCAAATGGAAGGAACTCAGATGAGTAGTTGCCCAATCAGAGCCCATTATTTGTAAGTCATCAGACCCCTCCGTGACCTTAAAACTCCACTCTGACCTAATTATTGCAAACCTATATACAAAAAAGTGAAAGGATTAATTTTCATTCATCAACCTCTCAATCCCAGATTTTCAAAGAAAAAACCTATGTAAGGAATACTTGCCAAAACCAGACAGGAAAATTAGAGCCTGCATACTTAAGAGTCAAATTTGTTCCACTACAGCCAGGTGGCATACTATTACATCATTTGGTTCTTCATACACTCTAGAACTGACTAGGACAGAGTTTAGCATAGAAAAACTGTAAGAAATAGGTTCTGAAACATAGAAATTGTGAAGTTCAAAAGGCTATGAAAAAAACTAATGCAAATGAGAGACTCCCCTCCCTTTGTTTTAAAGAAATAGACCCATCAGAGAAATGCAAATCAAAACCACAATGAGATACCATCTCACACCAGTTAGAATGGCGATCATTAAAAAGTCAGGAAACAACAGGTGCTGGAGAGGATGTGGAGAAATAGGAACACTTTCACACTGTTGGTGGGACTGTAAACTAGTTCAACCATTGTGGAAGACAGTGTGGCCATTCCTCAGGGATCTAGAACTAGAGATACCATTTGACCCAGCCATCCCACTACTGAGTATATACCCAAAGGATTATAAATTGTGCTGCTATAAAGACACATGCACACGTATGTTTATTGCAGCACTATTCACAATAGCAAAGACTTGGAACCAACCCAAATGTCCAACAATGATAGACTGGATGAAGAACATGTGGCACATATACACCATGGAATACTAGGCATCCATAAAAAATGATGAGTTCATGTCCTTTGTAGGGGCATGGATGAAGCTGGAAACCATCATTCTCAGCAAACTATCGCAAGGACAAAAAACCAAACACCACATGTTCTCACTCATAGGTGGGAATTGAACAATGAGAACACTTGGACACAGGAAGGGGAACATCACACACCAGGGCCTGTTGTGGGGTGGGGGGAGGGGGGAGGGATAGCATTAGGAGATATGCCTAATATAAATGATGAGTTAATGGGTGCAGCACACCAACATGGCACATGGATACATATGCAACAAACCTGCACACTGTGCATGTGTACCCTAGAATTTAAAGCATAATAAATAAATATAAAAAAATAAAAAAAGAAATAGATGTTCTGTAAAAATATACACAATTTTTACAGACAAATACATTTATAAGTTGTTTTTATCTTAAAAATCGGGGATATTTCATATTTATAACTAATTATTGAACCTTAAGTTTTCTTGGCCATTTCTAGGCTAATAAACTACGAATCATGTAAACTAAGCCAAAGTAGAATAGACATAAAAGTCCTGAACACTTCAACTTCCTATCCTTCAAGAAGTATACCTCGCAAAGCTCATTTGAGAGAGGAAAAGCTTTCCTCCACCCTCTGTTTTACAGCGCTGAGGCTTCTCATCACATTTCTATGACTTGTAGCTTAAATCCATGTTACATGGTAACTGGCATTGTTAGTGCTTCTCTTTTAACACAGTAGGAATTAATCAATTTGGTGGTGTATTTAATTAATTCTATCACTAGAGGATTGTAAAATTACATATATGAATACCTCACTTTAGAGGCCACTTAATTTTTTTCCAAGGGGATATTTGACTACATTTCACTTGTGTCTTATTTAATGATTTTATAATTTAAACCCTAAATTATAAATCTAGAATTTAGAAAGTATATTTCCCCACTGGATTACATTTTTGGAAATATTATTTTATATGTGCACAAATATTACAAAATCACTGTAGACACCTGAAAACTATATTATCTTTTAAAGGCAATATTTACATTAAACTGGTATAACAAAATTGTTTGGTGCATTTTTTTCCAGTACATTTTGTATATATTACATGTTTAACCTTTTTTTATTCAGCAAATAATTTTTGAGTATCTACTAAGTGCTAGGTTCTGCACTACTAACTGAATTTAAAGAGTGAAATAACAGACATGGTCTCAGACAATAAAAATTAACATTAGGTCACCTATTTATATACTTTAAAATGGTAATTATGAAAACTTTTTGAGATTTTTAACTAGATAACATTATAATAATACACTTGATGTTGTTAATATTTGCCAGTGAGCAAAAAAGAAAATAAAAAGATGGTTTTATTCAATATACACTTTAAAATTGCAGAAAATAGTCAAGTTTCTCTGCTTTGCGGTTGAATGTCTATGTGTTTTTCTCCGCAACTTGCCTTTTGTGGAGTGAAACAATTATTCTTCCAGCCCAATAAAGGCAGAAGAGTAACAATAAATCTAATATTTTAAGTGCTTCTCAAAAGATAGTAAACATATTATTTCAGAATACTGAGTTCAATAAGTTGACCTACAAAAAAAGCCAAACTGACAGTATTACTGAATAAGGAAAGGCCCAAAAAGACAAAATACTTTTTATTTTGTAACCTCGGTATGACACAACTTACCCTAACTATAAAGACCCTAAATTACCAAGATGGGTGCTTATAATAAGGAGAGTAAAAAAAGTCATTTGACTTTTAGCTTTTTTATTTCTCTCAGAATAAAAAGTGTCTAAGGAGTTTATAAAGAAGTTGATACTATAAGTTAGTACTACAATGACAGCACTTTTCAAGAAAAGACTTTTTTCTCTCTTACAAATATCATGTTAGCAGTATTTGTTTTCTCCAGAAATAATGAGGAAATAAAAACATAAGTATGTGGGTAATTAGTGTAGTTTCTTAAAGAAATGAGTTAGGCAACAGGCTAATAATGTATACTTCGCTGGCTTTTGAATGCCAACAATCATATTCTTTATAAGGCACAGAGAAGATTTTTCTGAAGAATAAGTATGTGAACCTGAAAAGTAATCACCACTTGGTAGTGACAATATGGATAGGGTGAAGGGTGTCATCAAGAAGCAATGAAAAGATACATTTGCAGTTCAATTTGAAAACCATGATGTTTAATACATATAGTAATAAAGAATACTTTCTCCTATTTCAAAATTATTTTAGAATTTAAGATAGAAGCTAAAATACCTAGGGATAATGATATGACTATCAAAAATTAAAAATTAAAGGACATTTTGAGTATTATAAGAATGAGAACTTATTACCCAATGAACAGGGGTTAATTCATTATGCTCCATATCCATTGAATTAAAAGACAGGCCCATTACCTGGATAATTTGAAAGTTTAATTTTATTTAAAAGTCTTGTTTCATTCATCAAGCTAAAGGATTAGCTCCCAGAAATATTCTAGGATTGCATATCCCCAACTCTGTAGGAAGTATAGAAAGAATGTTATAAGGGCCACCATCTAAACATTATTATGTAAATAATTTAGTACCATTCCATTTGCCTTTGTAGATTTAAAACTGTAAATGGCTTTCTCATATTAGGAAACATCACTTTTCAAAACCCAGATAAACATAGTACATTGCAAGAGAATAATTATTTTCTTTATTAAAAAAGAAATACTGGATGCTAAGTCCAAAAGACATAAATTATTTTATACTAATAACTACTAATATTTTATTCATTAAAATATAAAGGTCAAAGATTTCAAAATGATCTTTAAATGATTAATAACATGTTGATCTTTTTCTTCTTTCTGTAAACCTTTTTGAGTCTTAAAAATACTAAACTATACAAGCAATATTAAATAGTATATAAACTTGGATTAAAATATTCAAATTTACTAGAATGTGGACATTGGAAAGAATGAAAATAAACAGAAGCATAAAGCAGCAGATATAAAATTAAGAAAGCAACTAAGAGTGTTTAAAGTACATATTCATCTGTAGTCTAATGTCTACCATAAACAGTGACTCTTCTCAGTAAAACACAAATTGTTCATGAAGGGAAAAAGCATGTTGTATTAGAGAATATTCAACATAATTTTTTTAGTACTAACTTGTGCCTGGAGTATTATTGGTTTTTCTATTATGAACTTATGCACTTGTTAATTTTTTTCATAAAAATTATATGTACAACTCCATTCAAAAGCAGTTTTTGGTGGGTTTTTTTTTTTTTTTGAGACAGAGTTTTGCTCTTTTCACCCAGGCTGGAGGGCAATGGTGCGAATTTGGCTCACAGCAACCTAGCAACTTTTGCCTCCCAGGTTCAGGTGATTCTCTTGCCTCAGCCTCTCGAGTGGTTAGGACTACAAGCATGCACCACCATGCCTGGCTAATTTTGTGTTTTTAGTAGAGACATGGTTTTGCCATGTTGACCAGGCTGGTCTTGAACTCCTGACCTGAGGTAATCCACCCATCTTGGCCTCCCAAAGTGCTGGGTATGGGCAAGAGCCACCATACCTGGCCTCAGAAGCAGTTTTTAAAAGCAAACACAATATAACACCAAAGTTGAAAAATCTGTGCTCACCCAAGGATGCCAGGTTTAATAAATTATTTATAGAATACTGCATCAAAAATAAGACAATAACCCAAAATATACCATTAAAGATGTATCCACTCCTACAACTGGAGATAATTAATCTATCTAGTAGCAAATGATACTTCAATCAGTTTCAGCATGTCTGAAATCTTTAAGGACAAAAGTGATAAAACATGACTTCATTCTTCATTAGACTCTTAGAACACTTGAAGGAAAATAATTTCTGAAGCACAAAGTAAAGAGGTGTAATCTTTCAAAAAGATATTCAGTGTTCAAAATCCAAGAGTGCAATATCAGGCTGGGTGCGGTGGCTTATGCCTGTAATCCCAGCACTTTGGGAGGCCATGGTGGGTGGATCACCTGAGGTCAGGAGTTCGAGACCAGCCTGGACAACAAGGTGAAACTCTTGACTGTACTAAAAATACAAAAATTAGCCAGGCATCGTGGTATGTACCTGTAGTCCTAGCTACTTGGGAGGCTGAGACAGGAGAATCGCTTGAACCTGGGAGGTGGAGGTTGCAGTGAACCGAGATCATGCCACCTCACTCCAGCATCAGTAACAGAATGAGATTCCATCTCAAAAAAAGAAAAGAGTGTAATATCGGTATACACAGATAATATACTGAATGAAACAAATAGAATAATTTGAAGAGGTATCTTGATGAACAAGGAGTCATTAGAAAGGTTGTATTCATGTCTTTGAAGGAAATTGCAATGTGAGAAATTAATACTTTGACTACTATATTAAAAGCTTATTGCTAACATGTATTGAGTTATTAACGTGTGTTAGGCAGAGTACCATATAATTTACAAGTGTTATCTCATTTATTGTAGGTAAAATGTAATTTCGAACTCTGGGAGTATAAATGAATTAGATAGAATAAAATTCTATTTAAATGGCCATCAGTAAATCGGTATCTAGGAACAGGGTGATACGGTGCCCAAGTTTTCTATTCTTACTGAATGTTGTGTTTCATTTTCAATGTTTTCTTGGATATTGCTCTTTTTTGGTGATTTTGATTTTTTTTATTTTAGAAAACTAATAAATTGACTCTTCTTGGTACTGACTCGGGTTTTATAGAAGAAAAAGTAATTAAATTATGTATATTTACCTTTACCTCATTTTTTCTCTTTTAAATTTACTTTAATTGACATATAATAAATGTACATGTTATGGGGTACAGAGTGATATTTTGATATATTTATGCAATGCGTAAAGATCAAGTCAGAGTCATTATCATATCCATTACCTAAATCATGTATTATTTCTTTGCAGTGAGAATATTTAAAATCTTTTATTTTAGTTATTTGAAAACACACAATAAATTCCCGTTAACTACAGTCACCCAACAGTGCTGTAGAGAACTAGAACTTCTTCCTTCTCTCCAGCTGTAATTTTGTATGTATTAACCACATTTTTCTTATACTCTTCTTTCTCCTACTCTTTCCAGGATATGGTAACCAAAACTCTACTATCTACTTCTACGAGATTAAAAATTTTAGCTTCCATACATAAGTGAGAACACGTAGTTATGTGGTGTTTATGTTTCTATGCCAGGTTTATTTCACCTAACATAATACCCTCCACTTGCATTCTTGTTGCCACAAATAACAGGATTTTGTTCTTTATTATGACTAAATAGTATTCCATTATATATGTATATCACATTTCTTTATCCATTCATCTGTTGATGGACACTTTTGCTGATTCCATATCTTGGCTATTGTGAATAGTGCTGTAATAAACATGGGGGTGCAGGTAAGTCTTTGATATACTGATTTTCTTTCCTTTGGATATATACTGAAAACCATATGATTAAATTAATAAACACAATAAAAGCGTTTGGCAAAATTAAATATTCTTACATGACAAAAAACCTCTCAACAATTTAGTATAGAAAATATATGCCTTAAAACAGAAGGACATAAAGGACAAATCTACAACTAAGATCATGCTGAGTGTGGAAAAGGTGAAAGCTTTTACTGTGAACAAGAAAAAGATTTTACTGGAACAAGAAAAGGATGCCTATTCTCACCAATCATATTTCACATAGTGAAAGTCTTAGCCAGGACAATTAGGTGAGAGAAAGAAATAAAGGACATCTGAATTGGAAAGGAGACAGTCAAATTGTCCCTGTTTAAAGACAATGTGATCTTATACATGGAAAAAAATAAGACTCTACCAAAAGCTTCTTAGGGTGATACATGAAATTAATAAAGTTGCAGGATATAAATCAACATACAAAAATCAGTAGCATTTCTATATATTGATAGTAAACTAGCTGAAACAAGAAATTAAGAAAGCAATTCCTTTTACAATAGCTACAAAAATGTACTTAGAAATAAATTTAACCAAGGAAGTAAAAGATTTCGACAACAAAAATGACAAATATTAATGAAAGAAATTAAAGAAAACACAAAAAAGGAAAGACATCCACGTTTATAGATTGAAATAACTAATATTCTTAAAATGACCCACTATCCTATGTGATTTACAAATTTGGTACAATCACTAGCTTGTATTTTTAAAAGCACCTTTGTTGCATATTCTTAAGATATTCAATGACAATGCCCGGATTTAAGTTTGAGGTATTATTATATCTATTTTATACTGGGCACAATATAATGTTATCAGAGGTAACGGTTTTGATTGGTCCTAGGTCATACAGTAATATATACATTGTGATTTATAGACATGCTATCTTTTAATACTCAGGCATTTAGAAAGTTCATTTAGACAAAGTTATAAAAACTTGCTGTCCTTTCTGCCTATATCACCTAAAAATCCTAATTTAAGAGGTAATAACATTTTTTATTTGATATACAATTTATCAACACAATAAAAATCTAACAATTATCATGTGCAGAGTGTGAAAATCTCATCAGATTAAGGAACACAAAGACAACTTTTTCATATTTCGAATGTAAAACTGTTTTGGAAACTGTTATTTTTAGAAACAGTTAAAAACATTTTTTCATTAGTTTTTCATGTAAAATTGTGACAACCAGCATGAAATAACTGTCATCACAGAAGCATGGTATATTCGATTCCAAAACATATTCTTTGTAAGTTTTAATATATTTATGTATTATTTATACTTAGATTGTAACCCATAATGTACAGATATTATTTTTCCTTCAACTCTTAAGAATATTCTTAAATAATAAAATTAAAATTAATGAATTATAATTTTTGTTGCTTGGGAAAAAGAATAGACACACACGTGACAGTGCATCACTTCACCCCATCATTTCATCTCATCATTTCATCTCATCATTTTATCTCATTTCATCTCATCCCATCTCATCTCATCATTTCATATCATCTCATCATTTCATCTCATCATTTCACCAAATCTCATCTCATCGCATTTCCATTTCATTTTCATTATTTCATTTCATCATTTCATTTCACTATTTCATTTCATTTCATCTAATTTCATTTATTTCATTGTCATTTCATATAATCTCATTTCATTTCATCTCATATTTTTGATATCATTTTTCATATCATTTTTCATCTCATTTCATCTCAATTCATCTCATCATTTCATCTCCTCATCTCATCATTTCCTCCTTTCATTACAACATTTCATCTCACTTCTTCTCATCTCATTTCAATTTCATTATTTCATATCATTTCATTATTTCACCTAATTTCATTATTTCATCTCATCTCATCTCAGTTCATCTGATCTCATTTCATCTCAGCATTTCATCTCATCATTTTTCATCTCATCATTTTTCATCTCATCATTTAATCTCATTTCATTTCATTTGATCTCATCATTTCAGCTCATTTCATGTCACATCTATTCATTTCATCATTTCATTTCAACATTTCACCATTTCATCTCATCATTTCATCTCATCTTTCAATTTCATTTCAATATCATTTCATCATTTCATTTCATCTCATTTCATTATTTCATTATTTCATTTCATTTCAATTCATCTCATTTCATCTCATCATATTTCATCTCATCATTTTTCATCTCATCATCTCATCTCATCATTTCATCTCATTTCTTCTCATCATTTCATCTCATCATTTTATCTCATTTCATCTCATCTCATTTCAATTTCATTATTTCATTTCATTTCACTTCATTTCATCTCATTTTATCTCATCTCATTTTATCTCATCATTTCTTCTCGTCTCATCTGATCATTTCATCATTTCATCTCGTTTCATCTCATTTCATCTCATCTCATATCATCATTTCATCTCATCCTTTCATTTCATCTCATCGTTTCATCTCCTCATTTCATCTCATCTCACCTCAGCATTTCATTTCACCTCATCATTTCTTATTTCATCTCATTTTATCTCATTTCATCTCATATCTCAATTCAATTTCCTTTCATTATTTCATCTCATTCATTTCATCTCCTTTCATTACATCTCATCATTTCCTCTCATCATTACACCTCATCTCATCTCATCATTTCATCATTTCATCTCATCATTGCATCTCATCATTTCATCTCATTTCATCTCATCATTCATCTCGTCACTTCATCTCATCATTTCCATTTCATTATTTCATTTCATCATTTAATTTCATCATCTCATTTAATTTCACCTCATTATTTCATTTTTTCATTTCATTATGTCATTTCATTTCATCTCATTACATTTCGTCTAATTTCATTTCATCTCATTTCATCTCATCATTTCATTTCATCTCATCTTTTCATCTCATCATTTCATCTTATCATCTCATCAACTCTTTTCATCTTATCATTTCATCATTTCATCTCATCACTTCATCTCGTATCTTCTCAGCTCATTTCAATTTCATTTCATTATTTCATTTCATTATTTCATGTCATCTCATCTCATCATTTCATCTCATCACATCTCATCATTTTATCATTTTATTTCATCATCTCATCATTTCATCTCATCTCATTTCAATTTTATTTATTTATTTCAATTTCATTTCATTATTTCATTTCATTTCATCTCATCAGTTCATCTCATCATTTCATCTCATCATCTCATCTCATCTCATCTCATCATTTCATCTCATCATTCATCTCATCATTTCATATCATTTTATCTCATCTCATCATTTCATCTCATTTCATCATTACATTTCATCTCATTTTATGTCATCATTTCATGTCATCATTTCATCACATCTCATCTCATCATTTCATCTCATCATTTCATCATTTCATCTCATTTCAACTCATTGCATCTCATCTCATTTCCATTTCATTATTCCATTTCATCATTTCATTATGTCATTTCACCTCATCATATTTCATCTCATTTCATCTCATCTCATCATTTCATTTCATCTCATCATTTCATCTCATTTTATCTCATCTCATCATTTCTTCTCATCTCATCATTTCCATTTCATTTTCATTTCATTATTTCATCATTTCATCATTTCATTTCATCTCATGTCATTATTTCATTATTTCATTTCATTTCAATTCATCTCATCATTTCATCTCATCATTTTTCATCTCATCATTTTTCATCTCATCATCTCATCTCATCATTTCATCTCATTTCTTCTCATCATTTCATCTCATCATTTTATCTCATTTCATCTCATCTCATTTCAATTTCATTATTTCATTTCATTTCACTTCATTTCATCTCATTTTATCTCATCTCATTTCATCTCATCATTTCTTCTCGTCTCATCTCATCATTTCATCATTTCATCTCGTTTCATCTCATTTCATCTCATCTCATATCATCATTTCATCTCATCCTTTCATTTCATCTCATCGTTTCATCTCCTCATTTCATCTCATCTCACCTCAGCATTTCATTTCACCTCATCATTTCTTATTTCATCTCATTTTATCTCATTTCATCTCATATCTCAATTCAATTTCCTTTCATTATTTCATCTCATTCATTTCATCTCATTTCATTACATCTCATCATTTCCTCTCATCATTACATCTCATCTCATCTCATCATTTCATCATTTCATCTCATCATTGCATCTCATCATTTCATCTCATTTCATCTCATCATGCATCTCGTCATGTCATCTCATCTCATCATTTCCAGTTCATTATTTCATTTCATTATTTCATTTCATCATTTAATTTCATCAACTCATTTAATTTCACCTCATTTCATTATTTCATTTTTTCATTTCGTCATTTCATTTCATCTCATTACATTTCGTCTAATTTCATTTCATCTCATTTCATCTCATCATTTCATTTCATCTCATCTTTTCATCTCATCATTTCATCTTATCATCTCATCAACTCTTTTCATCTTATCATTTCATCATTTCATCTCATCACTTCATTTCATCTCGTATCTTCTCAGCTCATTTCAATTTCATTTCATTATTTCATTTCATTATTTCATGTCATCTCATCTCATCATTTCATCTCATCACATCTCATCATTTTATCATTTTATTTCATCATCTCATCATTTCATCTCATCTCATTTCAATTTTATTTATTTATTTCAATTTCATTTCATTATTTCATTTCATTTCATCTCATCAGTTCATCTCATCATTTCATCTCATCATCTCATCTCATCTCATCATTTCATCTCATCATTCATCTCATTTCATCTCATCATCTCATCTCATCTCATCATTTCATCTCATCATTCATCTCATCATTTCATAGCATTTTATCTCATCATTTCATCTCATATCATCATTACATTTCATCTCATCTTATGTCATCATCTCATGTCATCATTTCATCTCATCTCATCTCATCATTTCTTCTCATCTCATCATTTCCATTTCATTTTCATTTCATTATTTCATCATTTCATCATTTCATTTCATCTCATTTCATTATTTCATTTCATTTCAATTCATCTCATCATTTCATCTCATCATTTTTCATCTCATCATTTTTCATCTCATCATCTCATCTCATCATTTCATCTCATTTCTTCTCATCATTTCATCTCATCATTTTATCTCATTTCATCTCATCTCATTTCAATTTCATTATTTCATTTCATTTCACTTCATTTCATCTCATTTTATCTCATCTCATTTCATCTCATCATTTCTTCTCGTCTCATCTCATCATTTCATCATTTCATCTCATCATTGCGTCTCATCATTTCATCTCATTTCATCTCATCATTCATCTCGTCATTTCATCTCATCTCATCTCATCATTTCCATTTCATTATTTCATTTCATCATTTAATTCCATCATCTCATTTAATTTCACCTCATTTCATTATTACATTTTTTCATATCATTATGTCATTTCATTTCATCTCATTACATTTCGTCTAATTTCATTTCATCTCATTTCATCTCATCATTTCATTTCATCACATCTTTTCATCTCATCATTTCATCTTATCATCTCATCAACTCTTTTCATCTTATCATTTCATCATTTCATCTCATCACTTCATTTCATCTCGTATCTTCTCAGCTCATTTCAATTTCATTTCATTATTTCATTTCATTATTTCATGTCATCTCATCTCATCATTTCATCTCATCACATCTCATCATTTTATCATTTTATTTCATCATCTCATCATTTCATCTCATCTCATTTCAATTTTATTTCAATTTCATTTCATTATTTCATTTCATCTCATCAGTTCATCTCATCATTTCATCTCATCATCTCATCTCATCTCATCATTTCATCTCATCATTCATCTCATCATTTCATATCATTTTATCTCATCTCATCATTTCATCTCATTTCATCATTACATTTCATCTCATTTTATGTCATCATTTCATGTCATCATTTCATCACATCTCATCTCATCATTTCATCTCATCATTTCATCATTTCATCTCATTTCAACTCATTGCATCTCATCTCATTTCCATTTCATTATTCCATTTCATCATTTCATTATGTCATTTCACCTCATCATATTTCATCTCATTTCATCTCATCATTTCATTTCATCTCATCATTTCATCTCATTTTATCTCATCTCATCTCATCATTTCTTCTCATCTCATCATTTCCATTTCATTTTCATTTCATTATTTCATCATTTCATCATTTCATTTCATCTCATTTCATTATTTCATTTCATTTCAATTCATCTCATCATTTCATCTCATCATTTTTCATCTCATCATTTTTCATCTCATCATCTCATCTCATCATTTCATCTCATTTCTTCTCATCATTTCATCTCATCATTTTATCTCATTTCATCTCATCTCATTTCAATTTCATTATTTCATTTCATTTCACTTCATTTCATCTCATTTTATCTCATCTCATTTCATCTCATCATTTCTTCTCGTCTCATCTCATCATTTCATCATTTCATCTCGTTTCATCTCATTTCATCTCATCTCATCTCATATCATCATTTCATCTCATCCTTTCATTTCATCTCATCGTTTCATCTCCTCATTTCATCTCATCTCACCTCAGCATTTCATTTCACCTCATCATTTCTTATTTCATCTCATTTTATCTCATTTCATCTCATATCTCAATTCAATTTCCTTTCATTATTTCATCTCATTCATTTCATCTCATTTCATTACATCTCATCATTTCCTCTCATCATTACATCTCATCTCATCATTTCATCATTTCATCTCATCATTGCATCTCATCATTTCATCTCATTTCATCTCATCATTCATCTCGTCATTTCATCTCATCTCATCATTTCCATTTCATTATTTCATTTCATCATTTAATTTCATCATCTCATTTAATTTCACCTCATTTCATTATTTCATTTTTTCATTTCATTATGTCATTTCATTTCATCTCATTACATTTCGTCTAATTTCATTTCATCTCATTTCATCTCATCATTTCATTTCATCTCATCTTTTCATCTCATCATTTCATCTTATCATCTCATCAACTCTTTTCATCTTATCATTTCATCATTTCATCTCATCACTTCATCTCGTATCTTCTCAGCTCATTTCAATTTCATTTCATTATTTCATTTCATTATTTCATGTCATCTCATCTCATCATTTCATCTCATCACATCTCATCATTTTATCATTTTATTTCATCATCTCATCATTTCATCTCATCTCATTTCAATTTTATTTATTTCAATTTCATTTCATTATTTCATTTCATTTCATCTCATCAGTTCATCTCATCATTTCATCTCATCATCTCATCTCATCTCATCATTTCATCTCATCATTCATCTCATCATTTCATCTCATCATCTCATCTCATCTCATCATTTCATCTCATCATTCATCTCATCATTTCATATCATTTTATCTCATCTCATCATTTCATCTCATTTCATCATTACATTTCATCTCATTTTATGTCATTTCATGTCATCATTTCATCACATCTCATCTCATCATTTCATCTCATCATTTCATCATTTCATCTCATTTCAACTCATTGCATCTCATCTCATTTCCATTTCATTATTCCATTTCATCATTTCATTATGTCATTTCACCTCATCATATTTCATCTCATTTCATCTCATCTCATCATTTCATTTCATCTCATCATTTCATCTCATTTTATCTCATCTCATCTCATCATTTCTTCTCATCTCATCATTTCCATTTCATTTTCATTTCATTATTTCATCATTTCATTATTTCATTTCATCTCATTTCATTATTTCATTTCATTATGTCATTTCATTTCATCTCATTACATTTCATCTCATTTCATCTCATCATTTCATCCATCATTTCATTTCATTTCATCATTTCATCTCATGATTTCATCTCATCTCATCATCTCATTTCATCTCATTATTTCATCTCATTTCATCTCATCTCATGATTTCATTTCATCATTACATCTCATCATTTCAACTCATCTCATTTCAATTTCATTTCAATTTCATTACATTTCATAATTTCCTTTCATTATTTCATTTCATCTCATTTCATTATTTCATTTCATTATTTCATTTCATCTCATTTTTCATCTCATCATTTTTCATCTCATTTCATCTCATCATGTCATCTCATCGTTCATCTCATTTCATCTCATTTTATCTCATTATTTCATCTCATCTCATCTCATTTCAATTTCATTATTTCATATCATTTCATTATTTCATTTCATTTCATCTCATCATTTCATCTCGTTTCATCTCATCATTTCATCATCTCATCATTTCATCTCATTTCATCTCATCTCATCTCCTTTCAATTTCTTTTCAGCTTTGTCATTTCGTCTCATCATTTCATCTCATTTCCACTCTCCATTTCATCTCATCATCTCATCTCATCTCATCATTTTGTCATTTCATCTCATCATTTCATCTCATCTCAAGTCATCTTATCATTTCATCTAAGTGAAATGACATAATGGAATCATGAAATGAAATGGATAGGATGCCCTCAGTGATGTTAAATTTAAAAATTGTTTCTTTTCATGCATGCATTTTTATGTTTATATGTATTTATATTTATATTTACTAATATTTCTTTTTACTTATTTTTATTTATATTTTTACTTATTTCTTTATTCATAGACAAGGTCCTGTTCTGTGGCCTAGGCTGGAATGCAGTGGTGCATTCACAGTTCACTGCAGCCTCGAGAAAACCTCCCACATTAGCCTCCCAGGTAGCTGGGACCCCAGGTGCGCACCACCACACCTGGTTAATATTTTATTATTTGTAGAGATGGAGTCTTGCTATTCTGCCCAGGCTGGTCTCAAATTCCTGGGCTCAAGCAATCCTCCTGCACTGGCAACCCAAAATGCTGGGATGACAGATATGAGCCACAGTGCCCAACCTATTTATTTATTTGTTTAATAAGGACAAGGTCTCACTATGTTGCCCAGGCTGGTCAACTCCTGGACTCAAATGATTCTCCAAACTTGGCCTCTCAAAATGTTGGGATTACAGGTATGAGCCACCATGCCTGGCCTAAAAATAGTATTATATTTTTGTATCATATAATTTTCAATTAGGTAATATGAATATTCTGTACAGGAAATACGCCCTTAATTACATAGGAATAAACATTTGTTACACTGAGAAAAATCTAATAGAGCTAAAAATAAAAATTAATTTGGAAAGGTAATTAGATACTGATACATTCTTACATTTACACATTCTTTCATATATTCATATATTCTTTTAACAGTATCAATGGTTTGGAGTTATGTGTACAAAACCATGACCTATATGTAATACAACTAATAACAGGCATTTACAATTCAAGGCATATTATATACAAAGCTTTAACTTCTTATCAAAATATTTTGTTTTTTTTCTTTCTGTTTTGGCAGATACTATGAACACAACATTCAACTCACAGACACCATGGAGCCCTTACTAAGCATAAAGTACTGTGAAAAGCCAGGGCTAGGACAGAACTAAGACAGGGCCAGGGATAGGACAGAACAGGGGCAGGGTCATGGCCAGAGAAAAACCAGGGGCAGGGTCACGGCCAGGGACATGAGAGGACCAAGGCCAGGGCCAGAAGCAGGGCAGAACCAGGGCCAGGGCAGGGACATGGCAGGGCCAGGGCCATGGCAGGATCAGGGTCAGCAGAAGGCCAGGGCAAGGCTAGGGTAGCACAGGGCCAAGGCAGGGCAGGGTCAGTGTAGAGCAAGGAACGGGCCAGGGTATGGCAGGGCAGGGACAGGGAGGTCCAGGGCCAGAGTCAGGTCCAGGACATGGACAGGACAGGGCCAGAAATATGGCAGGACCAGAAAGGGGACAGGGCAAGGGCAAGGCCAGAGAAGGACCATGGAAAAAACATGGCCAGGGAGGGTCCAGGGCAAGGGCAAGGCCAGGGCAGAACCAGAGCCAGAGCAGGCCAAAGGCAGGGCCAGGGCAGGGCAAGGCCAGGGTAGGGCGGGGCCAGTGTAGGGTGAGGGTAGGGCCAGGGTGAGTTCAGGGCCAGGGCAGGACTAAGATAGCACAGGGCCAAGGCAGGGCCAGGGCAGGGCCAAAAGGAGGGGCCAGGGCCAAGCATGGCCAGTGTCAGACCTGGGGATTGTCAGGGCCAGGGTCAGGGTCAAGGCTGGGCCAGGGACAGGGCCAGAGCAAGGGCAGGGCCAGGGAGAAAGCAGAACCAGAGAGGATCCAGAGCAAGGCCAGGGTCAGGGCAGAACCAGGACCAGGATAAGGCAAAGCCAAGGCCAGGGCAGGGCAAGGCCAGGGCAAGGCAAGACCAGGGGAAGGGCAAGGCCAGGGTAGAAAAGGCCAGTGTAGGGCCAGGCCAGGGTAGGAGAAGGCCATGGTAGGGCCAAGGCCAAGGCAGGGCAGGGCTAGGGTAGCACAGGGCATGGCCAAAAACAGGGCAGGGCCATAACAGTGGCAGGACTAGCAACAGGGCCAGGGCAAGCGCTGGACCAGAGCATGGTGGGGACAATACAGGGCCAGGACAGACGATGGCAAGGCAGGTCCAGGGCCATTTCATGGACTCGGTAGGCCTGGGGTCAGGCCAGGGCAGGGCAAAGGCAAGACCAGGGAGAAGGCAGGGCCGGGGCCAAGGCAGTGCCAGGGCAGGGCAGGACCAGTGCAGGGCCAATGCAGGGTGAGGGCAAGGCCAGGGCATGGAAGGGCAGGGCAGGACCAAGGAAGGGCCAGGAGAGGGCCACGGCAGGGTCACGGCCAGAAGAAGGGTATGGCTGGGGTCAGGAATATGGTAGGACAAGGGCTGGGCCCAGGCTGGGACACGCAGGGCAGAGCATGATCTATGCAAGGCACAGCCAGAGCCAGGCCATAGAGATGGGAGGGCAACACCAAGGCAGAGTCAGGGTAGATCCAGGGCTGAGCAGAGTCAGGGCAGGTCCAGAGTAGAGGCAGAGCTAGGGCCCAAGCAGGGCCATGGTAGCACCAGGGCAGAGGAGGGCAGGGCAATGCAGGACTGGGCCATGGCAGTGCCTGGTCAACTCCGGGGCAGGGCCAGAAGCAGGACAGGGCCAGGGCCAGTGCTCAGGCCAGGGACAGGGCATGACAGGAAGTGCCAGAGCAGGGCTGGGCCAACGTTGGGGCAGGGCAAATCAGACCAGGACACTTCCAAGTCCATCTCTGGCCCTGCCTTGGCCCTGGCCCCTTCCTGGCCTGACCTTGTCCCTGGCCCTGCCCTATCCATGCCCTGTGTGTTTGACCAGTGTTTTGTAACCAGAATCCTACAAGAAACTTAAATTAGTTCTTTTTGTGCATTTTTAGTAGAGATGGGGTTTCACAATGTTGCCCAGGCTGGTTCCAAACTCCTGAGCTCAAGCCATCTGCCTGCTTTGGCCTCCCAAAGTGCTGGGATTACAGGAGTAATCTGGCCAAGTATTTAACTTCTTTATGCCTGTTTCCTACATTTGGAAAATGGGGATGCTTTAAGTACCTAGCACATAGAATTATTGTGAGAATCAATGCCTCACATATTAACATATTGATAAAATTATACTCATAGAACACTACTGGAAGCAAAGATAGTATTAGTTAAAATTTAGTGATTACTGCAAATATTATTACTATTACAAACAATATAGTATAGACATTACTACTACTATAGTTATCTTAAAAATCTAAAATAAAAATTTTACGTAATAGCCCAATGTAATCTCTCCTGCTCTGTCCTGGCTCAGCCCTAGTGCCGGCTCTGCCCCTAGTCCTACTACATCCCTGGCCCTGACCCTTCCCTGGTCCAGCCGCTGCCCTGGCCCTTCCCATCTTCAGGCCTTACCATGGCCCTACCCTGGTCCTGACCCTGCCCTGGTCTGGTCCTGACCCTGGCCCTACCCCAGAGAAGGGGTATGGCAGAGCCAGGGAAGGGCCAGGGCAAATAAGGGACAGGACACACCCAAATCCAGGAAAGGGCCAGGGCCATGACAGAGCCAGGGCGAGTCCTTGGCAGGGCCAGGTTCCAGGCCAGGGCCAGGAAAGGGTCATGGCAGGGTCACTGTATGGCCAAGGTCCAGGCCAAAGCCAAGGCAGTGGCAGGGTCAGGTCTGCATAAGGGCAGGACCAGAGCCAGTGATACGGCAGGGCCAGGGCCAGGGCCAGGGCTGTGCCAGGACAGAACAAGAGCAGAGCAGGGCAGGACCAGAGCCAGGCCATAGAGAGAGTAAGGCAAATGCCAAGGCAAGGCCAGGGTAGTGCCAGGGCTGAGGCAAGATCAGGGAAGGTCCAGGGCTCAGTCAAGGCTAGAACCAAGACAGGGGCAAAGGCCGGGGCAGGTCTAGGGCACAAGCAGGGCAGGCTAGGGCAGGGCAATGGCAAGACCAGGCCATGGCAGGGCCAGCCCAGGATAGAACAGGGCACAGGCAGGGCAGGGCCAGGGCCACGGCTGGGGCAGGACAAGGACCAGGACTGGGGTCCAGGCCAGGGCAAGGGTATGGCCAGGGCAGAGGTAGGGCCAGAGCCAGGGTCTGGGCAGGACCAAGGCAGGTCTATTGCAGGGCCAGGGTTCAGACCAGGGCCAGAGCAGGGCTGGGACAGGGCCAGGGCCAGAACCAGGAAAGGGCAATGTCAGGACAAGGGCCGTGGCAGGACCAGCAATGGGGCTGGGGCCAGGACAGGGACAGGGACAGGGTCAGGGCTAGGGCCAGAATAGCATGCCAGGGTAGAGCCACGCCAAATTAGGGCCAGGACAGGGTCAGGACCAGGGCTGGGCCAGGGCATGGCCTTAAGTAGCGAAGGGCCAGGGCCAGGGTCCATGCCAGTGCCAGCGCTGGTCCAGGGCAGACGCAGGGCCATGGCCAGATCTAGGACAAGGCTGGGGCAGGGCCAAGGTCTGGGTCAGGGTCAGCAGAAGGCCAGGACAGAGCCAGGGGAGGGACAGGGCCATGGTAAGACCAGGTTACATCAGGGACAAGACACCTGCAAATCCACTTCAGGGCCAGGGTCAGGGCAGGGCCAGTTCAGGGCCAGGGCCAAGACAGGGCCAGGGCTGCCAGGGTCATTGGCAGGGCCAGGGCCATGGCAGGACCGGGGTCAGGAGCAGGGGTCAATGCCAGGCCAAGGCCACACATAGGACCAGGTCTGTGCTAGGGCCAGTGTGAGGGCCAAGGCAGGGTCAGGGCAGGGCCAAAGGGAGGGCAGGGCCAGGGCAGGGTGGAGCAGGCCCAGGGTAGCACAGGGTTAAGGTAGTTCACGACCAACCAGGGCAGGTCTATGGTTGGGGCCGGGGCAGGGCCAGAGCCAGGGCACAGCCAAGACAGTGGCAGCTCCTGGGCAGGGCCAGGGTTAGGACCATGGACATGTCCAAGGCCAGTTCCAGGGCAAGAGCAAGGGCAGGAGCAGGACCAGGTTCATCTAAGAACCAGGGACAAAGCCAGGCCCAGAGCTGGGCCAGGACAGGTACCTGGCAGGGCTAGGGTCTGAGACAGGGCCACGGCAGGACCAGGGCCACAACCAGGTCTGTGCTATGGCCAGGTCCAACACAGTGCCCAGGTAAGGCTAGGGTGAAGGCCAAGGTAGGGCCAGGGCAGGGTCAAAGCCAGGCTAGGGCCAAGGCAGGGCCAGGGCCGGCAAGGCAGGGCCAGGAAAGCATAGGGCCAGGGCAGGGCGGGGCCAGGACAGTGCCAAGACCTGGGCAGGGCCAGGGCCAGGGCCACGGCCACGGCCTGGGGAAGACCAGGTTCGGGGCAGGAGCAAAACAATGGCAAGGACAGTGCAGGTTCTTGGCACAGCCAGGGTCCAGGACAGTGTCAGGGCAGGGCCAAGGCAGGGTCTGGGCCATGGTAAGACCAGCAACAGGGCTGGGGCTAGGCCAGTGACAGGACCAGAGTCAGGGCAAGGGCCAGAGCAGTGCAAGGCCAGGGTAGGGCCAGGCATTTCAGGGTCAGGGCCAGGGGAGAACCAGGGCAAGTTCTCAAGCAGGGAAGGGCCAGGGCCAGGACAGGTCCAGGGCAGGGCCATGACAGGGCCAGGGGCTGCGTTAGGGCAAGGGCAGGGCCACAGCAAGGTAAGGGTCAGGGCCAAGGCCAGGGTAGGGACAGGGCAAGAAATATGGCATGACCAGGGGCAATGCCAAGGCCAAGGTTGGGCCAGGGCTGAGCCAGGACTGAGTCAGGGCAGGGCAGGGCAGGGCATGGTATGGCCAGTGCAGGACAGGACAAGAGCCGGTCCACAGAGAGAGCAGAGCTGATGCCAAGAAAGAGCCAGGCTAGTGCCGAGGCTGAGGCAGTGTCAGAGCATGTCCAGGGCAGGGCCGGGGCCAGGGCCAGAACCGAGCCAGGGCACAGCCAAGGCAGGGTAGGGAAGGGAAATAGCACGGCCGGGACAGTACTGGGACAGGACAGAGCAGGGCAAGGAGATGGTAGCGGCAGGGCAGGGACAGGCCAATGCAGAGCCATGTTATGCCGGGGCCAGGACACCTCCAAGTCCACTTCAGGGCCAGGGCTATGGCAGGACAAAGACCACGGCCAGGATCAGGGCCAGGTCTGTGCTAGGGCCAGCTCCAGAGCAGGGTCTAGCGAAGACTAGGGTGAGGGCCAAGGTAAGGCCAGGGCAGGGTCAAAGGCAGAGTAGGGCCAGGGCAGGGTGATGACACATCCAGAGCGCAGCAGGGCAGGGTGATGGCAAGACCAGGGGCAGACCATTGCCAGCTCAGGGCCAGGGAAAGTCCAGTGCAGAGCCAGGAAAGGGTCTGGGTCTGGGTCAGGGCCAGGAACAAGGCAGAGCAGGGCCAGGGCCATGGCAGAGTCAGGGCAGGTCCTTGACAGGACCAGGTTCCAGGCCAGGGCCAGGGCAGCAGCAGGGGCAGGGCCTGGATAAGGGCAGGGCCAGGGATATGGCAGGACCAGGGCTAGGGCCAGGGCCAGGCCACAGTGAGGGCAGGGCAAAAGCCAAGGGCAGGGTCAGGGCAGGTCCAGGGCAGGTCCAGGGAGCGGCCAGCACCAAGCGGGGCCAAGTCACAACCAGCGCAGGGTAAGGCAGGGCAATGGCACCACTGGGCCATGACAGGGCAAGGTCAGTGCCAGGAGAGGGCAGAACAGGCAGGCCCATGGTGGGGCCAGGGCAGGGATGGGCCAAAGCAGGGCCAGGACATGTCCAAGGCCAGGTCAGGGCCAGAACAGGAGCAGGACCATGACCATTGGCAGGGCCAGTGCCATGACACGACCAGGGTCAGGACAAGAGGCAGGGCCAGAGCCACGGCCAGAGCCAAGGTCAGGCCAGTGCAGGTTCAGGGCAGAGCCAGTGCCAGGGCAAGACCAGGGCAGGGACAGGGTAGCACAGGGCCAAGACAGGGTCAGGATGGGACCAGAGCAGGACAGGGCCGAGAGTCCAAGTAACAGTAGGGCAGGTACAGGGCAAGGCAGGGCAGTACAGGGCCAGATCCACGGCAGGCGCAGGGCAAAGCCAGGCCCATTGCCAATGCACCAGCCCTCCTTACAAGGCTCCTACCATCTGGCCACTGCTGCAGCCCGTCCATCGCTCTAAGCCTGACCCCCAACCCTGGCTGCAGCCGCCTGCCCTCCTAGCGCAGCCGCTCTCCTACCGCTCTGGCGCACTGCAGTCTCCGTCACTGCCGCCCACCCGCAGCGAGGCGAGCCATGGTGTCGCAGGCTCTAGGTGTCTCCTCCTCTTCCTGGCACAGAGCAGCTGGGCGGGCAAAGCCAGAAAAGCCTAGAGAAAGACGTGAGGGGTGGAAGGGTTAGAGCCTCAACTTGTCATGCCGGCCACTGGGTGGCAGGGGCCAGTTTCAGCAAAGGCACTCACACCCACCCTCCAAAGTCCAGCCTCTCCTTTTGGCCCAAGCTGGGCAGGAACTGGGGTCTGGGGTGGGTGCTGGAGACACCACAGCACCCAGCTCCCCACTCCACAGGAACCATTGGGCCCACTGGGGCTGCACTCCTCGGGGAGCAGGAGAAGCAGAAAAATTCAGACCCAGCCAGCCCTCCACACCCAGGTGCCAATTCCTGTTCCGGACGCCTCCACGCACAGGGCCCTGTCCCCCGTGGTGTCCCCAGGGGTGCCTGGCAGCCTCTGAGGCACAGACCCACAGTACACAGGCCCAGGAACCAGGAACCACGGTGGGTGTGGGGGCTCTGCCATGCTCAGGATTCCCACGCAAACGCTGCGTGCCCTGCTGCACTCCAGTATGACCAAGAGTGGGTCGCCCTCTGGAGTGTGGAGTCAGGGAGAGGAGAACCACTCCTTCCTGGGATGCCAACTCTGTTGACCGACACCAGCAGTGCAGCCCCTGATAGCACCGAACTCGCCCCCGCTCCACTGCTAGTCCTGCCCTCAATAGCGCCCCCCACCTCCGTCCCCCAATGCCGCCAGTAGCGTATAACCGATAGTGCCCTAACCTGTCCTCCTCCATGGGCATTGCAGCCCCAGAAAGCACCCATAACCCACCCTCCCTGCCGTGGGCAGTGCAGCCCTGTACAGTGCTACCAACCAGTACCCCTAATGCAGGCAATGACACCCTGGATAGCGCCCTCAACCCACCCCACACTGCGAAAGGTGCAGCCCTGGATAGCCCCTGTCCTACCATCTGGTCGTCCTGCAGTCTCTGTCACCACCACCACCAACCACAGTGAGGCAAGCCAGTGGGCCACAGGCTCTAGGACCCAGCAGCCAGGCATGGAGCAGCTCTCGCTGATGGCCGGCTCCTACCACTCTGACCACGCTGCTGTCTGTCTCCGTGGCCATCTTCTTTCACTACAAAGGAATAAAACTAGGTATCAATAAGAAAAGCAATTTTGGAAACAATACAATCACATGGAAGTTAAACACTACCCTCCTGAATAAATGACTAGCGGATCAATGAAGATACTAAGACAGAAATTCAAAAATTTCATGAAACAAAGGGTAATGAAAACACAGTATACCAAAACTTGTTATGCAGAAAGCAGTACAAAGGCAGAGATTTACAGCTATAAGTGCCTACCATCCAAACAAAAGAAAACCTTCAAATAATACATCTTAAAGAACTAGTAAAGAACAAACTAAACCGAAAATAAGAAAATAAATAAGATCGTAGCACAAACAAAATTGAAATAAAAAACATACAAGATTAAATGAAAAGTTGGTTTTCTGGAAAGCTAAACAAAATTGACAAACTTTTAACCAGGCTAAGAAAAGAGACAAGATTCAAATAAATAAAATCAACAGATTAAAAAAGGAGACATTACAACTAATACTTCAGAAATTCAAAGGATCATAACTGGCTACTATATGCCAATAAATTGGAAAGCCTAGTAGAAATTGGCAAATTCCTAGATGCATACAACCTACTTAGGTTAAACAATGAAAACATCCAAGACCAGAACAGATTGGTAACAAGTAATGAGATTGAAGCCATCAGAAAAAGTCTCCCAGTAAAGAAAAGCCCAGGAACTGATGTCTTCACTGCTGATGGCTTCACACCAAACAATTTAAAGACCTAGTACGAATCCTGCTCAAACTATTTTGAAAAACAGGAGGGAATACTTCCAAACTTATTCTGTGAGACCATTATTACTGTGATACCAAAATCAGACAAAAGCATCAAAGAAGGAAACTACAGGCCAGGATCTCTAATATGGATGCAAAAATCCTCAACAAAATACCAGTGAATCAAATTCAGTAATACATTAGAAAGATAATTCATCATGATCAAGTGGGATGTATCCCTGGGACCCAAGGGTCACTCAACATACAATGTGATACATCATATCAACCAAATAAACGACAAAAACAGTATCATCACGTCAACTGAAACCGAAAAAGCATTTGATGAAATTCAACATCCCTTCATGCTATAAATCCTCAAAGAAACGGGCACAGAAGAAACATACCGCAACATAATAAAAACTACAGGAAAGACACCCACAGCTAGAATCATATGGAATGGGGAAAAATGGAAAGCTTTTCCTCTAAGATCTGGAACATGATAAGGATGCCCCCTGTCACCACTGTTGTTTAACATAGTACCAGAAATCCTAGCTAAAGCCATCAGTGCAGCCCCTGATATGGCCCCCAACCCACCCTGCCCCCTACCACCAGCAGTGTCACCCCCCCAATAGCACACCCAACATACCCAAACTGCCCCGCCTCCCCACACCATGGGCATTACAGCACCCCATAGCGCCCTCAACCCGAAACCGCCACCCCCCCGACAGCCGCACAGTGCAGCCCCGGATAGCACACTTAGCCCACCTCACTGTTGCCAGCAATACAGTCTGGGATAGTGCCCCCAACCGGCTCCCCACCAAAGGCAGTGCAGCCCCGGTTTGGCCCCCAAACCACCCCCCACCCCCCGCCCGGTGCAGGCAGCACAGCCCCAGATAGCACACCCAACCGGCCACCCAAGACGGGCAGTGACGCCTGAGATAGGGCTCCCAACCCGTCCCAGGCCACCCACAGTGCAGCCTGGATAGCGCACTTACCCCGACGCCTTTCTACGCTCTGGCTGGCTGCAGTGTCCATCGCTGCCACCAACCACAAACAGGGCTGCAAACAGGAAGGATTTTATTCACCGTCCATGCGGCCCCGAGTTGTCCCAAAGCGAGGCAGTGCCCCCAAGGTCTGTGCAGAGCAGAACGCAGCTCCGCCCTCGCGGTGCCACCGGCCCGCCCGCCCGGGTCTCTGCTGAGGAGAACATTGCTCTGCCTTCGCTGTATCTCCGAAGTGTGTGCAGAGGAGAACTCAGCTCCGCCCTCGCAATGCTCTCCGGGTCTGTGCTGAGGAGAACGCAGCTCCGCCCTCGCAAAGGCACACAGCGCTGGCGCCGGCGTGGCGGAGAGGCGGACGGCGGCGGAGAGGCGGCCAGCGGCGGCGCGGCGGAGAGGCGGATAGCGGCGGAGAGGCGGACAGCGGCGGCGCGGCGGAGAGACGGACAGCGGCGGAGAGGCGGACAGCGGCGGAGAGGCGGACAGCGGCGGCGCGGCGGAGAGACGGACAGCGGCGGAGAGGCGGACAGCGGCGGCGCGGCGGAGAGACGGATAGCGGCGGAGAGGCGGACAGCGGCGGCGCGGCGGAGAGGCGGACAGCGGCGGAGAGGTGGACAGCGGCGGAGAGGCGGACAGCGGCGGCGCGGCGGAGAGACGGACAGCGGCGGAGAGGCGGACAGCGGCGGCGCGGCGGAGAGGCGGACAGCGGCGGCGCGGCGGAGAGACGGACAGCGGCGGAGAGGCAGACAGCGGCGGCGAGGCGCGCAGCGGCGGCGCAGGCGCGGAGAGGCGCTGGCGCCGGCTCTGGCGCGGAGAGGTGCAGGCCCAGGCTCCACTCCCCAGCTGTGAAAGGGTAAGAACCGAGGGTGGCTGAGACTCGGGGTTGTTCAGGGCGGGGTGGGCTCTGGACCCAGCAGGCCCGGCACCCAGGTCAGGGCTCCAGGGGAGGCCAGGTGGGCGAAGGCCAAGAAGGGGCTGGGGCTGGTCAGGAAGGGCTCCTGGTGACCAGAGCACTTTGCGTGAGCCAGCGTGGGAGGAAGGTGGGCTAGATGAGCCAGGGAGGCGCCGGGAGGGGCCTTGGCAGAGGCGACCCCCTCCGTCACCCCCAGGCCACTGAACCCTGGGTAGCGAGAACCGACAGGGGAGGCTGCAGACAGAGGAGTGGAGGCTCCCCGGCTTTGGGGGCTCTGAGTAGAAGCATCTAGGGGGTCCCTCAAGAGGCCCCCAAACGCTTCCCCATGGTGAGAAAAGAAGGCGCAGAGAGGGGCACGGCGCCGGCGCAGAGGGGCACACAGCGAGATTTGCTGTGAGTTCTTTTATTGCCCCAAGTGTACCTCATCTTGGTAGATTTCTATTGGCTTTAAAAATGTGTGTGTTTTGCTGTTGGGGAGTGGGGTGTTATACGGATGTCAGATTTTGCTGGTTGACTGTTCAGATCTTTTGTAAATCCTTGCTCCTTTTCTGCCTAGTTTCACTCTGTCACTTACACTAGAGTGCGGTGGCACGAACATGACTCACTGCAGCCTTGACTTCCTAGGGTCAAGTACTCCCCCTGGCTTAATCTCCTGAGTAGCTGGTACTATAGGTGTGTGCCGCCACACCTGGCTAAATTTAAAATTTTTTGGAGAGATGAGGCCTTGCTATGTTGCCCAGGCTCGAACTCCTGGCCTCAAGCTATCCTTTGTTTTTGCCTCCCAGAGTTCTGGGATTACAGGCATGAGCCACTGTGCCCGGCCTCTGCCTAGTTTTAACAGTTGCTAAGAGGAGGATGTTGAAGTAGATGTCTTCTTGGTGGGTTAATCCTTTTGTCATTAAGCAGTTGTTATGGTCACTTCCTTTTCACCCCATTGGTGAAGGAGGGGTCCCTGCCCTAAAGTGTAGGAGATGGCCGAACATGACACCTGGCGTGGATGGATGAGATTGACAGCAGTGTTTTAGTCGCATATACCCACAGCTCGGAGGAGGACACTGCATGCCACACAGGGTCAGATGGGCACCGCACTCTGTAGTGGAGTGAGGGCTGCGGGCTGAGGAAGCAGGCGGGCTTGGTAGTAACAAGAGCACACGATGACCAATGGTTCCCGAGGGGGAATGCAATTGGCTTGTTTGAATAAATTCATGGGCTGGCAGACAGGTGAAGCGAAACTTCTTAGGCTGAGGTGCAACTGTTCTGGCTGATAAAAGAACTAGCCAGGTGGGGAGCCTTTCCTGTTGGGTGGCGGGGTAGGGGGTGTCTGGTAGAAACAGGAAAACCCACGGCTAGGCCTTTGGGGCCCTGTGAGGCTCAAAGATGTCAAGGCAGCATAGGAAATTTTAGATCTTAAAATTCAGCGAAGACCCTCTCCAGCTCTGGTAAATTATTTTGCTTGAAGTCTACTTCATGAAATATTAATATAGTCACTCCTGCTTCCTTAAAAAATTAATGATTTCACAGGATATCTTTCTCCATTCTTTTACTTTCAACCTACTTAGGTCCTTAAGTGAGTTTGAAGTTTCTCATGAACAGTATTTAGTTGGGCCATGTGTTTATTATAGGCTCTCCATCAATCTGTCTTTTGGTTTATTTAGACCATTTACATTTAAGGTGCTTATTGTTACATAATTGCTTATGCCTGATGTTTTTATTATTTGCTTTTTTGTTTCCTTTTTCTTTCCCTCCATCTTGATCTATTTCTGTAAAATGTTGTTGCGTGTATCTCTTTGTATAGTCTTAAAGTGTTTGCTCTGGATGTTACAATATGTGTATTGTAATATAGTAGTCTACTGGTACCAGTATTTACCACTTCAAAGTGTGGAAACCTGCCTTGCATTTATGTCTCTTTACCTTTTCCACTTGTATAAATCACTGGCTTGAGTATTAGGTGGTGGTATAGTTTTTGTTTCAGTCGTCAGATGTGATTTTAAGAACTGTGGATTGTCTCGCGTATGTATCCACATTTCTCGTCTTTCCTTTGTCCCTCCTCCCATAGTCCCATATTCATCCCTTCTGCATAAGAACTTTCTATAGCCATTTTTTTATTTTGATTTTTTTGTTTTAATTTTTTGTATTGTGGAAATGACAGAACATATTTCCGTAGCCACTTTTTAGCATTTCTAAATTGACCAGTGACAAATTCCTATATTCTCTTCCTCTGAGAATGTCTTTATTTCTCTCTTCATTTCTGAAGGGTAGTTTCATGGGATATAGAATTTGCCTTTCATGTATTCAGAGGTTTTCAGTATTCGTATAATCAAACCTGATAGTTTTCCTTTTGGTTTTGAGGTTGTGTCTTGTTTGGGTGAGTCTCCTACCCCTTTGACTACAGAAATGCCCTTTCATTTTAAATATCCTCCTATTATGAAACACATTTCCACATTTTCTAAATTTTTAATTTTTAGCTGAGAAATAAATTAGTAATTATTTAAGTATTAATTATTTTTATCTTGTTATTAATTATTGGTTTTATTTATTTACATGTAGTTGGCTTACATTTAGTTTAGTTTAACTTAATTACTTTAAAGTAATGTATAAATATCTGCAGTTTGTACCTCATGTTCTCACTCATAAGTGGGAGCTGAACAATGAGAACACGTAGACACAGGGAGGGGAACATCACACACCAGGTTCTATCCAGGGGTTGGGGGCAAGGGAAAGGAGAGCATTATGACAAATACCTAATGCATGCAGGGCTTAAAACCTAGATGACAAATTGATAGGTGCAGCAAACCACCATGGCACATGTATACCTATGTAATAAACCTACATGTTCTGCACATGTATCCCAGAACTTAAAGTAAAATTTTAAAAAAAAAAATAATTAATTAAAAATATATATCTTCAGTTTGTAAACGTCCCGACAACGCAGGAACAGAGTTAAAAGAGTGTGTGTCGTCCTTAGCTGCTCCCACCCCATCGTCTCCTCCCTAGCCAACCCAGCCGCCAGTCTGGCGTGCGCCTTCAAGGTTTCTTCCTAGACACTGGCAAACAAACATCACTATTTTCTGCCACATGGTATCTTTTAAACACACACGATTGTTTTGTGCAGAAACTTTCTATTTTTACCTCTCATAAGTGTCCTGTGGATTCTTTCCACGTCACTGTGGTGTGTGTGCGTGTGTGAGATTCAAGTTCAGCTTGCTAATCTTGTAGAAAGAATTACACTCCACTTCCCCTGTGCTCTGGCCCTCCCTAACACAGCAGCCCATCCCTGGAGGCTGATGGAGCCCCTCGAGCACCTGCTTACCATTTCTGTTTGTTCTGTTTGTTCAGGTTTTCTGCCTCCTGCTAAGCCAATTTATACATTCCAAGAAAATCTTCCATTTCATCCAGGTGAAACGGAACCTACTGGAATGAAGCTGGCCTCCCATGGAATGAAGCTGGCCTCCCGTCTCCTTGATTTGAAGCAGCTTCTCCACGTTGGTTATTATGCCATTTTTCTAAATCTAACATTTTAAAATTTGTGCCTTTTCTTTCTCTTTTGCTTGACTTCTCAGAGGTTTTTTTAACGGTCTTTTCAAAGAAGTGGTTTTGGGTTTTATTTATCAAGTCTACTTTTATTATGGCTGTTTTAAAATTAAATACATTTATTTCTTGTTTCCCTTAAAAAAGCTTCTTGTATGTTTACTTAGTTTATATAATTTTATATGTCTTCTGTTGAAGCATATTAACAAACACTTCCAGCTATAACGTTTCCCCTGAGAACTGCTTTGGACACATCCAGAGATTTTGATAGGTCACACACTTATTGTAGTTTGTTTCTGAAAAGTTTTTCATTTTAGTTTTTATTTTCTCTTTTACTCAAATTATCATGAGCTTTCTCCTTTTATCCTGTTTCTGACAAATTAATCTGAGGATATAAATTTCTCCCTAAATGTCAATTTTGTTGAGTTTCATAATTTTAATATGTAATACCCTATTGCTATTGAGTTCCAGGCATTTTATAATTTTCATTGTGAAAACTAACTTTGTTTCCAAAACACACTTTTTCTTCTTTTTTGAGACAGAGTTTCACTCTGTCACTCAGGCTGGAGTGCAGTAGCACAATCTCATCTCACTGCAACCTCTGCCTCCTAAGTTTAGGTGATTTTGTTGCCTCAGCCTCCCTAGTAGCCGGGTTTACAGGCTCTTGCCACTATGCCTGGCTAATTTTTTGTATTTTTAGTAGAGACAGGGTTTCGTCATGTTGCCCAGGCTGGTCTCGATCTCCTGACCTGGGGTGATCCACCCGCTTCAGCCTCTCAAAGTGCTGCGATTACAGGCATGAGCCACCGTGCCCGGCCCCAAAATGCACTTTTAACATGGTCTTTGTTATTGCATGTTTCTAATTTTGTTGCACCCTGGTGAGAGAATGTGATTTGTGTAACAGCAATTCTTGGGAAAGGGGCTGAGGCTTCCTGCTCCTTTAGCACAGCTAAATTTTCCCAAACGCCATCCATGAGCTTGGAAAGAGCATTGTACTCTGTTGGGATGGGCTCAAATCTCTCTGTAAAAATGAGTGTTCTTCTGTTGTTGTTGTTCTGTTTTTTGTTTGTTTTGTTTTGTTTGTTTTTTGTCTCAGTCGTTTTGTTTGCTCAGATCTTTTGATGATCCGGATGATCTTTTAATTTATGCAGGATGTTTCTCTGCTTGTGCAGGCTGGTGGGATTGGGGACTGGAGAGAGGATAAGTGTCTGCTTGCCCAGGACTGGCAAACTGTCACTTGCCCTGGTTGTGCCTTGCCAGGAGCTCCCGTGCCTGTCTCTGAGAGTGTCATGAGCGCAGCGGTGGTAGTTGTGTGGTGGATGCATTTCCCCTGGGTTGGGGGGTGGGTGGCTGGTCCTAGCTCTGTTTGTTGTTGCCGATGAGACACAGCACACTTCTGCTTCCTGATGGATCTTGTCGGTCATTTGACTTCTTCCTGGTCTGGGTTCCTGAGCTGGCCCTCCACAGGCCAAGCAGGAATGGAGCTGGCTGCTACAAGAGTTCCTTCACTAGAGGGCATCTCTCCTCTCTCCTCCCACACATGGGAGCACAAGGGTGGGCTTTCCTCCGCCCACTGTGATCCGCAGCCCGGCTTTCCCCTCCTCACCCTCTGCTCTCAGACAGACTTGCTTTTCGCTGGTGTCTGTGAGAGGTGATTCTTCATGGTGCCAAGAATATGGATTTTTTTGAGAGCAGGCTCTCTCACAGATATTTGCACACCCATGTTCAAAGCAGCGTGATTCACAAGAGTCAAAAGGTAGAAGCATTCTGAGGGTCTATGGGTGAGTGGATGGGCAAGCGAAATGTGGTTATGCATACAGTAGACTGTTACTGAACCTTTACCAGGAAGGAGATTCTTTTTTTTCTTTCTTTTTGTGGAAAATGCGGTCTCGCTATATTGCCCAGGCAGGTCTCGAACTCCTGGGTTCAAGCTATCTTCCTACCTCTGTCTCCCTAACAGCTAGGATAATAGGCGTGAGCCTATAATATCACCCAGCCAGGAGGGAAATTCTGAGAGGTGTGCCAACACGCATGAACCTTGAGGACATTGTGCTAGATGGAATAAGCCAGCCACAAAAGGACAAATACATTGCGATTTCACTTACATGAGGGGCCCAGAATGGGCAAATTCAAATACAGAAAGAGCAATGGTTAACAAAAGGAGGGAGTTGGTGTTCAGTGGGTATGGTTTCCTTTTGGGAAGATGAAGAAGTTCTGGAGATGGACGGTGGTAGGGGATATGCGACAATGTGAGTGCACTTAATGCCGGTTATAACAAGGGGAGTGCGTGTGCACACGGCTCTGGGAGTTCTCGTGCAGCACTCAGAGCTCAGCGTGGGCGAGGGCGTCACCCCTCTGGGGGCGTCCATGGGGCCTTGGAGAAGGGAGGCTCCAGGGCACCAGAGCAGTCTACCCGGAGAGGCCGGGCCGAGAGCTTGTTCACCCCCAGCCCTCTTAGGGAACTTTCACATGCTTCTCCCACTAGGCCTAGGCACCCCTCCCTACCCTCCCTACCCTCCTGGTTCCCTGACCCTCAGTGACTGTGTCCTTCAAGACTGAACTCCAGAGTCCCCACCCGAGGACCCGCAGTGCCCAGCCCCCGCGAGCTCGCGGGGTGTATGCCCACCCCGAGGCTCCACCGTGCCTGTGTGCTGGGAAGCCTGGCTCCATGGGACCCTCGGGCTCTGGGTGCGCCGTCGCTGCAGCTGCCAGCAGCTCCTGAGGAAGTGGCTCGAGGCCCTGGGGCGGGCCAGGCATGCGGTGGGCCCGCTGCCCTCACACCGGCCCCGGCCACACACAGGAGGCGCAATCAGCAGAGACGTTGGACAGGGTTGGACACTGGCTGTCTCTTTCGGGCCTCGGTTTTCACGTCTGAAATAAAAGCGAGCATCCTGGCCCTGGTGCTGTGCCTCTGCCGCGGTAGAGGTTTCCACCCCTATGAGCCCAGTGCACCTTCCAGGCTCGAGGGAGAGGGAGTGTGCGTGCGTGTGAACGCGTCACACTCTTGTGTGAATGCGTCATACTCTTGTGAAAGACTGTGCGTGTGCACACGCGTGTACGTGCATGTGAACGCGTCAGGGTGCCTGAGGATGCACACATGCACGTGTGAGTGTGCGCGAGTGCGTGCTCAGAGGACAGCTCTCAGCAGGCTGGGGACCTCCTTCCTCTCACCCCTGAGGGTTTTGGGGGACCAGCCCCCGTCTCCGGGTGCTGTGGGATGTCCTGGGGCGAGCTCGCACCGCTGTGCTCGGGCTCCGGCTTTGTGGGGACCCGGCCTTCCCGGCCCGCACCACGGGGAGTTCCACGCAGCACCCACGAGGTGGCGCCGCAGACTCGCTACCGCGGAGCGCGGCGGCTCCTGGCTCCCAGCAGCCTTGCCTACAGCTGTGGCCAGGGCGATCCCTCTCAGGCCCAGGCCGCTGCTGCCAGGAAGAGCAGGAACAACAGCCAGTCACGCCTGGTGATGCCTCTGAAGTGCTTATGCTCCCAGGCATGGGCTGACCGCAACGTGCATTCTCTCCTTTTATGCCCCTACTATTTGGAACGCTGTATTTTTTCATTTTTATTTTTATTTTTTGTTGTAAATCTGCCACTTAAAAATACCCAGGGTGGAGCTAAAAGTACAGACACTGCTCAACTTACCCCTGGCTGCGGCCCGATAAGGCCGCTGCGAGTGGAAAATGACTGAGTCCACCTGACTACCGAATAGCACAGCGTGGGGGGGCCCACCTTGGCCTGCTGAGAACACTGCCCTGAGCCTGCGGTGGGCAGAAGCATCAACACGAAGCCTGTTTTGTAGTCAAGTGTCGGATACCTCATGTAATCATTGACTGCTGTACTGAAAGCGAAAAACTGGCCGTGTGGGACTCACACGAGGGTTTCTGCTGACTGTGGATGGCTTTTGCATCACTATAAAGTTGAAAACTGTTAAGTGGAACTGCGGTAAGTCGGGGCTGTGTGCACTAGAGACCTGAGTTCTGCCGCTCCATAGCTGTGTGACTTTGGACACATATTTGAGCCTGAGTGTCTTCCACACAAAATGGATTTCTTAGCATAACCTACACATGTGTACGTGCCTGTGAGCGTGCACGTGTGTGTTTGCATGAACACATCTGTGTATGCACGAGTGTGTGCACATTTGTATGTGTCTGTGTAAGTCCGTATGTACATTTGTGTGCATGTCTGTGTGTGCATATGTTTGTATGTGTGTGTGCTATGCATGTGTGTGTTAAGGCCCTGGGGTGGAGCTGAGGAGTTGAGGGGAGATGCTGGGAGGGCAGCCAGCACCAGGCGTTTGTTGGCCAGGAGAGAAGCTGCCATCCAGGTGCACTCTGGAGCTCGTGCTTCAGTGGCACAAGGCTTTGGGAGTGAGGAAGCTGGGGGCTGGGGCAGGGCAGTCCTGCACCTCAGGGGAGGTGCAGAGTGAGGCCAGGAGGATGGAAAGAGTGCCAGAGAATGGGGGAAATCTGAGGCATCAGGAAAGGAAGACACAGGCCATGGAGAGGGCAGCTGGGCCCTGGGTGAGGCCGGCCCTCAGGAAGGAGGTGCCACAGGCAGGGGAGTGCCCAGATGGAGAGCCCAGGGGTATGGACCCACGGGTGTATGACAGTGGGGGTACTCCTGAAACAGAGCAGTGTTATCCAACAAGCAGGGTTGGGACAGCTAGTTATTTCATTTAAAAAAACAGGTCAATGTCAGTCCTCATACTGTGCTTTAAAATAAGCTCCAGATGGACTCATCTTTTACATGTAAAGAATAAAAGGCAAAAAGAAAATAAAGAAAAGTCTTGTAAGCAGGTAGTTAATTGGAGGCAATCCCAGGATGCAGGAGAGAGGTGAAATACTTTTAGACCTAAAATTTGAAAAATATAGTAAAAATGATTCCCATATGTGCCTCTTTCAGCTTGCTCTAATGTCAGCATCATAAATAACCACAGCATAAGTATCACAACCATGAAATGAACATAGATATAATGTTATTTGTTAACTCATTTAAAATACCATATGGATTTCACTGATTTTTCCCGTTGATGACTTTTTTTATGTTACAAGATAAAATTCAGGTTTCTGTATTTTATTTGGTTATCCTGTCCTTAATATCTTTAAATCTGTGATAGTTTTTCACTTTTGTTTCTCTTTCATGGCCTTCAAACATTTGAAGTTTACTGTCCAGGTATGTTGAAGAATGTCCTCCTAGTTGGGTTTGTATATGATGTTTACTACTGATTCAATTCACACCATTAATTTTTGGCAAGAATAATACAGACAGATGTATCCTCAGCGCTTCACATCAGATGTTACATAATGTCAACATGTCTTATAGGTGGTAATAAATGAATATGATCAATGAAATCCCATTTGGAAGGAAGTTTTGGACAAAAATAATGAAAACAACTGCTTCTATCACTCCTTCTACTAGGTCATTGCAGACGTCATTAGGAATAATCTATTTCTTCCTTATCGAATATGTACTTTATTTTAACAAACTTTAATCTTTTTACAGTCTACTGCATCACAGAGAAAATTGAAGAAATAATTTAGTTCACTTTTAAATGGCAAATGTTTCCATAATAACCATTTGCCACTGAAATGTTGATAGCCTGAAGAAAGAAAAAGAATGGGATTTATTCAGCCATGGTAGTATCTTCACATGAACAGCTTTTACTGAGTCAACTATTTGGATAAATAAATAGAATTTTCTACTACTTAGAATGTTGCAAAATTCAAATGGAGCAGTGTAGCATGCACTGAGCTACCTCTACTGGGAAAGTTAAGAACCACTGAGGCTATATAAGGATTCATACAGTGAGTCACTATTTCTGGAAACCTGGGATTCTGGTGCCTCAGTTGAAGAGAGTCCAAGAATCAAAGTCCAAATTATTCAATGATTTTTTTTTAGAACTGCAAAATGTCCAAATAGAGCAGAGACGCTAAAACTGAGTGGCCACATTAGCTGTCTGTAAAGGAAGCAGCTGGTAAAATCTAGTAAACACTGATGGTCTTGTTGAGGTTTTTGTTTCATGTTGAATCACTGTGGGAGGTAAGTTATAATCCTGCTGACAGTAATAAACTGCAAAATCTTCAGGCTGCAGGCTGCTGATGGTGAGAGTGAAGTCTGTCCCAGACCCACTGCCACTGAACCTGGCTGGGATGCCAGTGGCCCTGGTGGATGCACCATAGATGAGGAGCCTGGGAGCCTGCCCAGGTTTCTGCTGGTACCAGGATAAGTAGCTGCTGCTAACACTCTGACTGGCCCTGCAGGAGAGGGTGGCTCTTTCCCCTGGAGACAAAGACAGGGTGGCTGGAGACTGTGTCATTACAATTTCTCCGGTGGTATCTGAGATTGGAAATAAAACAGAAATGCACTCATGTAATCTAGATCAAACCAGCTGTCTTTGAGTAGAGCCAAAATTGTTGATCTACTTTGAATTTTAATTATATTTCTTGCTGATCAGAGAAAACTCCTGATGGAGTTTTCACTGATGTGCAAAACCACCTCATATTCCCCTCACCTGGGAGCCAGAGTAGCAGGAGGAAGAGAAGCTGTGCTGGGGCTTCCATGGTTCCGTCTGGGTCCTAACTGAGCAGTTCCTCCCCAGGGCTCTGACCCAGGCATTGATATGGGCCCTGGAAGGTAGGGCAGCTGGGAGGGACATGCAAAGCAGCTGGGGTGGGAGCTGGGCTTCCAGCTGCAGATACCACCTGCTTCTTCCTCTCTGCACTGAGCATCCTGCGCCGCCTTGGTTGTCAGGTCAGAAAAGTCTGTTGGCTCAGTCTGAGTGTAGAACTCCTCCCTTGTGCTCACAGAATTTCACTCCTGTGCCTTTCTTCTCTTCAATCACCTAAATACACCCGTATAATGTTTGGCACAAGTCTGTTAAGAACAATATAAAAGGCTGTGTTTTCATTTCTCTCTTCCTGTCCTCAATATGCCCAGTCATCTCCCTAAGTGCATTATTGGATCTATGGAAATGAAGAGTCTGTTAGAACTTAATCTTCCAGATACACATTTTTTTTTTTTTTTTTTGAGACGGAGTCTCGCTCTGTCTTCCAGGCTAGAGGGCAGTGGTGCGATCTCCACTCACTGCAAGCTCTGCCTCCCGGGTTCACGCCATTCTCCTGCCTCAGCCTCCCGAGTGCCTGGGACTACAGGCGCCTGCCACCACGCCCAGCTAATTTTTTGTATTTTTAGTAGAGACGGGGTTTCACCGTGTTAGCCAGGGTGGTCTCGATCTCCTGACCTGGTGATCCACCCACCTCGGCCTCCCAAAGTGCTGGGATTACAGGCATGAGCCACCGCGCCCGGCCCAGATACACCTTTCATTTGCTTATTAGTAATGTTTTCTGAGGGTCCTGAAGCTTTCCATTAACCCAGACACATACCCTCTTTGAGTTAAAAACTTCTGTTTACAGTCACATGTCCTGGCAGCCCTGACATAGATGCTCCATGGCTTCCCGATTGCTTGAAATTAATCAAGTAACTTAACTTCCCTGTGTCTCGGTTTCCATATCTGTGTAACTGTGACAATAGTGGTACCTGCCTTACAGTGCTGTAGACAGTTTAAAGAAAATAAGATAAAACATTTACAGTAGTATTCAGGACATTATGTGTGTGGCAATTAATTTTGTTTTCATTGTTTAAATGTTCAGCACTACAGTCATCATCATTATAAATATACTTACCATGGAAAATAGTCTTAAATCTAATCCAAGAATGTTTTATCCACAGTCAAATTAAATTCTAAGGCATTTTCTTCAGTAACTGTACACAACTCTTAAAATCCTAATGATTTGATCTTAATCTGTGCTAAAGTACTCAGACCTTCAATCATTCCCATCCATCCCTGTCTAACGCATTACTTCTCATCATCCATTATTTAAATGTTACCCTATAAATAGTTCCCATGTCCTGTTGCTGTCCTTCTTTCTTATGTAATCTTTATTCTACCTTGTTATCTTTTATGTTATTCTTGCCCCAGGACTGACAATAAGGAAAAACTACCATCATTACTTGTAGACTTGCTCCAGTATAATCTTTTCAGGCTTGTTTTCTTGGAAATGAGGACTGTGTCTTGCAAAGAAACATATTCATTGAGTCAATGTGTTATGAAATAAAAGACTTTATCTACTTATGATCCAATAATTAATTGACTGACTTGAACAGATTTTTAATGACAAAAAGGAGAAGACGATATAAGAGAAAAATTTAATACAATAGAAAACACAAGCTAATATAACACTTGCTTCATGGATTTTTACATGTATATTAGACATATGCTGGGTATATGTGTGCAATGATAATCTAAAAACTGAATGCTAAGTAGCTTAAGGAATGCCTGCATTACACTGAGTCTTGCCCACTTTTCCAGTTATGAAAAGAAAGCTACAGCACTATTTGTATGAGTATCAAACCTTCTAGATGCTGTGATAGAGGTAGAGAAGATTTACTGAGACCAAAGCCTTGGAAGTAGTAGATGCTTGTTCTATGATATTATGTGGTTGTGGTTGTTGTTGTTAGGAAATACAGTGGGAGTGAAAGCAAGGAGAAGATTTACAAGCTCTGCTCTTCCTCATACTCACAACCCCCTCTAGAGATGGACAGATGTTGGTCCAGGAATCTCTGACACCTCTTAGAAGCCTTTTGCTCTTTCCAGAATGTTTCCTGACAAGTATTGTTTTGAGTCACAGATTAGGTGAAACTAGGTGTAGAAGAAAGGACTAGAGCAAGGGAAGAAGTTTTCCATCCCAGACAGTTGTAGGAACAGGGAAATTGAATTTTTCATAGATTTATGTGATACTTTTATCATGTTGGGGAGAGAGGCATCAAACCAGGCTCATTACTGAAAGAATTATTACGTTATTTAAGAGAGAAAGAACTGTGAATTTCTTGTCAAATAGATGTTTAAAATTCAAAGCTACTGATTTTTTTTTTTTTTTTTTTGGAGATAGAATCTCACTCTGTCACCCAGGCTGGAGTGCAGTGGCACAATCTTGGCTCACTGCAACCTCCATCTCTCAATTTAAAGCAATTCTCCTGCCTCAGCCTCCCAAGTAGCTGGGATTACAGGTGTGTGCCAACATACCCAGCTAATTTTCATATTTTTAGTAGAGACGGGGTTTTGCCATGTTGGCCCGGCTGGTCTCAAACTCCTGACCTCAGGTGATCTGCCTGCCTCGGCCTCCCAAAGTGCTGGAATTGTAGGATTGAGCCACTGCGCCTGGCCCTACTGATGTATTAATATTATTCATCTTCTTGAATACACCAAGTGGTAAAGTGCAAATCCACACTTTAAACTTGAGATTTCTACTCCTATGTGAATTATACTGGTGAGGAACAAAAAAATTATCTATTGGTGGGGAGATGATGTTTGACAGCGGTCAGTTTGTGAAGCAGAGGCTTATGTCACAGGACTTTTTACAGTATTACATATAAACATGGTGAATGGCCTCAAACACAGAAGAATCAGCTTTTTTCATGAGCCATACTACCACCAAGAAAGAACTGAATTGAAACCTGTGACTACTTGATGAAGGGTGTATAAAGAAGAGGGAAAGATTTGGGAGGCCAAGGCGGGCGGACCACGAGGTCAGGAGATCAAAACCATCCTGGCTAACATGGTGAAACCCCATTTCCATTAAAAATACAAAAAAGTTAGCTGGGCGTGGTGGAGTCCCAGCTACTCGGGAGGCTGAGGCAGGAGAATGGCATGAACTGGGGAGTCGGAGGTTGCAGTGAGCCAACATTGCACCACTGCACTCCAGCCTGGGTGACAGAACAAGAATCTGTCTCAAAAAAAAAGAAGAGGGAAAGAAAAATGACACAAAACACAATATCATAAATGGAAAGGAAGAAGTCATTACACAGCCTACAGGAGTCAAAAAATAAAGAGAGGATATTATGAGTAATTTTATGTCAACTGACTTGACAAAAGTGGTGCAGGGCAGGTTCTTGGCTTCACTCAGGAAGGAATGCAGCGTAAGCTGGTGGTAGAAGAAAACAGCTTTACTGAGGTGGCAGTGTTACAGCTTTGTGACTGTTCTTGTGAAACAGAGCTACCACATAGGCATTGTGCCAAGAGCAGTAGCGTAGGGGCAGTTTTGCACTCATATTTATCCCCAGTTTTAATGACATGCTAATAAAGGAGTGGGTTATTCAGAAATAGCTAGAAAATGGGCAATAACTTTCAGGTGTTGCCATGGCAATGGTAAACTGATATGGCACTGGTGGGCATGTGTTATGGACAGGTGCTTCCAGTGTCTCTTCCTTGTGTCAGCCAGTCTTCAATCTGGTCCTGGGTTGAGTCCCACCTACCTCCTATCTCATTGCTCCCTCAGAGATTCGATACTCCTCCTTAATCTTAAGGGGACTGCAGAAGAGCAGAGTCCCTTTTCTGTAAGTGCTTCCTGCTGACTTTATGGGGGCAGGCCTTCCCTAGCCTTTGAGGAGTAAAAATCTTTGGTACCTGAACTAAGGGGCCCAATGGCACGATGCATTCATTTGTGGGGTCAGAAGACAGAATGGGTTGGAAGACTTATGACAGACCGTATCATCTTTACATGAAATTTAGAAGACATAAACTTTACTAGGATGTTAAACAAGAAAATTATAATTGGAAGAGAGGGAAAAATTAATGCTCCTAGGTCCACCTACAGAACCATGTTATTAATCTATGTGTTTGCAAAACAACAGCCTTAAGTTTTCTGTTTTATAAATGGAGGTTGTGGTGTCCACCTTTTGTGGCTGTAGGACCTTGTAAGAAACAGGTTTAGTCCTGGGCAGCTGTACCCAACTAGTGGCTTCCTGAAGCCTAACAGTAATTAAGAGTAATAAAGAATATCTGATAATGGCTCCTTATTCTGGTTATTATTGATTCTTGGGGGATCATTTTGTTGTTGTTGTTGTTGTTGTTGTTGTTTTTTCTTTGAGATGGAGTCTCGCTCTGTTGCCCAGGCTAGAGTGCAGTGGCACAATCTTGGCTGGGCTCACTGGAACCTCTGCCTCCAGTTTTCAAGCTATTTTCATGCCTCAGCCTCCTGAGTGGCTGGGATTACAGGCATGTACCACCATGCCCAGCTAATTTTGTAATATTAGTAAAGATATGGTTTTGCTATGTTGGCAAGGCTGATTTCGAACTCCTGGCCTAAGTGATCCGCCCATCTCAGCCTCCCAAAGTGTTGAGATGAAAACGTCACAGGAGCTGATGAAAAAGGAAAAGGAGACAGCAATGATCCCAGGCCTTTTTAAAGGGAGAACAAGCTGAAAGCAGCAAAACACAACAGTTAAATCTCTAAGACACTAATCTCAGAAGTTTTAAAAGAAACTCATTATCGTATCACAGGCAAAATTTTTTGTTTTACTTGTTTTTTTTTGTTTTTTTTTTTTTTAGATAGAGTCTGGCTTTGTCACCCAGGCTGGAGTGCAATAGCGTGATCTTGGCTCACTGCAACCTCCACCTCCCGGGTTTCAGCCATTCTCCTGCCTCAGCCTCCTGAGTCGCTAGGGTTACAGGTACATGCCACTGTGCCTGGCTAATTTTTGTATTTTTAGTAGAGACGAGGTTTTACTACGTTTGCCAGGCTGGTCTTGAACTCCTGACCTCAAATGATCCTCCCACCTTGGCCTCCCAAAGTGCTGGGATTATAGGCATGGGCCACCATGCCCAGCCTTAAAGCTGTATTTTTATTAAGTAAAAAAAAAGCTTGAACATTCATCCTGGAAGTTTCTTTTTGAGTCTCAGTCACAAGGGTAACTTTTAAAAGCAAATTTCTAAAATACAGTCTGATATACAGGCATTTACACCTGACTCCTGACTCGTGACTCTTTTTCTTTTTTTTTTTTTTTTGAGACAAGGTCTCACTCCCATCACCAAGGCTGAAGTGGAGTGGCACGATCATGGCTTACTGCAACCTCATCCTCTGGGGCTCGGGTGATTCTCTCACCTCAGCCTCCTGGGTAGCTGGGACTACAGGTGCCCACCACTACACCTGGCTAATTTTTTGTATTTTTAGTAGAGAGGGTTTCATCATGTTGCCCAGGCTGATCTTGAACTCCTAAGCTCAAGAGATCCACCGGCCTCAGCCTCCCAAAGTGCTGGAATTACAGGCATGAGCCATTGCGCCCAGCCACGCCTGACTTTTAATAGTCCTGACCTCAACAGATGGGTACTGGGGTTTTTAATTGATATTAACACACTCAGGTGCTCATAGCCTGAGGCCCCAAAATGAGTGTGATTATCTCGTTCTTCATAAGCCAGACAGATGTTGACTGCCAGCAACATGAAGTATACCAGGCCTTATGGAGGGGAAGGAGATTTGAGAATACTAGGTCAAGGTCAGCTCCCAAAACACCTTCTCTAATCGCTCAATAGTTAACTGATGTCTTGAATTATCTTGGAGCTTAAAGGGAGGGGCTATCCTCTTTCTCCTCTAATCATGTCATGTTTATCTTTAAACTGAACAGACTTCCACCGAAAATATGATCTACAAGTAAGGTAAGTTAACAGGGCAGTTTCTTTGCATATCAGCTTTATTTAGAATTTACATTATGTTTTCATTTTTCTATCAAACAGTTGACCTAGGCTCTGAATTTTAAAAAGCAGAACATGTGGCCCAACAGGAGCCCTTGCCCAGGATCATTAGTCATTTATGTAAATAAATGACTTCCTAGGGAAGGAGCAGATGCAAACTCATGCTGAGCCTTGGGGACGCTGGGCCGTGGCTGAGGGTGCAGCCCCGTGGCCTGTATCTTGGGGATATGTAGTGGGGTGCCCTTTAGGGCTGACACAGCTAGCCCGTGCCTTACCACTGGACAGCAGCCCAACTTCGGGCATGGCACCAGGCCTCACTCAACCTCAGTTTCCCTAGCATGATCATATGTACTTCACAGGGTTGCCATCCAAATGGGACGAGATGTTATTAGTGAAGGGCCAGTATGTTGCAATCCCTATCCATGTGACAGTGGATGGTGGTAAAGCTTCTGCTGCCCAGAAACTTCCTTCCCTCAAAGGGTTTTTGACCTATTTGCAAGTTGATACTCCTCTCTGAGGCCTGTTTTACAAAACAAGGGAAATCTGCTGCCCCTACATATTGTCTAAATTCCTGCTTTCTGATTCTCATAACCTTCTTTTTCACACATGTGGAGGAAATTATTATCTGTACCCAATATTATTATTATTATTATTATTTCGAGAGAGTCTCCCTCTGTCCCAGGCTGGGGTGCAGTGGCACAATCTCTGCTCACTGCAACCTCCGCCTCCCAGACTCAAGTGATTCTCCTGCCTTAGCCTCCCGAGTAGCTGGGATTACAGGCATGCACCACCATGCCTGACTGATTTTTCTATTTTTAGTAGAGACAGGGTTTCTCCATGTTGGCCAGGCTGGCCTCGAACTCTTGACTTCAGGTGATCCACCTACCTTGGCCTCTCAAAGTGCTGGGATTACAGGCATGAGCCACCGTGCCCAGCCCCCAATATTATTTCAATGCCTTATTTTACCCACTTTTTTAATGGTGCTTTTGGCATCCTAATTAAGAAATCTTTGCCTTGGCCAAAATCATGAAGTTGCCCTCCTATATTTTCTTCTAAAATTTAAATTGTTTTATCTTTCTCATTTAAGTTTGCTCCGTATCTGGAATTAGTTTTTAGCAATGTAATTTTAAGTATTAATTTGCCATTCAAATATAATTTAAATATTAATTTGGTAGTATTTGTCATAATTTTTGTCTTTTTTGTTTTCAAATAAGAAACCAGGAATTTAGAAAGTGCCAATTTTCTGGGTGGAAAAGATTACATGCACTAAAATTATAATATTGTGCCATATTAGAATAGTCAAAATGTCAGAAAGGAATTTTTCTATTTCATGAGACTCAAGAAAAGTCAATTTGCCATAAGTATTAATTACATCCATAGAAAGAGAATGCTTGTATGAGATGAATGAATCACAGTGACTACTTATAACATTGAGGCTGCTTTAAAGGATTTATTCACCCATTCAACAACATTGTATTGATATTTATATTATAAATATATATTCATAATAAATATACATTTATTGAAAATATCTATGTCTCATATAGGACAGTCATACTTGTTATATTCATTATATTTATTTGTACATGTTTACATATTCATTAAAATATATTACATTCAAAACATTGATATCGATGTGCCTATGAAGATATGTAATTTGCTTGGGGGAAACTAGGGAGATTCCAAAAATCACTCAGCATTACACAGTGACATTTGAGGACAAATTTGATGATGCCGTTGGTATGCAATGTCAACTTCATTCCTTGCCTCTGTGCTTTGTCATTATTTCAAAGCACTGTCTTCTAGGTCACAGTGTGACTCCATGCGCACCAGAAAAGATGTCTGGTCTTAGTCTAGCATGAAAGACGTGGCATATGTGGTGCAGCTGTCACCAACATCCTGAGTCAGAACCAGAACATCAGAGACTGAGTTAAGACACACGCAGCAAAGCACAATTTCTCCCACTGGGAATTGATGTCAGATACTGGATTTCAGATGACCAAGCTACTAAGCAGGAAAGCAGTTTATTTATCCTTCTTTTGAATATGAAGATGAATGAAATCATGAAGTGACATGGGAGCCTTAGGTCAAAAGCAAAACTATTTGCTGTCCTATTTACAGGGCCGCAAATCACTTTTTATTCCAAGCAATAAATGCTATCATCATCCGTGATCCTGGTGTGTTTACGGTGAAGCAAAAATCCTGCTACCTGAAGGAAAGTGTTCGGCGGGGGGAATCAGGGTTTCCATGTTATAAAGAATGGGGCAGGGCTAGGAGGAACCTGAGTAGTTTCCTGCTGAATTTGAACTGCCTGCAGTTATTGAGACAGATAGAGCTGTCCAGTTACTCTGAAAACATTTAAAGTCTGTCTTTATTATCATCCAAATAAAAGTCTAAATTTCACATCCACGTGGTCTGTGAGCATCTGAGAGCACCCATATTTTCCTCAAACTCACTTTAACCAAAGCTCCTGGGGAAGACGCATGACCCAGAATACTGGCCCACACATTGTCTTGAACATGGTGATTGGCACTGGAAAACCTTCTTCAAAGCCAGGATTACTAGCCAACTGTAGCAAGCGCACAGGAATGTCACCATGGGGCATGCAGACGGTGTCGCCCAGGAAAGAATCGTGCCCACGTAGGGGCTACAAGATGCTATTTGGCTCCACTGTTCACACCAACATTAAAAACACCTATGAAAAACCCAGGTTTTGCATAACTGTAATGCATTCTAGGCCTCTCTGCCTGATAATCATTTACCTGTATGGCTTGCTTCTTTTAACTCTAAGTTAGGAATCATAAAACTGAGACCTTGGCTCAAGGGAGGAGGCCCACATTCTTGTGCACAGCTATCTTCCACTGACCGCTTCAATCGCCCATCATATGTTGAAAAAGAAGAGTTTGTTTATGCCCTCTTTTATGTAGTGTTTCAGGTTCTCAGCATCCGAAGTTCATTATTTGTTGATTTGTAGCAGGTGTGGTCTAATCCACAGCCAGCCGAGCCAGTAGGGTCAACCCCTAAAAGGACAGAGAAGCTCTGGGAGCAGCCTCCCCTTGTTCTTAACTGGTATCTTGATTAAACTAAATAGAAAATGGAATGAAAGCTGTTAAATCCACCTGCTCTTTATGCTCGTGTCAGTGGGAAGACCTCATTCAGCTTGCAAAACGTTAATGTCCTCCAGGACCCTGCTGGCCATCAAAGACAAATATTAGCATTCCTTTCTCTTCTGTGATGGGACCCTTCAAAGCAAAAAAAAAGTCCTAATTAAAATTCTAGAAATATTACCACTTGAAAAACTGCATTAGCATTAGTGAATTTCTCATGCAAGTTCCTTTCTGGCTAGCTTGGCCAAAAAAAAAAAAAGAAAAAAAAAAGCTGTTAATTTTCAATGCAATTCCATGAACTGTGGTTCCTTGTTCAAAATGTATAGCAAAGAAAATGGAAACTGCCATAATGACTTATATTGTGGCCAAAACTCTTCCAACTCTGGTAGAAAATCACATTTCATTTCTTTGGCGGGTGAGAGAGGCAACACAATACATTGGAAATGAGAGAATGGAAGAGTCGGATGCCATGTTTCCTTCTAACTAGGATTCCAGTTTTCACCCACATCACTTCAGCAATGCAAAGTGGCATAAAAGCAGGTCACCGCACAGTGCCTGAGCAGTGAATGCAAATACAGTACTTGGTTCCTGACCACAGCATGTGAAAGCACATAAAAGAGAGAGGGTCACATTTCATGTCGATTTTGCTTCTCCATGACCAGGCTACATGGAGGCTGAGCAGCCGCTGGCTGCCTTGTTCATCTCTTTGGCCCTTGTCTAAATCACAACCTATTTCAGCATGGAAAACGAAGGAAGAAACATCAGCAGACCATTTTCCAAATGTCGATCATCTGCTTTAATTGTGGTTGTGCTGATTTTGTTGCTCTTGGCAAAATCTTGTTCTCCCTTCAGTGCAGCCGAAAATACTAGGTTGTATCAATTGCCATTGGAAACAACCCATTTACACGTCAGACAAAGGAAATAAAAATCGCTGACACTCTGTTTTGCAAGGACAAATTAATTTGCCCCAGAATGGCATGTTTGCCACCAATCTCATTAAAAGTACTATGAGATTATCAGGAAAAATTAATACAAGCTGTTGGTTATCAGCGACATCATTTCAGCTCACAAAGGCAAGTCCTAGTTGTCAGTTTGCTGCTGGGGGCAAGGACAGGCATTTACAAAGAAAGTCATATTCAATTAGAAACCATAGCTGGAGCTGGCATTTGCGGTTCCTCTGCACCGGATCAGCTTGAAGAACAATTGCACTGCTTCTTTTTGGCTTGAACTTGAAAGCAAGGGCATTTATGACAGCAAGGGGAAACAAGTCCTTTCTCAAATGTGCTTATGAGAGAACAGAAAAGTCTGCTTGGAAATGTGGAAACTGAGGCTCTATGGCACTGAGCATGCTCAGGAGATACAGGATTGGATAACTATTAAAAAGTGTCTTGGAACTATTCATCTACAAAACATGGGGCTGGATGAATCTGCTGATGACACCTCCCTCCTGTCTGTGTGCTTAGGTCCCTTCAGAACCTCTCCCCAGGTGTCAGTCCCATGATCTCTGCGCATGGCTCTCAGGCATTGCAGGCTCTTATTTAATGTCTGGGACACTCATTGACAACGACCACACTGATAGCCTCTGTGTGTCTTCTGGAGCATTCATTTATCAAACCTCTATTGAGCAATAGTTCTGAGCCCAACACCATTAGAGTGTACAGTAATGAGCAAGAACATCAAAGAAAGAGAAATTCTCTTCAAAAGCATTTTATTGCTAAACAAATTTCATTTGGTCTCCAACTTTCACAGATTACTAATCTAGGCTGTGGGTTATTTCTGAGTTATATTCATCTAGCAACGTTCAGGAATCACCTGTTTTCCAGTGATTCTGCATAAGCAGCTATTGTATGTGCGCCTCTGCTCCTCCTTAGACCAGTACAGACAGTTTGTAAAAGTACAAATTTGGTCCCTGCTATAGGTGCCAGCACGTTAAAGGAACAAGGTCCTTCCAGGGTATTTATTAATAAAATTATATATATATAAAATAAATAAATGCGGTTTCACCATGTTGGTCTCCAACTCCTGACTTCAAGTGATCCACCCACCTCGGCTTCCCAGAGTGCTGGGATTACAGGCGTGAGCCGCCACGCCCAGCCTAAAGATATATATATATTTTTAAAGGCATATACGGAAGTCCAGAGCAGTCTGTGTCCCTGTATCAGATTGAGCCTTGGTTAGCATTGGCTTGCCTCTCCTGCTGGACCTTCAGATCCTGGGCCGGGAGGGTGGGGGAACATGATGTGTCAGATCATGTCCGCATAGCACTTTGCACAAAACTTCACTATGGTAAACATCCAAAAAAAGGAAGTGTTGACTGTGAATTTGCTTCTTTATCCTCTCTGGACTCTGAATCCCAAGATCCACGATTAAGGCTTAGGACTCTCCATCCTGCAGCATTCCCTGCTTTACACTGAGAGGCAATGGGAGGGACTGGGCCTGGGCAGAGGGATCCAGGAGCCAGTTGCGTAACTGGCCTGAGATGTGCGTCTGAAAAGACTTTTTGCAGGCAAATGTGGCTCCAGCCTCCTGCTGCCTCCAGCCAGTCCTCCCTTCCCACTCTGGGAGCCTGGCCTGTTCATGCTACACTGTTTGGTTTTGGCTGTGGCCTCCACCCTGGTGCAACCTGTGCATCTAAGGAGGCTCAACTGGAGGAATCCAGGCCCCTTCCCAGGAAAAGTGTTTGTTGGTGGCAGATAGCCAGGCTGACAGAGGTGTTCCCCCTCAGGTGAGGGGGCCTCATGGCCACAGCACTAATGGGGGGTAGGAAGGGGTTCACGTCCGCTTCCTGAGCTGAGCTGCCTCTGTAGCACCTGTGCCTCCTCTAGGGCGGCATCCTACTTCCAGTTCATTCTTGATCCCACAGAATGCAGGGACAGGGCACTAAGTGTTCAGCTCTGCTGGCCTCAGCCACTCGCTCTGAGCTCCCAGTGGTATGAGTCTGTCAGAGACACTGGTACCAAGAGGTCCAACATGTGACACTTCCAAGCAGTCAGTGTGGAAGTTTCTCACAACAGTCCAAGAAGAAGCAAGAACAACTCTCTTGGGCTGGAAAGGATTAGAGTTGATCCAGGCGCACAATCTTCAGATCCTGCCTTCAATCTTGGCCTCAGGAGACAGAGCCTCCCATCAAAGGACAGAGCCACCAAAACCAACTCCATTTACAGTATTCCAGTGGCTTCTGTGAGCCAGAAATTTCTAGAAGCTCTTGAAGGGCCTTTTGTGGCAGTGCACAAGGCTGAGTTGTCACAGCCCTACTTGCAGAGGTGGTGAACCCTGTGAAGAGCCTCCATCTCAAAGACACACACTTTGGAGAGCAGTAGACCTTGCAGGGGATGGGGAATTCACGCCCCTGTGAAACTGGGATGACGTAGAATTATGGAAGAGTACCTGTCCCTGAGTGTCCTTGAAAGTCAAGCAATTAAAACAGATGCAATCCCTTTGGATGGAGATGCAGCACAGCATCATTGCTGTGGAAGTCCATGGTACAGGGGTGGCTGGCAGTCACAGCAGACTCTGCAAAATGGGACTCCATCCTGGTTGGCTTCTAAGGATCAAGGTAGACCATTCTTACAATAATGACATAGAATAAGAGACATGGATACTTCCTTGGTTGAAAGAAACACACTGGCAGCTAGTACAGTGGAGAACACCTTCTCTTGTTCATCCTAGAGAAAGTGTCCCCGGGGTCAGGGGACAAGGCTGGGCCAGAGCTGCTCTCAGTTGAATATAAGTGAGTGGTATTTGAATTACTGTAAGCTGGAACTCAAAAGCTCTCTGTGATTCATAAAGCAGCTCTTTTCATATGGGTTCCAAATTTCCTTTTCTGTTCATTCAACATCCTCTGACAAGCTCTCTGAACTTCATTCTGGCTTAAAAATCTAAGAAAGCCATGATAGTGAATACCCATGTCATGACTGTTTACCCTCAGTCCTCAGACTCGCCCTTCCCTGCTGAGGTGCCGCCCTGTGGAGAGGGATTAACCTCGAATGAGACGGTGGGACAGAGACCGATGCACTGTTGTGGTCACGGTTCCATAGGTGTGCTGTGTTTTTTCTCAGCATACCCATTTTAGGCTCGTGTGGTATCAAACTTTTCTGCCAGTAAGTAGAAAAGGCAATTTTTGTAAAAACTGAGAAACAAGTTGCAGGCGAGAGCAGATATTTCAGAAATGACTCAGAATCATGTTTTGCTAGAAGAATGCTAATGAAATACAGAGCGCATATTCATGAAACTGATAACACTCCCTCGGAAAGAAAATGACTCTTATTAGACATCTGAACTTGAGCAAAACATTCATGTCATCGATTATAATATAATGGATGGCTCCTACTCTGGCAGCAAAATTTAGCTTTAATGTAACTACAGAAGCAAAGATTATTCTTGGGGGAATAATGACAGAGTGTATCTTTCTGATCATCTGAAGCAGTTCATTCACCTCTGAAACTGACTGTAAACCTCAGGAAAGAAGCTTCTCAGAAATACATGACCCACTAAGCTAAGAGCCAACTCCCTAGTGAATCACCTTCCACACCCGTGACCTCAAGTCCAGGACCCGTGTAAAGCTAGTTTTTACCATGTCTTCTATGACTGCTGGGGGATGGTACACTATCATCCTAGATCCAATTACCCACAGAAAAAAACAAAAAACAAAAAACAACTAAACCAGCTACTACTAAGCTTGAGCATGACTAGCACTGAACTACCTAATTTCTGACTGTTACAAATTAATCAAGTCACAGCACATTTGCGATTCATATCAGCTACCTAGGGCGTTTCTGTAGACAGCTAACCCATTTGGGAAGCAGTCAGCTAATACTATCTGGATGTCAGATGCATCTCATGTTTTGGCAGCTCTTTATAGTCTTTCAAGGGGATTGTGTTGACAGGCACTTGCCCTTCAACTTGCTGCTCTGTTTGGCAGCGGCTCTGTTTTCAGTCTTGCCTTCATTGCACTTGAGGATTTTCCACAGCCATGTATGGGGATGTTCTCATGTAAGAGGGTCAGACGGGCAAAAATCTGGGAAGAAGGTAGGTGCATTCACAAAGCCATGCCTGGAAACTCTAGATCAGAGGGTGGACTCAACTCCTCCCAGAATCCAGAGGCTTGAAGTTGAGGTAGCTTAATCTCAGAGTGTACCTCTAGCTTCTCTAGGAGCAGTTTTTGGAAGGATCAGAGTCAGACTGCAACGCAGGCTTCAAACAACAGGAAAAGTCATTTAAAACCAAGAGTAATGAGAAGGGTGTGAATATTGGGAGGGTTTTTTAACTTCGTGAATTGGGTGTGATTTTTATTAAAATCATTTCCTAAAATCATGATGATTACGATTATGTCTATTAAAAATAAGAGTTCATATATATTTAGAGATATATACTAAAATATTTACAGATAAAATGATACAATGTTTAGGATATGCTTTAAAAAAATTAGAATGGGGCGAGATTGGGTTGTAGCTGAAACATAATTGGCCATAAGTTGATCATTGTTGAAGGCAAGTGACAGATGGGAGCTCATTATAATTTTCTCTATTTTGGTGTATGTTTAAGATGTTCTATGATAAAAAGTTAGAAATGAAATATGAGATATATGAATGCCTTTCTCAGAGACAATTATCTAATTTGAAACTCAGTTTCCTTTAACTCAAGATTTGTTTGCATATATCTAAATCACATGGTTTTATCTTGCAAAAAAGAAACCACAGCGTTAAACCCGGGCTTCTCTTCTCGGTTCTGCTTTCTTCCAGGGATTCCAAGCGACAGGGACGGGGTTTCACTGTGTTGGCCAGGATGGTCTCGATCTCTTGACCGTGTGATCTGCCTGCTTCGGCCTCCCAAAGTGCTGGTATTACAGGCGTGAGCCACTGCGCCCAGTCAAAGATGTTCTCTTTTAAGATTACTTTTTAAAAAGACTCACACGGTACCTTCCCACAAGAAGACATGGAGACTATGTGACGTAGCCTGTGGGTCCCTGGACACCGGGACTAGAGGACCCTTCCCAAGAGCAGACCGCAGGCAAGATACCATTCATTGGCCTCGCTGCCTGTGCCCGCGGATTCCGCACGTGGCCACACCTCTTCTATACAAGGCAAGGTGGCGGTGAGTAGGAAAACATGCAGTCCTGACCTGGGCAGCTGGCATATGGGGGTTTCTGCCCCCAAGGCGCTTCTAGCACAAAACCTAGTGCTAGGTCTCAACCTCAGTAGCAAAGAGGGAGTCCCCAGAAGGTGCCATGAGGGTGGGCCCTGAAAAACAGCTGAGTGGGGTCGCCAGATTTTGGGGGTGGAGTGACAGGAAGACTGGTAAATTTGAACTTCTCTGCTTGGAACATAAGAAATACTCTCCATGACACAGGTGTCTGCACAAAATCAGGCATCTCTTGTCCCTGGAAAGTTATATCCCCAAGATAGAGCTGGCTGGCTCCCAGAACTAGGGTGAGCAAAGCCCCCACAGCAAGGAGCTCTGTTCTGATTTTGGCTTCCTGGGTGGCCCTGGAGATCCTGCAGCCCGGTGGTTATGGAGTGGCCTGGTGCTCCTCCTCATCAGAGATCCAGGCTAGCCTCCAGGGAGATAAATGAGAAGCACAAGCATTTTCCCCATATGACCTAACTTAAAGGATTTGAAATGCGGTGAAAACAGAAGCCACAACAGAAATCCCAGAAGCATAAAAGACGAAGCGTCCAGTCTCTCCTGACCCACTATGGCCTGCCCAAGTCCTGTGGCTCATCAGCTGCACACTGTCACCCAGGCCACCGGTGTATGCCCGTCTCCCTGAGCCTGAGCTGGCCAGAGGGAAGCTGGGCTCAAAAGACCTGAAGGAAAAACTGGAAACAGACAAAGGACTTCAAGGACCCACTGGAAACAGCCCGCACTTCCTGTAGAACTAGAGAATTTCTCTCCTTCTTTAATCTTAGTGGACTCCAGAGAAAGTGGATAGAAATAGGCATGATATAAAATATCACATCAAATCCACTCACCTCTTGCATTCCTCTGTGAAGGTGGTTGCCAAGAAGGGGAAGTTAGAAACCAGGCCTGGAGCCACATTGCTGGCCAGGAATCCCAGCTAAGTCCCTTATTAGCTATGCAACTTGAGCAAGGAGTTCTCCAGCTCGTGACCTCCATTTTCTTATCTGTAAAATGGGAATGAAAATAACATGACCGTGGGCCACACAGGGACGTTATAAGAAGAAATGAGTGAATACATATGTAGCCTTTAGAACAGCAATAGACATGCAATAAGCAATCAAAACGTTAGCTATTCTTAATAGCTCAAAGGACTTGAAGGCACTCTTTTATATATGTATTTATTGATTTTTCCAGAAGATGAAAATAGATCATTTGTCTCTAATCACATGCAGTGCCAAAAGCCACCAGGTTTCTTGGGGTTTGTGTCACTGAATCCACATAACCCAATGTGCTTTCTGACCATCCTCATTCCTGCTCATGGTTCCTGAGGCTCCCGAGCATCCCCTTAGTTACCAGACATAAATTCAATTATCCTCACCAAATGCCAGGAAAAGAGGATTGCATTTCACCAACCAGGAATGTCAGAAAAAGTTCATTCTCTCACTAGGATTTTCTTCCCTTTGGCTATATTAAGACACTGAGTTTTACTTAGAAAGCACTAAAGGTGAAGATATGGTCACAGGATGCTGTCAGTTCTATTGACACGACCCAGCAAAAATAATAATAATAATAATAAAAATGCTTGAAATGCAATACACATATGTGGACACAGAAATGCTAAGATGTGTTTCAGAACATGCAGTCTCTCCATGTTCAGAATTAACACCCTCAGTACATGCTTCTGTGCTTCTTTACCAGTGCCTACATCCATGCCATCCTGTTGTTATCCATGGATGAACAACTCAGAATTTGGAGAAATGGATTTGGGGAAATCTCTGAGACACATTTTGAAACCAGCGAGGAATTAGGCTGCAAGCGGCAGCAGCAGTAACAGTGACAGCAGCAAGAAACAGCCACCTGCATCTCAAGAGTGGCACAGGGCTTCCACTGGCTGAGGCGGACACATGGCGGATGTGTAAGAAGCGTGCAGAAAGTGGTCAGTCGTGTGTGCACACACGAATACATGCTCAGTGTCAGGCCAAGGCCCTGTGGGCCTAAGGAAAACAATGTCACGTTTCAACATGATTTGGGAAACCCTACTCTCCACTGAAATCTCATATTGGCAGCAGAAAACTCTGCCGATGCCTCAGAAGCCAAAGATAACTAAATTGTGTTTCTTTTAGTTCTTGCATAGGGGCAAGCCCACTTCACATTTCATGATACACCAACTCCTAGAGAGCTCCTTTGGGGCCCTATTTAATTTACTTAACTTTTGTTGGCAATGGAAAGTGGGCCTGCCACATTTGATGACTAGAGCAGGTCCATCCCAGTCACCTGCCTTCCCAAAAGTGCATTGGAGAGTGGAACAGAAACCACAACCCACTGTCTCGGACAGGCGTCAGCATTGTAAAATACACTCTGGCACCCAGCCCTGGCAGAATAGTGGTCTACAGAGGCAAAACTTCAGATTTTTACTATACCCAAGGCATAATGAACTTTATCGAGGGTAAATATTGCCCAGCCTTCTTTCATGTAGGAACCAAGAAAACTAGACCCAACAGTTTTGCCTTTCCTTCCTTCTCTGTACATGTTCTTCCTAGTTGTACTGGATTTTGCTAATATCATAAGCACAGCTGTGATACAGCCAGGTCTTTATGCATGGATTTTACTCTTTGAGCAGCTTGAAGACAATTCTGTCTCGCTCTCTCTGGGTTCTCACGAGCACAGAGCTGTAACCATAATAAGCTCTCAATAAAGGTTGAATAGAGGCCACAGAGATCTTCAGGCCAGAAGTCAGAGGTCATTCCTTGAGGACGTGTTAGTGACAGTGTCCTGTACAGTGGCTAGGCAGAGAAAGACTGCTGAGAACAGACAGACCTGGCTTTCATTAGTTAAGAGATGGACAGAGGAAGGAGCTCCATCCACTCACAAAGACAGTGGCCTCCATATCCCGAGAGGGGAGTCAGGAGCATGACATGTTCTACACAACTACAGTCTTCATCATAATCCCAAAGGCAGCCATAACCATGGGTAATTGGGATAATATTTAGAAAATATTTGCATGCCAAAACTGACATTTTTAGAGGCCATGGAGAAACAGGTTTCCAATGTCAAGTTTTGTTGAAAGAGGACACACATTATTCTAGATTCTGAAAGTTCCCTTCATCTTCAAAGAGCTAGGCCTTGCCAGTGTGACTGTGGAGCTTGCTATAAGCCTGAATAAAGAGAAGACAGAGGACATCAAGTTAGGGAAACCCCACCCAACAGGAAGGAGACACTCTTCTGGCCAAGAGGCAAGTTGGGGAGGGAGGGATGCAGAGAGAAGAGAAGATGAGAGAAGTTAAGGCTGAGCTAGTATCTGAGAATACCTCACATGTGCCCCACAGCCTGCCTCTTCCTCTGCTACACTGTGGCCAGAAAGGGGTCTCAGTGTTCTACGTGCCCCCAGAGGGTGTAGCTGCGAGCCAGACTGCTGAGAGGTCACCTTTGCAGAGCCTAGAGACAGATGACAGACAAAGCTGAGATTTAGAGATCTTTGGGGCCAGGAAGATCTGAGCAGTGGAGGTCCCAAAGCACCAGCAGAGACAGCTAGACCTAGTGGCCCCAGAATTGGATGCTCAAAGACATGATCAGGCCAGGCCCAGCTCAATCAGCACCTGCTATGTCTCAAAGGCAGGATGAGTTCAGAGGCACCACTCCACACTGTGAGAATCCATAATTGTTTCCCTCTTCCAGCTGCCAACCTGGGACATAGAGAGTGAAGAGACATCCTTTGAGAAGGAAATCTTAATTTTTATTTAACTGTGTATTTACCCAAAAGAAAGTGAGTTAGACCAAAAGAGTCTAAGTTGCTTTCAATGGGCAAGTTTAAGGTTCTCCCTCCTTCCTCTGCCATCAACAGGAAATGATGAGATCCATATAGAGAATATTTAAAAGGAAATAAATTATCATTTTCTGCCCCTCTGAGTTGCAGGGTGTAAATTCTTCCTCTGCTAGAAGCGTGTGCAATGTGGGAAGCCCAGCACACAGAAAGAGCTTAATTCATGCTGCTGATTTAATAGATTTTTTTTCATGGATGTGCCAGAAAGCCCCATTCATGTAAACACTACAATTGCAAAAGTTTATGCCAGACAGAAGCCTGCATTTGTTGGGGATTAAAAGAAAGGGCACTTGACTTTGTAGCCCAAAGACCCAGGTTTTCCAGGTGCAGTCCTGGCATTGAGTTGTCATGTCATCCCAGGCAAATCATGGACTTGTTCTGGGCCTCTGTTTCTTTCTTCAACATGAAGGAATTTGTTAAAGAAATTTCTAAAATTCTTCTGTTAATGAGTAATGACGATAATATCAGTAGTCACAAGCATTTACTGAGCACTGACTAGCTGCCAACCACTGTGTTGTTTGCTTTGTTTATATAACCCCATTCACTTTTAAAATCATCTTATGAGGGAAAGAAACCATTATCACCCACATAAGGTATGACTGCTTATATAGAAAATGCCCAAAATCCATAAACAAATGATTAAGAACAATTAAATTTAGTGAAGATATAAAATTTACATACATCAAACAGCTAGAAAGTTTAATTAAAAGACAATATTTTTTTTTTTTAATTCTGAGATAGAGTCTCACTCTGTCACCCAGGCTGGAGTGCAGTGGCGCTATCTCAGCTCACTGCAACCTCCTCTGCCTTCCGGGTTCAAGCAATTCTCGTGCCTCAGCCCCCTGAGTAGCTAGGATTACAGGTGTAAACCACCACACATGGCTAATTTTTGTATTTTTTTTTTTTTTTTAGTAGGGACGGGGTTTCACCATGTTGGCCAGGCTGGTCTAGAACTCCTGATCTCAAGTGATCCGCCCACCTCAGCCTCCCAAGGTGCTGGGATTACAGGCATGAGCCACTGTGCCCAGGCTAAAAGACAATATTCTTTACAACAGCATCAGAAAACATCAGGTATCTAGTGGGGCACAGTGGCATGTGCCTATAGTCCCAGCTACTCAGGAGGGTGAGGTAGGAGGATCACTTGGACCTAGGAGTTCGAAGCTGTGGTGAGCTATGATCGTACCACTGCACTCCAGCCCGGATGACAAAATAAGACCCTTCCTCAAAAAAAAAAAAAAAAATTAAAATATCAAGTCTCCTAGAATAAACCTAACAATGGACACATTTTCAAGACCTCTAGAAGGAAAAGTGTAAAACTTTAAGAGATATTAAAAAGGGCTAAGTAATTGGAGAGAGATATTGTGTTCATGGATTATATAATTTAATAGTGTAATTTGATCTATATATTCAGTGCAATTCTTGTCAAATTCCTAATAATTTTTTTAAAAATAGAACCTGAAAAAATGATTCTAAACTTATGTGAAAGCATAAAAGACCAAAAATAGGATGTTTCTGAAAAGGTAGTGATCAGGGGTTTCCCTTATTGATGTCTGGACTTTTATGAGGCTGGAGCAATTAAAACCCTGTAGTTTTGGTGCAGAGACAGAAAAACAGACCATGGGGTATGAATAAGATCCCAGAAAAAGATGGATGCAAATAAAGAATGTTGGTTTATTACAGAGGATACAGGAGGTCAGTGAGGAGAGGAGGCTGATAAACAAATGGAGGTGGAAAAAAGTAGTTATTCATATGGGAAAAAATGAACTTGAATATCTCTCTCAAACTATATCCGAAAAATAACCCTAGATAGATTCAGGAATTAAATGTCAAAAAAGAAACTTTATAATTTATAGTAAAATACAGGTAACTATTTTATACCTTGGAGTAGTGATATGGTTTGGCTCTGTGTCCCCACCCAAATCTCATTTTGAATTGTAATTCCAAATGTTGGAGGTGAGGCCTGGTGGGAGGTGCTTGGATCATAGAGGTGGTTTCTAGTGGTTTGGCACCATCCCCCTAGTTCTGTATTTAAAGTGTGTAGTACCATCCCCTTCTCTCTCTGTCCTACTGGCCATATGCAGATATTCCTGCTTCCCCTTCACCTTCCACCATAATTGTGTTTCCTGAGGCCTTCCCAACCATGTTTCCTGTACAGCCTGCAGAACTGTGAGTCATTTAACCTCTTTTCTTTATAAATTACCCATTCTCAGGGAGTTCTTTATAGCAATGCAAGAATGGACTAATACACGCAGCTAAAGTTTTTCTTAAGCACTTAAATTGTTGACTATAAAATGATAAATTTAACTATGTCAAAATAAAGAACATTTGTTCACCAAGAGATACCTTTAAAAAGTAAAAAGACAAAGTAAAAACTGGGACAAGATATTCATAATATCAACCACAAAGGTTTAGTACCAAGAATATATGTAGAACTGCTACAAATCAATTTTGTTAACAAAGCACAAATAACCAGTATAATAATGGGGAAAAAAAGCACCAATGGCATTTCACAGAAGAGGAAACATATATGCCCAATAAACTTATGAAAAGATTCAAAAAGAAAAGTGAAAAAAATTATGAATACCTAGTATATGATAGCACAAAAGGGTGACTATAGTCAAAATAATTTAACTGTACATTTAAAAATACCTAAAAGAGTATAATTGGATTGTTTATAACACAAAACATAAATGCTTGAGGGGATGGATACCCCATTTCCCATGATGTGATTATTATGCATTGTGTGCCTATATCAAAACATCTCATGTACCCCATAAATATATGTACCTATTATGTACCCACAAAAACTAAAAATAAAAAAATTTGTTAAAGAAAAAAAGTGAAAATTAAAATCACAATGAAATAACATGTTATACTCATTCAATTAGCAAAAAGTAAAAAGCCTAACACAATTAAGTGCTGGAGAGGATGAAGCCTGTGGCATTGTAGATTAGCACAGAGTCTTTAGAGAATGTTTTGGCATTGTCTCCTAAAGTTGAACTTTCACATGTTCTCTGACATGATTCTCCTTGAAGGTCCATACCCAAGAGAAACTCTTATACTTGTACAAAGGCTGACATGTACCAGTAGGACTATAACAGCCCTGTTCTAACTAGCAAAAGTCTGGACCCTCTCCTTTCCCAAGTACCCCTCAATGGGAGTATGGATGATTACACTATGGTTTATTTGTATACACTACTATGCAGCAGTCAGAACAAAGAAATTACAATGACACACAATACTGTGAATGACTCTTAGCAATATAACATTAAATGGAAAAAAGTAAGTCCCTAAAAGTTTTATAAAGTTAAAAAACAATTAAGATAAAAATATACCTACTTTCTAGAAATACATATGGAAGCATAAAACCAAATAAAATGGGAAGCAGGGGTATCAGGAACACAAGATTCATGATGGTGTAGACCTTAGAAGTGGGGAGAAGAGGTTAATAAGATACTGGGGACTAGCTGATAAGATGTAGGTTATTGTCCTAGACTTAGCTTTTGTTTGGTGGTAGATTCATGGGTGCTCATTACAATATTGGAAATAACTAGTTACATAACTAAATAAATGACAAAGTCATGGATGGATCCGTGGTGGAAAGTACTGTGAACAAGGATCAAGATTCATCTAATTTTTGAGCTCCAAGGAATTGGGGTTGTGGGGATCCTATGTCCTATGGAATAAATGCTGTTATTATCAGCATGTTACAGGCAAGGGAACTGAGGATCAGGTTGGTGGAGCAACTTGCCCCAGGCCACACAGCTGGTGAATAGCAGAGCTGGGCATTGATTACACCCACATAAACAGGTAGTCATGGGGCCACGTGTTTAGATCTGTTGACTAGAACATCCCGTGGTGTCCATAACAGGAGTTTCTCATTTTAAGCCTGAATCGTTTATTCCCACACCAACTCCTGAGGTTGTTCACATGCCATTATAACCTGAAGGTCTTGGAACCTTCCCATGATCTGATATTTCCCCCACCCCCGTGCACACACATGCACACACAGTCAAAGTATTTTCTGGCACCTTTTCAAGTCATTTTCATATTCTTTTTGAGCAGTTTCATTTTCTAAACCTGTTACTTCAGAACTCATTCATACGGAACCTATGAAAGAAATTCTGCTCGGCATTGACTAAGCATATGAGTAAGTTTTTATTTTAATAGCACCATGTGGGAGGTTTCTTTATAAATGAATGGGGAGCAGAGGAGGGAATGCTTGCAAACTTCCCACAGACAAGAGCTAAGCCTATAAAAGCATATGGTAACACAGAATCATTCTTTTCAGTTTCAGGGTAAGCTCTTTTGCAAGGTAATATCATTTGCAAAAAACAAAAAGTCAACAAATAACCTTTTTGCCCTGCAGCTCTTAAAAATGACAACTGTTCAATGAATGGAAATTTGTGGGCCACATACACAGACAGCAAATTTACCAGGATCCCATTCTGCCTAAAATGTATGTGTAATGGATTGCCCAGCTCAAAATTGAGGAGGCTGGTCTGAGTTTAAGCACCATTATTTTGCATTGCTCCAAGCTGCTAAAATTCCAGATGCAGCTCAGTGGGGAGAAGTGATTTCACTTTCAGAGAGATTGGGCCATGATAGTGCGTATGATGGGCTGTATGTAGCATCACCCTCCAAAGGACGAGTCAGAGTCAGGAAATGTTAATCACTTGCCCGCTGTCCCCAGCTTGCACACTTAATCTCTTCACTGTCACTGAGGTGGTCCCATCTCTGGAAGGCAGCACCCAGGAGAGCTGTAGCTAAGCACATGGTGCATGACAACATAGAACCACAAGGAAAGGCTGGGGTGTAATGCTGGAGTTTGGTTAAGACCCTACCCCTCATCTAAATGAGGGCTCATTGTGCATTTTGTATCCTCAGAATGTGTCCCCTAGTTTTTAGTTCTCTTCCTCATAAGCTAGCCCCCTGAGCCTCTCACGGCAATGGGGAGGGTCTGGATTCTGCCGGGCCCTCCTTCGGTTATGCCCAGCAAGCACCTGTAGTCAGTGTCTCCTGGTGGAGGGCCCACTCACCCAGCCATGCCACTTTGCAAAATCTTCAGTATCCATCTCTCTCTCTTGGACTCCCCCAGACACAGGGACACTAAGGTCCCACATTCTCAGCTGATGGCCATTTCCCAGGCAGTGGTCTAATGAGCAGCGCTGTCCTAAGCCTTCTCAGGCAATTCCAGTTCCAAAGAATCTGCGTAGCCTCTTCCTGGGGACCTCTCCTCAGAATGGAGTGTCTCATCCCCACCCCTCTCTCCTCTTTTCTCCTTCAACCCCTGGCTGCCCCTTTCCTGTGGGCTTCTGCAGGTAGCCAGGCCAGGGACTGCACATGCTGAAGGCCATACTGGGGATAGAGGACTGCCACCCTTTCCCACAGTCTCGTGGGAGCACCAAGTTGGGGTGGACACACAGCCCAGAGCAGCCTCCCACGGGGGGATTTTCCACAGAAGCATTTACCCCCATTTGAATATCTCTATGGTAATGGACTGGATGTTCATGTTCCCCACCCCCTGTCCCTGCCAAATTTGCATGTTGAAGCTCTAACCCCCTATGTAATTACCTTTGGAGATCATTAGGTTTAAATGAGGTCATGGGGGTGGGGTTCTCATGATGGATTAGTGCCCTTATAAGAAAAGGAAGGGATCAGAGCTCTCCCTGTCTCCACCATGTGTGGAAACAGAGAGAAGGCGGCCATCTGCAAACCAGAAAGGGAGCCCTCACCAGACACCAGATCTGCTGCACCTTGATCTTGGACTTCCAGCCTCCAGAACTGTAAGAAATAAATGCCTATTGTTAAAGCCCCCCAGTCTATGGTATTTTATGAGAGCAAACACAATGGACTAAGACACCTAGCACGCCCCCACCTCCCCATGGGAATGAGTCATAACACTCCTGAAGGACCGCTGTGACTTCAGGCATATAGGGCAGAAAGACGGAGGCGCACGCTGCCATTTGCCCATAGGTTGTTACTGCAAAGCAGCCTGGGGACAGCTGGAGGTGGTATGGAGGCTGGGCCACCTTGTATTGGATTGTCCACAGACCTTCTTGCTTTCTAAATAGATCTGATTTCCACAGCAGAGCTCAGCCCCTCTTCCTTTATTTTTTTTCTTTTTAATAGATTTTTAAAAATTAATACAAGTACATAATTATTATAGGTATTCAAAAGCTACAGAGCTATATAGGAGAAAGTCAGACCCCAGAAGTGCCCACATTCCACAGGTGAATAGGCAGCACCTCCCAGTCATTCTGTGTCCCCTAAGAGGCTACAGGTATGGAAACGGGGGCCCAGAATGGACCCATCGGCATCTCTCTGGAGGAAGCTGATATTGCACACTCCCTTCTCTGAGGCTACTGGCCCACGTGGTGCTAATCCAGCTGCAACTGTCAGAAAATGATGCTCCCTGGGAGTTTTCACTTAAGGATTTAGGTGGGGCTCCAGAGGCCCTCATAATGTAAGAGTGCTTTCCCCTCCAAATGCTGCAAAGTCAGAGGAACAGGGGCTGTTTGAGGATCTTTAATGCTATTTTTATTTTCTCAGCATCATCTCCAATATTTCTTGGGATGCTTGTCATAAAATTAGCAGACTGGTATTTATTTCCTGGTGTTTTTAAATCTTCATGATATTTTATCTCACCTAACTTTCTTTCTAAATTTACTGATTGTGGGTGTACTTTTTTTAACAATACCACTGGAATCACCTCTTAATGACAATTAACCTATCCTGCAGTAGAATACACTATTTGTTTTAAAGATCATAACACAGCAAAAGTTGAAATGACTTTGCAATAATTATCAAAAGCACAGGAGTCTAGAAGCAGTGATTCACACCCACGAGACAATGGATGGTGACATTCCTGTCTACCTGCTTACCCCCTGAAGTGGGAGACAGTTCACGCTCCGCACCTCGCCCCCAAGAACAGCTTTGAAATTATGTATTTTTTGTTGTTTTTCAACTAAGAAAATGTTGCATTATTTCAAGTTTCAAATCAGATTATACAAAATCATGTATAATATTCTCTCACTGGTTAGGTAGGAGCTGCACTCCTTTCTCTAGTGTTGCCAAGATTTCCATCACTGGAATGTGAAGCCCTTCACCTCTCAGAATGCCAGAGAGAAGGAGTCCCTCCTGTGGTCCTGCAGTGTCACCCCAAAAGCTGCCCAGGTTGCCAGATGTGTCTGAGAGAAGTGAGGCCACCTGACTCATTTAGCCCAGTGCAGGGGAACTTCTCTGAATGTGGCCCGGGTGCTTGAAAGAGCTCTACCCCACAAGTGGAAACCCCTCTTCTCCACTAGGTATTCTGCTCTCAGATCCACCCCTGCTGAGAATACACTTCTGGTGGAGAGGCACTGCTCCTAAGTGCTGTCAGCAATGAGGACTTCCTGTCTGGAGTAGGGTAGTCCCAGTGAAACTGACTATCACTACAGGGCCCGGCTCGCCTCCGTTCGTGTACCCCAGCACACCAGGCACATCGCTTACTGCTGGTTCTTTACATGCCAGCCAGATTCAGCTGTGGATGCTGTAGGCATTTAGTTTAGAGATCTTCCTCCACCCTGGGCAGTAAAACAGTGTCTGAAGTTGACTTAATGGCCTCCCAAGCCTGGTCTCCTACCCGCTGGGCAAAAGCTGCAGGATGGGTCCTGCCTCGGTCATGGGAATGAATATGAAACCGAAAGAGCCAGTCCTTCAAGATGGATCCCTAGTGGCTAACTGGGCCTAAATTTAACATTGAGCCTAGTGGTCATTTATTGACTAGACATCACAGATGTACTCTGTGTCAACAGAAAACCCATACCTCTGTTCAACTTTGGGACTTTCAGAACTCACCTGAACCAACCAATCAGAACTTAGCTTCATCAAGTAATTAGAACTAAGCAAGTTTGAATCCTTCATTTGCATAAATGGACTTGAGTGGGAACCCGGACAGGAACTTTTGCTGTCAAAACTGAAACCTCCTTTTGCTCCCTGGAAGGAACCTTCATTTTAGACCACAGGTCACATCTCCCCATTTTGCAAACTGCTTAGTGGAATAAAGTCTCTTCCCTTCCAATTCTTTTACAGAGAACTTTTGTTCACCGACACCTTACCTTGCACGCTCCTTATCCCTCTCCAATAACATGCTCCCATCTGGGCTGTCTCTTTGTTCCCCAGATCATGCTATATCCACTAAAGGGGCTAGTTCTTTCTCTTTGTTTAATATTCAAATCTTACCAGAGATATTAATATTCATTTCTTCCCAGAGAAAATGGATAGAAGGGTTCTGTCATATTTATTTGGACACTATTCTCATCACTTTAAAGGCACACCTTTAATCAAAATAAAGGCACAAGGGTGTTGAGTGGTGTGGGTGTCAAATGCCATGGGTATCAAATGTTGTAGGTGTCATGCCCCTTCCAGGTCAAAGAAGAGGATTAATACCATTTGTTGAAAAATTCAGAGCAGAAAGGGATTTAGTCCTGACTCTGCTGCTCACTGGCTGTGTCCAGTTCTTAGCTCTGAGCTTCAGTTTTCTCAACTATAAAATAAAGGCCATAGAGCTACATATGTGGTCTTCAACCTCTTACCAGAAGCATTATTTTATTAAGTACAATTTTGCACATAGCCTCAGTAATGACAATGGCTAATATTTATTAGTTGAACACTTTTTGAAGAGCTTTATGTGCATTAACTCATTTAAACCTCACAAAAAACCTTATAAGGTAATAGTATTATCCCCATTTTTCAGATGAGGAAATTGAGGCACAGAGTGCCCAAGGTCACTCAGCTAGTAAGAATACTAAAGCCAGGTTAAAACATTGCTCTGAAGGCCACAGTTTCAACTCCTATTTCTGGACAGTGAAATGCTCTGCTAGGTCTGGGGTTAGAAGGGCTGTGGGTGAGTCTCATCTTCTCTGGTATCCCTTCTTCTTCTCTACTCAGAAGCCCCTTGGCACAACCACAAAGCCCTCAGGTTTCACATACCACCTAGGGCAGTCTAAAAAGTTCCCTTACAGTACTTAAATTCAACCAAACACTCATTTCTCATGGAGGTATCAGCATTAAATGGGACCTGCCCATGGAGTGCTCCGGGGTCTCTGGCATGGGACACAGGTGGCACAGGTACAGGTGTAGATAAATATCACTAACTCTTTTCGGCAGCAGCAGTGGTGGTGGTGCTGTTAGCACAGCCTGGGAAGGTCAAATAAGCATATTTAAATTGTGCCCAGGAAATGTTATGATAAATTCAGAATCAGGAGAATGAGAAGAGAGAGATGGATCACAAACCTTGGCAAGAAAAGGGAAACCCTTTAGCTGAGAGGATAAAGGAAGGTACATAATAAATACTTCAAAGAAACAATGGGGAAAGGGACAGAAAACCTGTCCAGGTCGAGAGACTGGAAAGCAGGCAGGGAATGGAGTAGAGTGGGTGAGGGGGATGAGCTGCCAGAGAACTGAGTAGGAGAGGGCAGCAGGAGTCAGGGCCAGGCAGAGGGGAAGTGTGCCTGCATTTAAACCAGAAGTGTTGTGAGCTAGGCTTCCATTGATTTGCACAATGCTTGAACAATGTGATTAGGCCAGGCACGATGACTCATGCTTATATCCCAGCACTTTGGGAGGCTGAGACGCAAGGGTCACTTGCATCTCTTGCCAGGAGTTCAAGACCAGCCTAGGCAATAAAGCAAGGACCCATCTCTACAAAAAAGCATTTTTTAAAAAAAGTTAGTCAGACATGGTGCAAGCACCAGTGGTCCTTTCTACTTAGAAGGCTAAGACAAGAGGATCACTTGAGCCCAGTAGTTCCAGGCTATGGTGAGCTATGATTGTACCACTGCATTCCAGCCGGGGCAACACAGCAAGAGCCTACCTCTAAAAAATAATAAAAAATAAAATAAAATAAGAACAATGTGATTAAAGGGCTCCATTTATTTTTTAATTTAATAAGCTGATAGAACTCAGGTAATGGTGTGTGCTGGTAAATGTTTAATAACCAGCTGTCCAAATAACTAAGCATGATTTGCTGATTTCCATGGTGAAATACTCCCACACAAGCAGGAACTGGGGAGAGAAGCACAGCTGCCCCGTCGCCCAGTACAGTATTTCCACCACACAGGTACCATAACGTAAAGAGCCTCAAGGGCACAGGAAATGGTAAAATGTCATAAAAAAGGTAGTATAAGTTTTGTGTATCCATTACTTTTGTTTGCGATTTAATTTGCTTACCTGAGGTTCTATAATTTTTAATAGTTGCTCTGGTTAACAACCAGGCCAAAAAGTTCCTGAAGATCTTGTAGCCAGCGCTGGTAAGCTAGTACTGGCAGCTCTAGCACCTCTGCACATGGATGTTGCTGTGGAGGAAAGAATCGTGGCCAAGAGAGACTGCGGCCAGGGAGAGTTGGTCCCAGGAGAGGCCCACCCAGGAAAACCTGCTCCCCACCCCCAGAGCCCACCTCCCCAGGAGAATCTGCCCCCTCCTCAGAACCCCTTCCCCAGAGCCAAACCCCCAGAGACACCCCTCACCCAAGGAGATCCTGCCCACCCCCAAGAGCCCGCCACCCCCAGCCTGTCCCCGCCCTGGGGAGAGCTCGCCCCCAAGAGTCTGCCACCTAGGAGAGTCAGCCTGGGGCTCCACCACACCCAGCGCTGCAAGCACTTGGCAACCACATGTCTCAGAGCTCAGGGGCTCCCAACAGGAAACAGGTCCTGAGACTGGGAAATCATGTGGGCTGCTAATCCCGGCAGACAGCTCCTGTTCCCACATACCTTGAGAAAAGGAAGTACACTAGCCAGGGGGAGATCCCTCGGGAATTTCAGGGATGTGCCTACAACAGTCCCCAGAAGAATCTAACTGTGGGAATGTGCTGGAGGGACGCACTGGAGCACAATGGAAGGCGTATTGGGGGAGCAGCAGAACCTCTGGAAAGGCCCGGAAAGAAGCGGTAACTCTGACCCCACCGCCTCCCGAACTGCCAACTGGATTCCCAGCCCTGAGCAAGGGGCTTACTTGGAATTTCTCAAGGCTGAAAATGTTGGGTGGTGGCAGGGAGGCATGAGAAGAGGGAGGTGAAGAAGAAAGGTGGCCAGCATGGGACCCTCACTCCCTACTCTGGTGTGTCTGAACTATCCCAAACAGGACTACCCACCTGTAAGAACTTGTGTACTGAGCACATGGCCCAGGAGACTCCAAGCTCTTTCCCTATTTAACAGACCTCTTCACTCTTGCCTCTTGGCAAGCTTGGTTTATAAACTGTCCAGGTCCAAGGCAATAGCAATCAAAAGAGGACCTACAACGAGGCTGACAGAGGTGTCGGGGTCTGGGAAAGAGAGCCTGAGTGGAGCCTGTGGACTCTAGCCTGGCCTCGCCCAAGATGGGATGTGACAGTCATGAACACAGGAGAGCCTGGAATAGGCCCCCTCTAAGAATCTGCAGCCTTCACACCCTCACAATGCCACAGCCAGCAAAGGTGACTGCAGAGGCCAGGACAAGCAAATGCATGGCGCTGAGAAACTGGAGGGTCACCAGATAAAACACACAGGGCCCCCACTAAGCCCCCTCACTACGCCCCAACAACCAGACTAAAAATCAAAACAGAGTTATCTATGCTACAATTCCACCAAACTGAAACTAAGTTGTTATCTGATCTTCCACAAAATTAGGAGCATGAGGTAACAGCTGCTATGGTTTGGCTGTGTGTCCCCACCCAAATCTCATGTTGAATTGCAATCCCCAACACTGAGGGAGGGACCTGGTGGGAGGTGACTGGATCATGGGGGCAGAATTCTCCCTTGCTGTTCTCATGATAGTGAGTGAGTCCTCACGAGATCTGGTTGTTTAAAAGTGTGTAGTGCTTCTTCTTTCACTGTCTCCTGCCACCACGTGAAGATGTGCTTGCTTTCCCTTTGCCCTTCTGCCATGAGTGTAAGCTTCCTGAGGCCTACCAGCCATGCTTCCTGTACAGCCTCCAGAACTCTGAGTCAATTAAACCTCTTTTCTGCATAAATTACCCAGTCTCAGTTAATTCTTTATAGCAGTGTGAGAACGGACTAATGCAACAGCCAGTTTCTCCAACCCTCCAGGCTGGCGCAAACTCCTGACCTCAGATGATCTGCCTGCCTCAGCCTCCCAAAGTGCTGGGATTACAGGCCTGAGCGATGGTGCCCAGCCCCTAATTCTTAAACAGGAAGATAGAGTCATGGTTACCCAACAATGAGAAAAATCTCTCAATGTGAGAAACTCCAAAACAAACAAACAGAACACAAGAGACGCAGTGGAAATCATGCAGAAACCAGAAGGAAACAAAGCAACAGTAATTAAGTTTTAAATTAAAATGCAGCTACAATAAATAAACTCTACCATAAAGATACAGATCTATCTAAAATCGTCTTCAATTAATAAATCATAGATTAGCAATCAAAACATACTATATACATTGTGGAAGTCAATACCAAATAAATACAACCAAAATAGATGAAAATATCTGCATGGGGTAAGGGGGTTGTTGTTTTCCAGTATTTTTTAAATTACACTTAATTTGAGGTAACTGTAGATTCATAAGCAGTTGTAAGAAATAATAGAAACATCACATGCTCTTAACCAAATTTCCCCTACTGGTAATATCTTACAAAACTGTAGTATGATATCACAGCAAGAACACTATTATTGAAAGACAAGCTATTGGCCAGGTGCAGTGGCTCAGGCCTGTAATCCTTGCACTTTGGGAGGCTGAGGCAGGTGGATCAACGGAGGTCAGGAGTTTGAGACCAGCCTGGCCAACATGGTAAAACTCCGTCTCTACTAAAAATACAACAAATTAGCCAGGCGTGGTAGTGGCACCTGTAATCCCAGCTACTCGGGAGGCCTAAGGCAGGAGAATCACTTGAACCTGGGAGGTGGAGGTTGCAGTGAGCTGAGATTGCACTACTGCACTCCAGCCTGGGTGACAGAGCAAGACTCCGTCCGTCTAAAAAAAACAAACAAACAAACAAAAAGAAAGTCAAGCTATGAAACAATTCCATCCCCACAAGCATCCCTCATGTGGCCCTTTTGCAACCACCCCACTTCACTGCTGTCCCACCAACCACTAATCTGTTCTTCATTCCTGTAACTTTGTCCTTTTTAAAATGTTGTATAAATAGAGTAACATAGTATGTAACTTTTGAGGACTGGCTTTTTTTCACTTAATGTAATTCTCAAGATTAACCAGGGTTTTGTGTGTATCAATAGTTGGTTCCTTTTTATTGCTGAGTAGTATTCCATGATGTGGATGGTTTAACCCACTAAAGGACATCTTGCATCTTTTCAGTTTTTAGCTATTATGAATAGAGCTGCTATAAACATTCTTGTACAGGTTTTTGTGTGAACATACATTTTCATTTCTCCGCAATAAATGCACAGGAATGCAATTTCCAGGTCAAACAGCAATTTCATATTTAGTTTTTAAAGAAACTGCCAAACTGTTATCTGAATGACTATAATATTTTTTGTTCTACCCAGCAATGTAGGTGTGATCCAGTTTCTCCACATACTTGCCAGCATTTTGTGTTATAATTTGTTTTCAATTTTAGCAACTCTGATAGGTGTGTAGTAATATCTCACGGTGGTTTTAATGTGCATTTCCCTAAAGGCTAGTGATATCGAACATCCTTTCCTGCACTTCTTTACCATCTGTATAGTCTTTTTGGTGAAATTCATGGGCATATTTTCCCCTCATTTTCTGATGGGATTCTTCATTTTTCTTCTTGTCTTTTTACTGTTGAATTTGATACATTTTTGTGTATTGTAGATATAAGGTCTTTGTAAGACATGGATTTGAGGCCGGGCACGGTGGCTTACGCCTGGAATCCCAGTACTTTGGGAGGCCGAGGCAGGTGGATCACGAGGTCAAGAGATCGAGACCATCCTGGCCAACATGGTAAAACCCTGTCTCTACTAAAAATACAAAAATTAGCTGGGCCTGGAGTCCCAGCTACTCTGGAGGCTAAGGCAGGAGAATCGCTTGAACCCGGGAGCTGGAGGTTGCAGTGAGCTGAGATCGCGCCAATGCACTCCAGCCTGGCAACAGAGCAAGACTCCATCTCAAAAAAACAAAAAAAAGATATGGATTTGAAAATAATTTCTCCCAGTCTGCAGTTTGTCTTTTCATCCTCTTCACCGAGTCTTTTACACCACAAAAGTTTTTAATTACAACGAAGTATAGTATATTGACTTTTTCTTCTCTCTTTATGGATAGTGCTGCTGGTGCCATGTCTAAGAATTCTGTCTAGCCTTAGGTCCCAAAGATTTTCTCCTGTGAATTCTTTCTAAACATTATATATTTTTATGTTTTATGTTTAAACTCATGATTTTTTTTTAACGGAGTTTCGCTCTTTCCCCCATGCCGGAGTGAAGTGGCATGATCTCACCTCACTGCAACCTCCATCCCGCCAAATTCAAGTGATTCTCCTGCCTCAGCCTCCCGAGTAGCTGTGATTATAGGCACTTGCCACCATGCCCAGCTAATTTTTGTTTTTTTAGTAGAGACAGCATTTCGCCATGTTGGCTAGGCTGATCTCAAACTCTTGACCTCAGATGATCCACCCACCTCAGCCTCCCAAAGTGCTATAATGTTTTAATAGACTTTATTTTTTATAAGTTTAAAAAAAATGAGATGGTAGAACAGAAAGTTCCCATATACATCCTCACTCAGTGTCCCATCTTATTAACATCTTATATTAATTAGCACGACTGTTTCAATTAATGAGCCAATATTGATACATTATTATTAACCAAAGTCTATATCTTATTTAGATTTCCTTAGTTTTACCTAACATCTTCCTATGGTCCAGGGTCCCATCCAGGATACTTACTGTGTTTAGTCATCACATCTCCTCAGGCTCCTCTTGGTTGTGACAGTTTCTCAAACTTTTCCTGATTTTTAGGACCTTGACAATTTTGAAGAGTCCTGGTTAGGTATTATCCTATATTCAATGTATTCTATGATACCCCCTTATTGAAATTCACCTGAGGCTTTTTTCATGATTCGACAAGGGTAATGGGTAAAGCAGTGAAGTGTCATTTTCATCACATCATATCCAGGGTACATACTCACACCACGATTTATCACAGCAGGTGTTGACCATGATCACCTGGCTGAAGTAGTGCTTGGCAGGTGTCTCCAGTGTAAATCTACTTTCCCCCACCCCCTATCTATTCTACACTCTTTGGAAGAAAATCACTATGTAGGCCCATACCTAAGGACCAGGAACTTACACTTCTCCTCCTTCAGGTTGTAGTATCTGTATTAACTATTTCCAGTTCTTCATAAGAGAGAGTTGTCTTTTTTCCCCCCATTTATTTATTCAAGTATTTACTTATATCACTATGGACTCATGGATATTTATTTTGGGTGATAATACATTACTACTTTATTATTTTCTTGCTCCAATTATTCCAAGTTTGGCCATTGAGAGCTCTTTTGGTTGGCTCCTGTGTCTCTTCACACACACACACACACACACACACACACACACACACACATTTCCTTACATTCTGGTGCTACAAAATGCTCCAGGTTCATCTCATATATTTTTCCCCCAAGGCCTGGAATCAGCCATTTCTCCAAGGAGCCCTGATTTGTTTTATTGGTGAATGGTGTTAGAAACCAAGATCTGTGTGTCCGGTGTGCTAATTGCTAGAGGGTTGTCATTGCTTCTTTGTTCTCTCAGGTGACAGAGTAAGGAAAACTATGTATGTATACTAACCCACACATATATTCATATCTATAGTACATTTTTAATATATCTCTTCATCATATAGTTTTTTACTAATTTCCCTAGATATTACAATATATATACATAATATGTCATAGCTAACTGTATCAGCATTTTACCTCTTCAAGTGAAGTATAGAAATCTGACTTTTATTTAGGTCTGTTTACCCTCCCCCTTAAAATACAAATATGTTAAATAAATATTTCCACTACAGACACTGAACATCTCACCAGATGATGTTATATTTTTTTGCTTCAACACAATTTTTTAAACACTTGAGGAGAATTTTTAACCATTGCATTGTTTTGTTTCCTTCCTGAAGTTCCAGCCTCCCTTTGTTATTATTCACTTTCTGTTTAGAGACATCCCTTTAGTCATTCTTTAATGCTGGTGACAAATTTCTTATTTTTCTTCTATCTGAGAATGTCTTAATTTTCCATTCATTTCTGAAGGATATTTTTGCTAGGTATAGGATATGAGATTGACAGATTTTTTAAACCCCTTGGTCAATTTACATCATATTTTCTTTTTAAAAATTTTATTTCTAAGAATATTTCCCCCCTCAATGCAATCTCACGGAAGGTAAACCATTCATATTATCAGTGCCACATTCACTGGGATCCTCAAGAGGAATGTGGGGCAGGGTCTTTGAATAAGTAGTCTTCTGGAACCTGTTTTTGTTTTTAAACCAGAACCATAAGCAAGTATAGAATAAAGGCCATTTTTTTTTAGTTCCTTTCTGAAGAAAATGCCTTTTGTTTGAGGTGAGATGTGATATTATCCTGGTTGAAACTAGAAACTTGCATCAATGTCTGTAGTTTTTCAGAATCATTTTAATTTATAATCTCCTTATATTCAGGAACATCAAGAATGTACCTAGTTTAGTGATATGTGGATATAGCTATTAATATTCTGTTTTATGCCATTTTCAGCTAGATTCAACCTGCAACACACTACTTGGAGGCTATGGGGTGATTCTGAAGTAAAGACTTGTGTTTTCCCAGTTCCTGGGCTTCTTCATGCTGAAAGTCTTGCTCCATCACCTGTCCCATATTAATTTCCAGAGCTCCTTCTGAAAAGCTTGTTATCACTCAAGCTATTCTTTCGGTTCCGTCTTTGAAAAACATTTATAAAGGGCAGAAAACCTGCAGTGCTGAATTTTATTATTTTCGGTGTGATCGTTTCTTATTCCACAAAGTAAAATACCTTGGCTTTGATGATCTACTCATAAAGTTGCCAGTTTAGAAGAGCAACACTATTATCACACTCCTGCAAGCAACACCTACCATTTTCTTTTGTGCATCTCTTTCAAATGGAGTGGAATAGGCATTCTACCATCTTTATTATCATTTGTTTGAATTCTTGGTTTAAGATGAGTTTGCTTTGGATGCTAGATAGCTTATCCATATCAGAAAAAGTACAGAGCTACAAAAGAGAGTAATTTATTAAAAGCACTTGCTCAACTGATGCTGCAGTGCCTTTAAAGCTGGCCAATGCCTTTCTCCATACAAAAGGCGTTTTGAGTTTACCACTTTTTTCCCATATACCAACTCTCTTCCCCACAGCTTTCCCAGAAGTGTTTGACTTCTTAAGTACATACAACCTTTCATGGTTGCTGCTTTTGTTGTCCAAGGTTGTATCTAATTCACGGTCCTTGATCTTTTTTTTCAAGTGTAATTTCCCTCTGTTTGCACACACTTGAGCCTGGAGCCTTAAAAGAATGCTCACTATGTCTGGGATGTGGGACAGTGATTTCAGCACTACCTGCTGATTCTAGACTTGGCACAGGAGAAATTTGACCCAAACTTGTGCCAATTTTGCTTCCTTTTTATTTGAAATAAGATAACTGTATCTTATTTGGGAAGATTGTCAACTCTCCCTCCCAGATCTTCAATGTCCTTTTGCAGTGTTTCAGATACCATGACAGAAAGCACATCAAGGAAACATGGTTTTCCACAAAGTGCTTGTTTTTAAATGTTTCCTATTTGTTATCCATTTTCACACACTTTGAACATGGTGTCTTCTTTGTTCTGGAGCTTGTTTACTTAGATTTTAGCCTGGAAATGCCCTTTGCTGTGAATGCTGACAACTCCGAGATTCATGGCAGCTGTCAGTACCTACATCCTGGGTCCAAAGAAAGTGCCCTGGACTGGGGACCCAAGAAGAGGTGGCTCTCCATGCACTTGAGATGCCTGTCCGCCTCCTCACCCTCACCTCCTTCCCTTGGCACCCAGGCACGCTGGCCTCCTTTCTGCCCCTGAAACACAATGACTCTGCTACCACTTCCAGGCCTTTGAACTTGCCATTCCTCTACTACAATAATCTTCTCCAGATCTCCACAGGACAGCTGTCCCTCCTTATTCAGGCCTTATCTCTTCCCCAAGACACACACATGCATGCGCACGCACGTGTGCGCACACACACACACACTTGTCGAGACCCAGTAATCTACCCTGATTCTTTGGTGGTGATGGTAATTGCTTTGGAAACTCTTATAAAAATGAAATTACCCTGTGTATTTATTAGTTAGGTGCTCAGCATCTCTCTTCCTGGTAAAATTTTAGTTCTGTCCAGGGCAGGAAACTTGACCATTCTCTTCTCAGTCATGTGCCCATAACAATGCCCAACACACTGTGTAAACATCTGTTCAAATGCATTGCATTGAATCCAGTTGAAGTGATTTCAAAGGAAATAAATGAAACTGTTAAAAGATGGATATGTTTTTGGCTTGAGGGCTCATTCAAAAGGAACAAAGCTGCTAAAATTAAGTATTGGCCATGAATTACTCTAGACTTTCAATAGAAAAGAACATCCACCAGGCATGGTGACTTGCTCCTAGAGTCCCAGGTACTTGGAAAGCTGAGGTGGGAGGATAGTTTAAGCTCAAGAGCTGAAGGCTGCAGTGAGCTATGATTGTACCACTGTACTCCAGCCTGGATGATAGGGTGAGATCTTGTCAAGAAAGAAAGAAAAAAGGAAGGAAGGAAGGAAGGAAGGAAGGAAGGAAGGAAGGAAGGAAGGAGAAAGAAAGAAAGAAAGGAAAGAAAGAGAGAGAGAGAAAGAGAGAAAAAGAAAGAGAGAGAAAAGAAAGGAACATCCTACTAAACTTGGATTCAACAAAGGAGAAGGTTCCTATCTCTCCTTTATTAATTAATTAACTAATTTATTTATTTATTTATTTATTTATTGAGACATTCTCTTTTTTGTCGCCCAGGCTGAAGAGCAGTGGTGAGATCTCAGCTCACCGTAACCTCTGCTTCCCAGGCTCAAGCAATCCCCCAACCTCAGCCTCCCAAGTAGCTGGGACTATAGGCATACACCACTATGCCTGGCTAATTTTTAAATTTTTTTTGTAGAGACAGGGTTTTGCCACATTGCCGAGGCTGGTCTCAAACTCCTGGGCTCAAGCAATCCACCTGCCTCAGCCTCACAAAGTGTTGAGATTACACGAGTGAGCCACCACACCTGGCTATCTCACCTTCTTGCCTTCATCCAATGTTTCATGCATTTGACTAACAAGTAGTGGAGGACATCCTGCAGCCAGCTGCTTGTCAGGGGCCAGGGAATGGGTTGAGGACCCCCTATTCCTGCCTTCAAGGCACTCACTGTCTGAGCCCATGGTGGGAACAAGGACAGGAAAATGCACCTGGGGGACTCGGAGCCTGGAGCAGAGCAGGTCACCTGAGTTCAAGCTATGCAGGGGTGTTGAAGAGGTAGCTGGAAGGTACCAGCTATACGTCAGCTTCCAAGGGTCCAACCTTGAGGAGATGGCACAACCAGCAGCAGAGTCCATTGCAGAGGCAAGAAGAAAACAGGTCAAGAGCAAAGACAGGAGCAGGAGAACAGGAAACCAGCATCCAGACTGAGTAGGTAGCCCGCAACCTACACAGGGCCTATTGGCCTTGGCCGGGGCTGGCGCTTGCACCTAGTGTTGTTGTTGTTGATGATGATGATGATGATGATGATGATGATGATGTTGTTAAGAAGAAGAATGGTCAGCATTTACTAAGCACTTATTTTTGCCAGTTATCATGGTGACACATTACATGCTTGATCTCATGTAATCCATCACAACAGGGTGATGACTTGAAGACTCTTACTTATTGCACTAGACTTATGCAAAATTAATTGACTTTTTCAAGTTTACACAGCTAATAAGTGGCAGTACTGGGCCCAAACTCAAGGCTGTCTCCTCTGGATATGTCAGAGGGGCTGGAGCATACACTGATCTCACAGATCCAACAAAATTCCTTGTGGGCCTCCTACAGCAGCTCCTTTCTCTGTGCTCAGCCTTGACCTGGCCTGACCTTGACACATCTGTATAGGGAGCTCCAGGCTGGTTTCAGACAAGGACAGCACACGCACAAAAGGTGGGGTCAAGGAGAGCGCACAAGCCTGGAGGAACAGAACTGAGCTCCAAACACCTGCAATGAGAGTGTCTGGAAAGTCAAAAGCCCAAGGTGAGTTTAGCAAAAATGCTAATCACAACAGAAAAGGTTGTTTTTGTTTGTTTGTTTTTTGCTTTGGTTGGTTTTGTTTTCAAAATTATTTATTTGTAGCAATCTTGTGAAACTTTTATTATTTGCCTGATATCTATCAATCTCAAATGAGCATTAAAAATAGTTTGTACATTCAGGAGTTGTTCTTGGCATCCATAAGACAATAATATTTTCACTGGATAAGGCATGTGACTCGTCCGCAACTGGGTAATCCTCTACCACAAACCCCAGGATGGAAGGAGAGACAGAAGGGGCATGGGGTGGAAAAGAGCTAGGAAAGCCTGTAAGAGAAGAAATGAGGGGGCAGGGGTAGAGGGGAAGGGGAGAGTTCTCCTCCTGCATTTGAGAACAGTTTGGTTGGATTTTGGGGAACCCTAAGTTACCTTCCTGGTGAAGTCTGGGGTGTGGACATAGCCAAAATCCTCATCTGCAACTTAAATAAATTCAGGAATAAAGAAAAGAACTACAAAAGAACAGTCAAAGGATAAAAACAATGATCAGAGGAAAGATAGAAAGAAAAGTGAATTCTGGAGGAGGCGGAAAGAGGCTTTCAACTACATGACAATAAATAACAGCTTCTTAGATTTCTAGCAAATAATTAACAAATGTGAATTTCACATATCAGGTGGTGGTTGGTCTGATGGCAAGATGCATGCTTGACCACAGCGATTTATGGAGGCTGCAGTGGCCACTGGGGCCTCTCCTTTAGCAGAGACCCTCAAGGACAAGCTGACTTGACATCTGCCTGGGTTTCAGGGTGGTTTTGCTAAAGAATCAGAGATAAACGAGGAGGCATATACAGATGACTCTCCTAACCCTGACTTCCTTCACACAGAAAGAGATAAATGGGCAGTCCATTTTGGGATCCAAAGGGCGTGGAGTGGAAAGCTATCTGAGTGATGAAATTCCACCACTGTAAACCTCCTGAGAGGCATAAAAAGGGGCATGTATAGCATGTGCTCAAGTAAGCAAAAAGTAAAAATAAAAGGTAGATAAAGAGAAGTGTAGTTGTAGGAAAAAGATTGGGCCAAAGGTTTTATAAATCACAGTTACAGTATGAGTTTTCATATTGGATGGAGATGTTTATTATTAAAAACATGCATTGCATGGTCAAATGAAGAGAGTGCACTGATATGGTTTGGCTGTGTCCCCACCCAAATCTCAACTTGAATTCTCTCTCCCAGAATTCCCACTTGTTGTGGGAGGGACCCCAGGGGGAGGTAATTGAATCATGGGGGCTGGTCTTTCCCATGCTATTCTCATGATAGTAAGTCTCACAAGATCTGACAGGTTTCTCAGGAGCTTCTGCTTTTGTATCTTCCTCATTTTCTCTTGCCGCTGCCATGTAAGAAGTGCATTTTGCCTTGATTCTGAGGCCTCCCAAGCCATGTGGAATTGTAAGTCCAATTAAACCTTTTTTTCTTCCCAGTCTCAGGTATGTCTTTATCAGCAGTGTGAAAATGGACTAATACAGTAAATTGGTACCAGTAGAGTGGGGCATTGCTGAAAAGGCACCCCAAAATGTGGGAGCAACTTTAGAACTGGGTAACAGGCAGAGGTTGGAATAGTTTGGAGGGCTCAGAAGAAGACAGGAATGTGTGGGAAAGTTTGGAACTTCCTAGAGCTTGTTGAATGGCTTTGCCCAAAATGCTGATAGTGATATGGACAATAAGGTCCAGACTGAGGTGGTCTCAGGTAGAGATGAGGAACTTTTTGGGAACTGGAGTAAATGTGATTCTTGTTGTGTTTTAGCAAAGAAACTGGTGGCATTTTGCCCCGCCTTAGAGATTTGTGGAACTTTGAACCTGACAAAGATGATTTAGGGTATCTGGCAGAAGAAATTTTTAAGCAGCAAAGCATTCAGCAGGTGACTTTGGTGCTGTTAAAGGCATTCAGCTTTATAAACGAAGCACAGCATAAAAGTTTGGAAAATTTGCAGCCTGACTGTGCAATAGAAAAGAAAAATCCATTTTCTGGGGAGAAATTCAAGCCACCTGCAGAAATTTGCATAAGCGGCAAGAAGCCTAATGTTAATCCCCAAGACCTTGGGGAAAATGTCTCCAGGCCATGTCAGACACCTTCATGGCAGCCCCTCTTGCCATCACAGGCCTGGAGGCCCAGGAGGAAAAAGTGGTTTCTTGGGCTGGGCCCAGGGTCCCTGTGCTGTGTGCAGCCTAAGGACTTGGTGCACTGTGTCCTAGCCACTCCAGCCATGGCTGAAAGGGGCCAAGATACAGCTCGGGCTGTGACTTCAGAGGGTGGAAGTCCCAAACCTTGGCAGTTTCCATGTGGTGTTTAGCCTGTGGGTGCACAGAAGTCAAGAATTGAGGTTTGGGAACCTCCACCTAGATCTTTAAGATGTATGGAAATGCCTGCATCCTCAGGCAAAAGTTTGCTGCAGTGGCAGGGCGCTCATGGAGAACCTCTGCTAGGGCAGTGCAGAAGGGAAATGTGGGACTGGATCCCCCACACAGAGTCTTTACTGGAGCACTGCCTAGTGGAGCTCTGAGAAGAGGGTCACCGTCCTCCAGACCCCAGAATGGTAGATCCACTGACAGCTGGCACCATGCACCTGGAAAAGCTGCAGATACTCAATGGAAGCCTGTGAAAGTAGCCTGGAGGGAGGCTGTACCTTGCAAAATCACAGGGCGGAGCTGCCCAAAACCATGGGAACCCACCTCTTGCATCAGCATAACCTGGATGTGAGACCTGGAGTCAAAGAAGATCATTTTGGAGCTTTAGAATTTGACTGCCCAACTGGATTTCAGGCTTGCATGGGCCCTGTAACCCCTTTGTTTTGGCCAATTTCTCCCATTTCATAGATACCTGTACCCCCATTGTATCTAGGAAGTAACTAGCTTGCTTTTGATTTTACAGGCTTATAGGCAGAAGGGACTTGCCTTGTCTCAGATGAGACTTTGATCTGTGGCCTTTGGGTTAATGCTGAAATGAGTTAAGACTTTGGGGAGCTGTTGGGAAGGCATGATTCATTTTGAAATGTGAGGACATGAGATTTGGGAGGGGCCAGGGGCAGAATGATACAGTTTGGCTGTGTCCCCACCCAAATCTCAACTTGAATTGTATCTTCTAGAATTCCCACATGCTGAGGGAGGGACCTAGCAGGGAGGTATTTGAATCATGGGAGCCGGTCTTTCCCATGCTATTCTCGTGATAGTTAATAAGTCTCATGAGATCTGATGGGTTTATCAGGGGCTTCCACTTTTGCTTTTTCCTCATTTTCTTTTGCTGCCACCATGTAAGAAGTGCCTTTTGCCTCCCCCCATGATTCTGAGGCCTTCCCAGCCATGTGGAACTGTAAGTCCAATTAAACCTCTTTTTCTTCCCAGTCTCAGGTATGACTTTATCAGCAGCATGAAAATGGACTAATACATGCACTATGAATCATAGGTCACAATTAACCCAGTTTCATACACCTGAGGTCCAATTTACAAAATAAAATGATTTTCATGATATATTATTTAAAAATAGGAGAAGTTTGGCATACAAAAGACACTCCTTTAAAAATAGTAGAAGTTAAATTTCTGGGTGAAATTATTGGAAGAAATTTTTATTTACTTTTCAAAGTTTTCTTGGATAAGCATGTAGTATATTCATATGCAGAGAAGGGCAGGAAGGTTTGTTTTTTTTGTTTGTTTGTTTGTTTTTTTTAAAAAGTACACCCCATGACCCTTCATTTAGGCCCTCCCCTTCTCATTCTAATTTTTATCAGTATCCTAATTATATCAGTTCCTCGACATGGGGTTTCCTCTTGGGCAATAGGGCATTTCCTATGCTGGGTCTGGTTCTCCTGAGAATGTGAAGCAGGCCTTGCTGGAAAGCCAGGCCTCCCAGAAGGTGCCTGGCAGTGACTCCAGCCTCAGGTCCCTGCCGCGGATACCAACATCTAATGTGCAATGTGTTTTCCCAAGCCAAGGCGCCTTCTTAAGAGTGGGCTCATTGCCACACTGGCTGGGAAGAAGCACTGTCCAGTCCTCGCCATTCAACTCAGACATTGGCCCCCAGCCAATGTCCGTCCAGTGAGACCAGGGACTGGCAGCCACTGGTCAGGAAGCTGTTTATCAAGCTGGGGAAGTCTGGAGCACACAAGGCTCACTCTAAGATCCATTTATTCTCCCAGCACTTACAATCCTCTCTCAAAAGACACAATGCTTTCCTAAAAATAATTAATCATGGCAGCAAAAGTGAAAAACAAGCTCCGTCTCCTTCCTTCCACAGACATAAAGAACTTCAAGGCTGTCTTGATCAAAAAATGGGAGGTGCAGGCTGAGAGCAGGGACGACCTGGAAGGGGGGATGAGAGCTCTCCTGTAGAGTTATTCAGGTTCAGTGCATTTCCTACAACATAAAGGAACGTGCCTCCTGTCAAGCGAAGACACTGTGTCTAAAGACTGTAAAACAATAATATATTGGGCAACTCCATGCCCCACGGACAAAGAGCATTGTGACCATGACAGACCTGAATTTCCACCTGGCTCTACTGTTGCCTCTGTCTGGTCTTGGACTAGTCCTATAACCTCTCTGCACCCCTATAAAATGACAGTAATAATATTAACACCAGACAGGGTTGGATGAGGATTGGACACATAGCACATTAACTGGTATATAATATGCCCTCAATATTTTGTAGTTGTTATACTTATCATATGCTTTTCTAAGGGTAAATCTTGACAGAATAAGGCCTACCAGCCAGGGGGAGATCAGGTTACAAGCATAGGGTGTTGGCATGAGTGATCACTGCCTTTCATGTCTACCCCTTAAAGAGTACCTTGGAAGGAAACTATCCAGCCACCACCATCTTGGGTCATACCTGTAATAGGACAGTGACATGAGCCCTGGACTGGGAAATGGGAAAATCATGTCATCTCAAATGCTCTTCATTTTATTGAGGACTTACTATGTGCCAGACGCACTACTAAAAGCCAAAGTAGCAATGAGGTAACTTTGGGTAAATTACATATCATACCTGAGATCTGGTTTTCACATTTCTAAAGTCAGAACCAAAAATGAGATGCTAGAAATAAAAGCTCACTCTAAGTGGTCAAGTGGCTTTTAGATACACTGAGTTAGAACTTTCTGCATGACCGTATTCTGAGGCTACACCACATAGACCACATGCACAGCTTCTCAAGTAATGCTGGAAATGTGTGGCTGCTGACTAAATGTTAATGGGCATTGTCAGGGATGGTGGAGATGCAGATGAAAGTCTATCTGAGGGGTTCATACCTTTGAATGTGGTGTCTCAACTAATATTTCTTGAACACAAACCACACTCCAGCATCATTCTTAGAGCTTTGGGCCTTGAAGTCTGATGGAGAGAGCAATGCAGGACTAAGCCAGTACATGCCTACTATGCTTTGAATGTGTTCCCCAAAGTTCATGCATTGGGAACTTGTTTCCCAGTGCAACTGTGTTGAGAAATAGGATCTTTAAGCAATTATTATTTCATGAGGGCTCTGCCATCGGGAATGGATTAATGTCATTGTTGAGGGAGTGGATTCTTTACCTTGAGAGTGGATTTGTTATAAAAGCAAGGTCAGCCCTCTCTTTCTCTCCCCTGTAAACTTTCTTGCCATATGAGAGCTTCCCTTATCTGATGCAGTACCTCAATATTGGACTTCCCAGCCTCCAGAACCATAAGTCAAACAAATATCTATTCATTATAAATTACCTAGTCTGTGCTATTCTGTTACAGCAACACAAAATTACTAAGACAATGCCCACATGGGAAGTCAAACACAAGTGAAGAAACTCCCCAGTAGGAAATAATACTAGTCACAGAAAAGTGGTGGGGTTAGCCACCACTGAACTAGTGATGGTATCTTGATAAATATTTTATAACCTCTATGCATACTTCTTTTTAGCTGAAGTGTGCCAGGCCTGTCTCTAACATATTATGCATATTTGTGATACCATTAAGTAGAGAGGGTTTTTAAATAATAATCTGACTCAAAAGAAAAAGACAAAATTGAATATAATGAACTCCAAGGAGATACAGGAATTGTACAGACTGCTTAGAGTATAAGAAACTTGCTTAAGTATGTGAAACTTGATTGTGATTAGAAAAAAAATGTATTTAATCCTGTTGTTCCTAGTTATTCAACATTTGGACGCCATAAAAGAAAAAATGGGCTGGGCACAGTGGCTCACACCTGTAATCCCAGCACTTTGGGAGGTCAAGGCAGGAAAATCACTTGAGGTCAGGAGTTCGAGACCAGCCTGGCCAACATGGTGAAACCCCCATCTCTACTAAAAATACAAAACAAAAAAAAAATAAGCTGGGCATGGTGGCACACACCTGTAATCCCAGCTACTCGGGAGGCTGAGGCAGGAGAATCGCTTGAACCTGGGAGGTGGAGGTTGTGGTAAGCCGAGATAGCATGCCACTGCACTCCAGTCTGGGTGACAGAATGAGACTCCGTGTCAAAAAAAAAAAAAAAAAAACCAGAAAAAATGAAAAAAATAATTCAACTATATTTTGAAACAATAACAACAACAACTTCATGGCAAAAAAAGAAAAAGAAAAAAAGAAAAATGCCATGGGCAAGCACAAAAGATAAATAACAAACCGGGAAAAAACACTGCAGTTTATAACACAGACAAAAGATATGCAGAAGGAGCTTCATGTATAAGGATCTCCTAGAAATCAACAAGAGAATAAAACTCAGTAGATAAATGTGCGAAGGACAGAAACATATTTCACAGAAAAGGAAATGCAAATCGTCCTTAAACAAGTAAAACAATAACAATAAAAATGACAACTACATTGGGATGGCATTCGCTACCTTTCAAATTGGCAGCATTGCAGTAGTGTGCTGGAGCTGACTCTTGACAGTTGACCATGAATAATTACCAGATTTTTAGGAGCTGGTTTTATGAGTAGGTTGTTAAATGCAGATTGTTGCTAAGATTTAATTATATAAATTTATAACTAAATAAATCATACAAATACAAAGGAAATAAAAACTCTTAAATTCCTTATTATTTTACCACATTTCACAATTATCCATGCTACTTGCATCTCTTGCATCTGTGTGGTAGAAATACTATACAGTGGGTGCTACGGCCCATCTCTTCCCAACTCCGTGTTCAGGGACATCATGTTGATAGCTTGCAATTGGCCTGGGTAGAAGTATTTATGCTATGGAAATCAGCAGATACTACAATTAGGGCTTCTTGTTTTTTTGGTTTTGGGTTTTGTTTTGTTTCGTTTTGTTTGGAGAAGTGGTTGTTAAACATTTATTAGCACACACCATTGCGGAAATCCCAAATGTTAGTAACAAAGTTGCTGGGATTACAGGCATGAGCAACTGCACCTGGCTTCAAATGTTGGTAACATATTTTACTGGAAAGGCTGGGAGAAGCAGCCACTCTTACTGCTGACAGGAGTGCCCAGCAGTTGATAGAACCCTGTAGAAGGCACTCTGGCAATATGTGCCAAAATTATAAAGAGATTTACCCTTTGCCCAGCAACTGCCCCACTGGGAGTCTATTCTACAGCTCTGCCTACGTGTGCATGCAACAAGGTGATTGTGAGATCATCCAGCAAGGTTTGTAAAAGCAAAAGACACAGGTCAGCCAGGATCCTTCCACAGAGACTGATGAAACCAAACACAGTCCATCTTGACACTGGACTCTCACACAGCTGATAAAGAAAGGGGAAGCTCTCCATATAATGATGTGAAAAGTTCTCAGACATAGTAAGTGAAACGAAAGCAAGGCACAAAACAGTGTGCCTCCTTTTGTGTAAAAGGCGGGGAAACATGAATGTATTTATGCATGTTTATATTTGCATAATGAAATTCTGAAGGATAGACTGATACAATAAAACTAATTACTTGATTCAAGAGGTGATTGATTGGGAATGTGTAATCTGAAAAGACTAGTGATATAAAAGCAGACAAAATTAAGCTTTCCTTCACCAAGAACACAGAAGCAAACATTTCCCAAGGAGCAATTAAGAAAGAAGAATAAGCAGTGGGTTTTGTCTTTGAATGACATTTCCCTACAGATTTACACAACGGCGGACGGCCAAAGGAAGATGGAGCTAAGGGGAATTGGCAAGGAGAAGGCAGAGCTCAGAGGCTTATAGGAAATGAAAGAGAAGTCATTGCATGACTGAGAAGGTCACACAGAGAGGCACTGCGGTTTCATTTGAGAGGGAGGAGAAAGTGCAGTAGCAGAGACTCAGCCTAGAGGTGTAAATCTTCCCAGGAAGGCTTGCAGGCTGTGCTGTGGTGCTGTGTGGTTCCAAGACTGAAGACAACAGTCAGGAACATTCAAGACCAGGATAGACCCGAGGGTTGAGGCATAGCTGCTCAACCGGACTGCAGAAACACACATACAAGAAGCAAGGAAAAACCCAGGATACACAGCTGCCCTCTTTTGGTTTTTTTAGGTGCCATGCATATGCCATAAAATTCATCCTTCTAGAACGTACAATTCAGTTAGTTTCAGTATATTCACAGAGTTGTACAACCATCACTACTATCTAATTTCAGAACATTTTCACCACCCCAAAAAGAAAACACCACACCCATAAGTCATCACTCCCTAAATCCCTCTCCTTCTAGCCCTGCCACAACTAATCTACTTTCTGTCTCTACAGATTTGCCTGTTCTGGATGTTTCAGATAAACAGAGTCATACAATATGTGGCCTTTTGTGTCTGGCTTTTTTTCACTCAGCACATTTTCAAAGCTTACCCCAATTGTCCCATTTATCAGTATTTCATTTCTTTGTCTTGCCAAAGGATAGTTCTTGGTATGAATATGCCGCATTTTATTTATTCGTTCATCAGTTTGTAGACACTTGGGTTGTTTCCACTTTGGGCTATCATGAAAAATGCTGCAATGAACATTCGTGTACAAGTTTTGTTTTTGCGGGGGCATGTGTTTTTATTTCACTTGAGTATATACCTAGGAGTGGAATTGCTGGGTCATATGGAAACTCTACATTTAACTTTTCAAGGAATTGCTAGACTGTTTTCCAAAGTAGCTATGCCATTTTAAAATGACATCAGCAATGTCTCTATATCCTCACCAACATACATTTTTTTCAGTCACGCTAGTAGGGGTGAAATGATATTTCCCTGTGGCCAGCTGCCCTTTTTTGATTGACCTTCATCCTGCCTGCCAGACTTTTCACCTTTTTTCTCCATCATCCCCTTCTGTTTGAGAAGCTCTAAGCTTCCTGGGCTTACAGTGTTGCTTTTCTTGGTAATATATGCTAAATGTTTACTAGTGCTCACATAAAGCAATTTTACCCAATATCCTTTTCAGCAGGAGATTCCCCAACCCATGAATACTCTCAGAGGAAACTGCAGAATGACCACAGAGTTCACAGTCCTTGGGATTTAGATTGCCAATGCAATGCACCCAGGGTTGGAAATCTGGGGTGGCCTACCTACTTGGGGACAAACATTGAAGTCTTCTGTTGGTCACCTCAATCATTCTTTTTTCAAAACAACATGAATTCATCATGTATTAATTGACAGCAGCAATTTTGAATCATTGAGATTCTCAAATTTGAATTTATTGGATGCCCAAGGCTATGTCATCTCTAAGCCCATGTTGGTCCCAAAGAGAAGGAAAAATGGATTTGCTCACAAGCCAGGCTGTGCAGACCCACCACGTGGAACAGCAGGTGGAGGGTGGAAGCTGGCTCTCCTACTGCTGACCACACTGCTCCATTTTCCACTGCACATAAACTCGGGACTGGTGGTGTCGACGAATTCCCCACACAAGACTCCAAACCTGCTTCCTAAGCAACGTGACAAATGACTGTCCTAGTGAGTACATATTCCTGGGATCCCGGGAATTATAGTACAACAATGATTCATTCTTTGTTCACATTTTATCACATTTGTGCTCTTTCTCTTTTTTCTTTTTTCTCTCTTTATGTCGTTGAACCATTTGAGAGTAAATTGACCCTTTGCATCTCAATACTTCAGCATATGTACTTCCTAAGAACAAGGAATTCGCTTATATAATCACAATACACTGATCAAATTTGGAAAATTTATTCATTTTTATGGTTTTTTTTTTTATTTTTGAGACAGAGTCTCACTCTGTCATTCAGGCTGGAGTGCAGTGGCATGATCTCTGCTCACTGCAACCTCTGTCTCCTGGGTTCAAGCAATTCTTAGTGCCTCAGCCTCCCAAATAGCTGGGATTACAGGCACCCGCCACCATGCCTGGCTAATTGTTGTATTTTTAGTAGAGATGGGGTTCACCATGTTGGCCAGCCTGGTCTCAAACTCCTGGCCTCAAGTGATCCACTTGCCTCAGCTTCCCAAAGTGCTGAGATTACAGGCATGAGCGACCACACCTGGCCCAATTCAGGAAATTTATTATTTATGTATTATTATTTAATATACTGTACAAATTTAAATTTCATCAAATTGTTCTAATAATATCTTTTATAGGACCTCACCCCCAATTCAGGATCCAATCTAGGATCATGCACGGAATTTAGTTCTTTATTTTCCCAACTTTCAGAAAGGAAGGAAGGAAAGAAGGAGGGAGGGAAGGAGATAGGAAGGAGGGAAGGAAGGAAGGAAGGGAGGGAGGGAGGGAAGGAGAGAGGGAGGGAGGGAGGGAAGGAGGGAAGAATGGAGGGAGGGAAGGAGGGAGGAAAGAAAGGAAGGGAGGGAAGGAATGAAGGAAGGAGGGAAGGAGGGAGGGAGGGAAGGAAGGGAGGGAGGAAGGAGGGAAGGAGGGAAGAAAGGAAGGAGGGAAGGAGGGAGGGAAGGAAAGAAGGAAGGACGAAGGAAGGAAGGAAGGAAGGAAGGACAAACAGATTTAGTACCTTGGCCACTTTAATAGTCACAAGATGATCTTTCCTATAATGGCCTCTCAGCTCTTGAACGTGCCTTGCCCCTCCCTACTCTGCATGGGCCACTCCATCCATGCCATGCCCTAGTTGTGGACATTGCTGCAGTAGGGCTAAATTAGTCCCAAACTAAATGCTGCTCTGGGCCTGCCATAAAACATAAAAGTAAGCTTTGAAGTGGTCAACCTGATCCCAAGCAACTTAAGTGTGTTCCAAAAGAAAATCCAACACTCTTTATGGAAATGCAACAAAATCTAGCCCTCAACAATGAAAAGTGCGCTATATAGAGCATCTAATAAAAAACTGCCAGGCATACAAAGAAGCAAGAAAACCATAACCCATAAACTGGATTTTTAAAAAAGATAGTCAATAGAAATTACAATGATGATGAAACTATCTGATAAGAATCTTAAAACAGTTATTTTTAATCTTACAAATATTTTCTTTTTCCTTTTTTTTTTTCTTTTTTGAGGTGGAGCTTTGCTCTTGTTGTCCAAGCCAGAGTGCAATGGTACGATCTCAGCTCACTGCAACCTCTGCCTACCAGGTTCAAGTCATTCTCCTGCCTCAGCCTCCCAAGTAGCTGGGATTACAGGCATGCACTACCACGCCCAGCTAATTTTTTGTATTTTTGGTAGAAAAGGGGTTTCACCATGTTGGCCAGGCTGGTCTCGAACTCCTGACCACAGATGATTCACCCGCTTCGGCCTCCCAAAGTGCTGGGATTACAGGCGTGAGCCACCAAAAAGGAAGGCATAAACATGACAAGCAAAGAAATGGAAGATACAAAAACCAAACAAATGAAATTCTAGAAATGAAAAGTAAAATATCAGAAATGGAAAGTTCACTGGATAAGATGAATGGTACATTAGATGCTGGAGAAGAAAAGATCAGCAAACTAGAAGGCAGCCCCATGGCACCTATCCCAAATGAAGCATAGAGGGGAGAAGAACTCAAAAAAAAAAAAAAACAAAAAACTTTTACAGGGTCTCAGTGAGCTGTGGGGCCTCAGTGAGCTGTGGAGCAATATCAATTAATTTAATATACATGTTTGGGGTTTGCAGGTGGGGCAATATCAATTAATTTAATATACATGTTTGGGGTTTGCAAGGGAAGGAATGGTATAGATGGAGCAGGATTGGTCAAGATCATTGTTGAAGTGGGTGGTGGAGACACAAGCATTTTGTTCTTTCATCCTGTGTTTGTATATGTTTGAAATCTGCCATGAAAAAGAGTTAGAAGAAGCCTCTTTTCTTTCCCTTTTTTTTTTTTTTTTTTTTTGAGACGGAGTTTCGTTCTTGTTGCCCAGGCTGGAGTGCAATGGCACAATCTCGGCTCACTGCAACCTCCGCACCCCCGGGTTCAAAAGATTCTCCTGCCTCAGCCACCTGAGTAGCTGGGATTACATGCATGCACATCCACTCCCGGCTAATTTTGTATTTTTAGTAGAGATGGGGTTTCTCCATGTTGGTCAGGCTGGACAGAGCCTCTTTTGGCCTACATCCTCTCCACCCAACCCTTTGCAGTTGTCTGTGTCCACAGTCCCCAATTCTCTTGAACCCAACCCACTCAGGCTTTTGCTGCAAAATCTCCCTCAAATGAGCTCCAAATTGCCAAGCCCCCAGATCACCTGACCTAAGAGCTGCTGTGACACAGCCAGACACCCCCTCCAGTCCACCGCTGCTTTCCTGCTTTCCTCTCCCCTCACTGGATGCCCCTCTACTGTCTCCTCCCCTGGGTCTAGCCCAACCTCAGAATGTCAGAGGCACTCCCTAGATAACCCCATCCACTCTCATGTTTGAAATACAGTCTGTACGCTGATGACGCCCATGCTTATATTTCCGAGCTGGACCCCTCCCTCAACTCCACATGCAGATATCCAGCTGTCTAACAGCTTTCCTTGGCATTTCCCAGTGTGAAGTATCCAAAAATGAGTTCCTGTTCTTCCCTGCAAAGCTGCTTTCCTGTCACCTGCCCCACCTCGGTGAATAGCAATGTCACCATCCTTGGAGTCAGAATCAATTCTTTCACATCCCTCATCCTATCCGTGAGCAAATCTTTGGGTCCCACTTTCCCAATTGAACCTTATTGTGACCACTTTTCACCACGTGTGGAACAGCCACTCTGGTCAAAGTCACCATCTGAATTATTGCTTGAATTATTGCAATAATGTCCTAAGGGTCTTCATGTTTCTGTCCCACAATTATCTGTTGTCAACTGGGCAGCCAGAGCGATCCTGTTAAACGCAACTCAGGGCATGTGACTCCCCTGTTCCAAACCCTCCATGGTTTCCCACCTTACTCAGCAAAGAGTCATTCCTCACCATGGCCTGTGAGGTCCACCTGAGCTCATCCCCAGAAACCCCCCTCTGACGCCAGCTCCTATGACTCCCCCTCACTCAGTCACTTAAGTCACCCTGCCCTCTCTGCATTTTCTCAGCCTTGGCACACTGCTGTCACAGGGCCTTTGCACGGCCATTTCCTCACCTTTAATGCTCAATCCCACCCCAGGGTCATGCTCTCATCTCTTTCAAGTCTGTCCTCAAATGCCACTTTCTCATAGGCTTTTCCTGGTCAAGATATTTACTCTTGCAAATACCCCTGAAACCACAACCCCTGTTTCTTCTCTGTTTTATTTTTCTCCATAGACCACCTTCTAGAATACTCTATGTGTTCACTTTGTTCATCATTCATCTCATCCTGGGGCACCATCAAGGCAAGAATTTCTGTCTGTCTTTTTAACTGTAATACCCTGGCAAGAATAGCATTTGGCATAAAACTAATATATAATCAATGTTTTCTACTAGTCACTTAGTTTGCATTTTATCTTTGGAGAATTATCTAGTTCTGTGGCCAGTTATTAAGAAGCGGCTCTGACACTAGCTGCTACCCCTGGACAAATTATTTAACATATCTGAACCTCAGCTTTCAAATCTATGAAATAGAGATGACATGTTATTGTGAGATTTAAATGAATTAACTGGTGTTTCCTTCCGTTGCTCTCTCCTTGGATATTGTACGATGCCCTCCCTGATCCAGAGCCCAGTAGCTGCTGTGCAGGCCTGCACTCCACCTTTCCTGTCTCCTTTAGTGAGCATTCAGGGACTCAGTGCACTGAGTTGAGGAGGGTTCCAGCATTTCCCACAACTTGATTCTCTTGACATTGAACCAAAGAAAATCACAAAACCCTGTATTTCCTTAGGAGGGAGATTCCTTGACCCCTGTCCACAGGGGTTTGCTCATTGAGTCCGTATCTCCTGGGGTGTAACGGTCACCACGTGGCCCTCCTCTGACTCCCCCAGGGTCAGACTGCCACTGCTGTCCCAGGCAGCTGAGGGTCAGCAAGCTCTGGGTCACATTCACCAGTCCTGTCCTTAATGGCCTGTCCCAAGTTCTGGAGAGAGACTAATGTCCAAGCCTAGCTAGCGCCACTGCTACACATGCTGTCTCCCACAGTAGCCAAAAACTGGAAATAAACAAGGGCACAACAACAGGAGAATGAATAAAGAAATTATAGGATAATTATACAATGGAACATCACCCAGCAAACAAATAAACTACTGACAGACAAAACAGCAGGGATGTGTTTCTAAAACACTGTACTAAATTCAAGCCACTAGGCACCAAATAGTGTGTACTATACAATTCCATTTATGTGAATCTCAAAAACAGACAAAATTATTCTGCGGGGTTAAAAATCAGGACAGCAGTCACCTGTGAGTCAGCAGAGGTTGGGGTAACATACAGGCAATTTTACTAGAAAGGGACAGGAGGGGAGGGGAGTTGAGTCGTGCTGGTCAGACTGCCATCTGGAGCAAGAATGCAACGAATGCGTGCACAGGCAGCACTCACGGTGTCGACGCTGCTGGGAAAGATCCAGAAGACTGCACCGTGGCTGGGGCACAAAGTCAGAAAGGCCATCTCTTACTAAATGCCGAAGACGAGTTCCACTGCCTGTGACCTGAGTACTAGCAACTAGCAGGACAAAGGGTTGAGTCTATTGAGGAAGACATGGCGAGGGTGTGGAAGCAGAGCTGAGTAACTGCCACCACCTCCTGGAAGTCAGGAAGGCAAGAGAAACGGGAACAGGAATGTTAATTTCAGGCAGTGAGAACAGAGATCCAGCTGTGCAGTGGGAACCACAGGAACAAAGGAAGGTACCACACCCTGTGGAGGTAGAGGGATGAGACGCCAAGAGAGCCCTGGAGGAAAGCGCCATTTGAGCCCAGAGAGACACAGTAGATAAGGTGGCTGGAGGGCAGGAGCCTCAAAGGACGCAGCGCCTTCTCCATTTTTTTTTCCCATTTGCTGAGTGAGAAGTGAACTGTCTGGGCCCGGGCTGCATCTTTCTAGGTGTTCAGAAAGTGCAGGCAAGTTCGACCTGAATCCGAGGCTGGGTAGCAGCGTGATAGACAGCCGAGGCCACAGCCAGCCCAGCTCGCCTGCTTAGCCATCCATACCGTCTACCTCCCTTCCAGGCTTGCACCAGCCAGAGGCAGTGTTGAGTACACAGCATGGGCACATCAGCCCAGGAGGATATGAGAAGCCAATGGCGGAGAGGAGGGGGAGCACTGCTGATGGGCAGAGCAGGGTGTGCGTGGGCCAGAGGACTCTTGTGGTAATGGTACGATCCACGGAGAGACTCACCAGCTCTCCAGTGGGAATACGTGGCAGTTTACACGGTCTTTTTATTTTCATTTTTTATTAATACATAATAATTGTACATCTTTATGGAGTGATTTTTTTAATGTAACACATACTAAGGCCAGGCACAGTGGCTCACGCCTATAATCCCAGCACTTTGGGAGGCCGAGGCAGGCGGATCACCTGAGGTCAGGAGTTCAAGACCAGCCTGGCCAAACGGCGAAACCTCGTCTCTAGTAAAAATACAAAAATTAGCTGGGCTTGGTGACGGGTGCCTGTAATCCCAGCTACTCGGGAGGCTTAGGCAGGAGAATCACTTGAACTTGAGGGAGGCAGAGGTTGCAGTGAGCCAAGATGATGCCACTGCACTCCAGCCTGGATGACAGAGTGAGACTCTGTCTGGAAAAAAAAAAAAAAGAATAGAATGTAACACATACTAAATGATTTCTGGCACTGCTTTTTAAATTCCACTGCTCACTGTCTAAATGCAAAATCCTCTTTTTCTATCATTTTAATCTCCTTAAATGAACAACAGGCACTGGCAACTGCTTTTCCTTTTAACCTGTGTGAAATGATGCATTGCACAGTGAGCCCGGACCCCATCTGAAGGCATGGAATGGCTCCTGGGCGCCCCCATTTTCACCAACCCATTGTTGACCGCGTATTTAGCTGTTGAAATGAAGGATGTTGCCGGGAAGCCAAGCCCGGCACTTCAGGGAGATGGGTGCAGAGGTGAACAGAGGTGCCCTGCATAGTCTGTGGTTCTGCCTGGGGCGGTCTCTGGCTCTGAGGCTCTGGTGCAGGCCGGCCTGGTTTTGAAGTCAGCCATGGTCAGGGGAAAGTATACAGAGGTGTTTGTTTATAAGAAATGCAAGCGCTTGATTTGGATTCCCTGCAATTAGAGGAAATACTTTTGAAACATAATAAATTATTTTGGGAAAAAAAAAAAGTATTTCCCGCTTAAGAGAACTATTTTCAAGCACTTGAGAGGTGGCCCTGCATATCGACAGCTGCTATTAAATTACTTTATCTTCTCATAGAAGCAGCACAGCAAAGCGGGAGGCAGGCTATGGAGGTCTCAGGAAACACGGGGTCCTGGAGTCCAGCTGCCTCCTCCAGAGAGCTGTAACCTGGGAAATGTCACTTAGCAACCCAGAGCTCATATCCTCCAATGTCAAATGGGGATGTCGGTATAGCATATGATAATACACATTATATCATGGCTGGCAACAAGCTCTGATGTGTTTACTTAACACATTTGTGTTTGTGCATAATATATTATTGTATATTTCATTATTCAGAAAAGTATTTACACTAATATATTATTGCTATTATTAAATAAAATTTCCAATAATTTTAATATTTTAATTATATAACATAGTAATTTATTGATCACAAGGATTTTTGAAGGGTCAAGTGGAAATACAAGTCCAGCATTCCTGACCAATGCCCAGCATTTTGCCAACACCCAGTAAATGCTATTTGGTGATAATAGGAGGAGGAAGAGTATCATTATTATTGTTATTATCATTTAATAATTATTTGTGAGATGAGTTGCTGTATAAATTCAAAAGAATTAAAATTTGAGTCTTCAGAAATAGTCTGTTTCAGAAACTGTTTTCTGCAATCCAATCAAGCCTTTCCTTAAGTACCCCAGACTCTCTCTCAGCGTCCATATTCTGTAAACAGAGGTTAAACACAGAGCTTCAGTCTACCCGCACCTCTGCTCATTCCACACTGCTGATAGGAATGCAAGCCTCTCCTCCTCATCTCCAACTCCACACCAGAGGTGTCCAAAGACAGGCAGAGGGACAAAAGCCGTGGCATGAGCATGGCTGGAGCACTCCAGGCATTCGGGTCCTCCTGGGCAGTCTCATGGCAACTTGTGGTGAAATGTGGGCAGCCCCTGTGGACACAGGACCTTTGACCTAAGTGACTCCATCTTAGAAAAAGACTCCATCTTACATTTTTAAAAGACATCATGCCAACAGGAGCCAGATGTTTGTCTAATCAACAGTGACTATACCCAATCAGATAAGGTTCACTTTATCAGTCCTCACCAGAGGACTCGGGGGCTATAAAAAGAGGAAGAATTCACCAGCTCCAGATGGCCGTCTTCATAGACCCCATCCTGCTGTTACTCATGACCAGCACCCAGCATCTGCCACGATAGTCTCTTTCTTACAAAATGTTGATGTCCATCCAGATCAGACCAGGACATTCTCCTTGTTCATGTTACCCTCTTGGACTGGTTCATTAACCCGTTTATCCTATCCCCCTTTCTCTTAATGTTAAATATTACTTTATGAATGTTTACTGATGTAGAAGGTTTAATCTATAGCAATTGTATATTGATTAAGTGTACTACTATGTCTTGTTTGCAATACTGACTGATTTGTAAAGTGCGCCTGAGGCTTTAACTACCAAGTAAACAGGTAGCACTAAAGAAAATCACCTCCTTGGGAACTCCATGCAGCTAGTGGCTTTTATGATTGAAATTGCATCAATAAAAGTCTGACCTTATACAAAGACACAAATGTTCATGGACCTGGTTATGTCTGACCCTGTGCCACTCAGGACACACTGGCTGGGCCGAGACCCCGCTGCTCCTGCTGCTGGGTGTGAGACGTAGGCTTTGTTTCCACATGGGAGAACCAGAGCCAGCGGCCAGCATTCAAGCCTGCCAGAGCCAGGCATTGCCCCATAAGGCTTTTTACCTGGCTAACCCAGTGAAGCTCAGTGAAGGTGCACTATTATCTTTGCATTTATCAATGAGAAAACAGAGACACCAAAGAGTTAAATGACTTGCTGAGCATTATACGGCCTTTCCATGGTAGAGCTCAGACTCTAGAGGTTCCAGCTCCAAATCTCCGCCCCCTGCCAATTACAGTAACCACGAATTCCCACTTGGAGCCCCCACAGAGGCAGAAAGAGGGGCAGACCCTGAGGACATTTGAAGACATTATGCTAAGTGAAATGAGCCAGGCACGGAAGACAAATACTGCATGATCTCATTCATATGTGGAATCTATTATAAAAAGTCAAACTCAGAAGTAGAACGTAGAGTGGTGATAGCAGGCGCTGGAGTCAGGGGTATGGGGAAGGTTGGGGAGATATTGGTGAAAGGATACAGAAGTTCAGTTAGACAGGAGGAATAAATTCAAGAGATCTATTGTACAACATGCTGACTATAGTTAATAATGTATTGTATTTTGAGAATCACTGAGAGTAGATTTTAAGTGTTCTCACCACACAAAAAAATAGGAGGTGATGCACATGTTAGTAGCTCAGTTTAGCCATCCTACAAAGTATACATATTGCAAAACATCATATTATAAGCCATAAATGTATACAATTTTTATTTGTCAGTTAAAAAGAAAAAGAACTCATCTTTTTATTTTGCCCTTTAAGGCTAAGTCTTCTATCTGGGACTAGTTCAATGCAAGAAAAAATGTCATAAATACTTTTAAGAAGTCCAATATATTATGTTTCTCCTTTTGGGAAGTTAGATGACACATTAGCATATTAAAACTTTTGAGAAGCTGTGCAGTAATTTAAAATGTTTAACTTTGTTTAAGCCAATGTTTCATATTCACTCTAGAACCCTTTCTTTGAGCGGTACCCATTAATACCCTGTGTAACTCACTTTGGAAAATAATACTTCAACATCTAAACTTTTGAGAACTTGCAATCTTAATCATCTTTTCATCGTATCTCCCACTATAAACCCCTTTCCCTGCGGCCTGCTGTCTTTTGTGCAAGTAATGGATCTTCAATAAATATTTACTAAATAAGGGGAAAAAATAGAGAGAGGACTGGGGAGTCTAATGGTTGGGAATGCATGAGAAAGACCCTGGAAAGCTGAAGTCATTGTCGTGAGCAGGGACTGGGCCTGGGTGGCCTGCTGCACCCACAAGAAAGCTGAGGTGCAGAGAGGAGAAGCTCCAGGGGAGTCTTCTGTGGAACACAGGTCTTCCAGGGAGGACCCCCTGGATTCAATCTGAATGGATGGAGGAAAAAGACCTGCCTTCAACTGCAGAAGACAGACCACCTGAGTGAGGCACCACAGTCACCTGGTTGTGGCATAGTCTAGTTTTAGAATAAAAGAGAGATATAAATCTATAGCCTTGAGTGCTGACCTTGCAAAGCAGTCAGTTTAATGATCACAGCACCAGCACACGGCCACTCTGAACTCGAAGGTCAGCTCAGAGGCCATCGCATGACCCTTACTTTGTCCCTGGTGTGAGGGGGGCTTGTTGAGGTCCAGATTTAGAAGAGGTTTGTAATGACCATCTGAGACTGACCGTGGAAATGAGGGGTTAACAAAAAGAATGTCTCTCCTCTCACCCACCCATCACCCACTTGGTGTGATCCAGGGCAACTCCCATCGGCATCAACACACTCATTAAGATCTGTAACACACGTCTGCTTAAGTTCAGGATCTGCCAGGAGTCACCACAGTGGATGCAACACACTGTAAATAACCTTTGAACTTTAACTATGACAGACTAGGAGCACTCCCCCCATACACTTTTTTTTAGGGCAAGAGGCTTTCTCAGAACAAATTCAGTATTTCCTGAAGTCACATGAGCTCTTTCAGACCAAGCAGGTGCCACCTAAATAAGACACCCAAGACGTTATTTTGGGGGCGACTGAATCCAGGGAGTGAACACCCTTTAAGAAATACAAAAACGCTTTCCAGCCATTTGCAATAGGGCCTGCGTCATAGGGTGCAGTCCTGCAGTTGTGCAGGTCCCCATACAGAAGAGCCTCATCAGGATCAGCTATAGAATTTGCCTAATGCAAATGGCATTCAGGGCCTCTTGCTAAAAAAAGTATTAAGTATGACAAGACAGCAGGAGCAGAGCATTGGGCCAAGCACAGGTCCTTCTGTGTAGGGGCCTGCGCAAGTTCCAGGCTGCACCCCATGAGACAGGCCCTACTGCAAAGAGCTGGAAAGCATTTTCATACTCCTTGTTTTTTGAAATGGAGTCTCGCTCTGTCGCCCAGGCTGAAGTGCAGTGGCACAATCTTGGGTCACTGCAGCCTCCGCCTCCCAGGTTCAAGCGATTCTCCTACCTCAGCCTCCTGATTAGCTGGGATTACAGGTGCCCACCACCACACCCAGCTATTTTTTGTATTTTTAGTAGAGATGGGGTTTCACCATGTTGACCAGGCTGGTTTGAAACTCCTGACCTCTGGTGATCTGCCTGCCTTGGCCTCCCAAAGTGCTGGATTACAGGTGTGAGCCACCGCATTTCTTAAAAGGCGCTCACCCGCTGGACTCATTCCCTCAGGAGGCATTTCTCTGAGTACTGCACATGGACCACTGAAAACAGGTGGAACCCCTGGCAGCTGATGGGAGCCCCCAGCCAACAGAGAAGCATTGAATGGGCCCCAGAAAATATCCTGATTGCCAGACAGATGGAAGATGGATAGACAGAAGCAGCTAAGGCACTCATCCTCCCTGCTCCAGGTCTCTGGGAGACCCTCCCATTGCTTGACTTCAAACCTGTTGTCCTTGCTTTTTCTTGCAAATATCGGAACCCCAGATCCTCTGGACTTAGCACAGGCTGAGACATGGCAGCACAAAGTGATGGCCAGAAACCACTCCAGCAGGTTGGTTCACTCAAACTCAGAAAGTCTTGGGCTCAATGTTTCCTGCCCTTCTTTACTTTACACACATGCATTTTAATGGAAATACAGTTCTTTCAATATGCAATTCCTTTTTCCTCTACCAATCAAAGTATTTACAAAGCACTTGACTCATAAGAAGGCTTTTATTATTGACAGAAGTTGGAAGCTCCTCTCCCAGCTCTGATTCATGTTCCATTTAGAGTGAAACATATGGGGAACAAGAACTCTCTGTTTCACAATCTGACTCTTAACGGTTCTAAGGGCCAATTCTGCTCTTCCCAGGACTAGGAAGATCAGTCACACACTTTGAAGCTGCTTTCTGAAACACATCTGAATTCGGATTTTCAGTGATTCTTCCCCATTAACGAGCATCCTTGCTGTGGGAGGCCATGTGCCCATTCACGTGAAGATTCCATTGCTTGAAACAATTTTTGAGCTGTGCCTTGGAGAGTGCCTCCCCTCAAGACTGTGGCCTCTCTCCTGAGTGAGCTAAATGAAGGTGCATTGTCCTTTGAGGGTGTATTAGCTTTCTGGAATCAGCCTGAAGTCATTTGAAGTCAAGTGGTGAAGCGAAAGGGAGCCAGAAATAAGGTGCATCTTTGCCCTCAGTCAGTTGGGATTCTTTTGGGCATTTAGAAGGGGCGGTCCTAGAGTTCTAGAGAATTTACGGAGGAGAGTTTCAGATCCATGCTGGGCAGGGCAATAGAGGCTTGGTTAGACTATATCTGCAAAGGAGGGTTACTTTGAAGGAAACAGCATTCATTTTATTGTATGCATTTAAGTGTGTTTATTAATAATGCGTTTACTTTTCTTACTTCCTGCTAAGATCTCATATGCATCTGGTTGTAAAGAAGATTTAGCCATGGCCTGTAGGCTGCTGTGCTTTTGAATATCTAACACTGAGAAACCACAGCTCTCAAGGAAGCTACCGGAGACAGGGAAAGCAAGAAAAAGGGACTGAAAAAAGTCACCAGGACACAGTTCCATGAAGCAGCCAAAGCTCTCTATCCTTCATAATTAGAAACTTGCTATCAAGATTAATGGTGCCATTTCAAAGGAACGTACATTGTTCTGTCATATTCTTTGTTTGCAGAACAAGTTAAAGCTACTAAAAAGAAAGAAAGAAGAAAGAAAGAAAAGAAAGAAAGAAAGAGAAAGAAAGAAAGAAAACAGAAAAGGACACACACACACAAATGTAAACTATGACAGAGTAAGAGCCTGTTTACTTTTTAGGTTAAGTGACTGCCTCATGACAAATGTGGTAAATTTCGAAGTCAGGTGAGCTCATTCTATTTCAGATCAGATTTCTCTGGGCTGATGTTGGCCATCTTACAAAGTCAAGAGCAGCAATATCATGGTTCTGCCACCTTTCTCTCTGGGGCTTAGGGCATTTTTCTCTCTTCCCTTTAATCCAATGTGGGTAGGCAGGGATGGATGTAGGGAAATTGCTAGAGAGGAAAAGAAGGACTTCTCGCAAGCCAGTACAAAACCAAGACCTGGATTTTCTCTTTCCATTGCTTGGGTCACATTCTATATAAGCAAGAGTTGCTGATGATTTCGTCCACCTTCTTCACACAAAAGTAGCATTGGCTTACATGGGAGCTCAGGACTGCACAGACAGCTCTGGGGACAGACTAGGGGAGATAGCCGTGTGCACACAGCCTGCCGTGCTGCAGCCTGAGCCTGCCAGGTGGCCTTGTAGCATGGGCCAGAATGTGACCAACAGGCAGGGCTTCTGCCAACTTACTAGTCAAATGGTTGGCACAGAAATGAGCTGCTCATGTGAAAGCAGTCAATAGCCAGAAACTCACTGTAATCCACCCTCTACCCTATCCGTCCTCTGCCCCATCCCCATCTCACACAGTCTCAGCCACTTTCTCTCCTAGACCCCTGGCTGGACTGTTCTGAGGCCTGTGCTAAGTAAAGGTGGAAGACCTAGAGAGAAGTTCGAGGTCAGATACTGGCCTGGACATTGACCCAAAGCTGAGCAGTGGCATCCTGTGCAGGGGCTGCTTCTCAAGGGCATGTTCCATTCCTGTCCACACATTGTCAATTTGCATTGAGACATTTTTCTGGCAAAGAACAGGAAGGTGTCTTAGGATATGAATGCCTTTTTTCAATTTGCACAAAGGCCCCACAAGGGCTAACAGCAGTGCTGACTTTAACCACCACAGCCGGGTAGCTTCTGCCCAAAATAGCAGTGAAGAAACACACCACCCTCTGGGACTAGGTGGGGCTTCAGGAGAAAGGAAAATGTAAACAGATGTGTTCCTGTTGTCATCTCTGATATAAACAATTTGGCAGATCTATTCATTAGGAATTAAGTTTGGTCTATGGTAAGAGGGATCACAAACAAAGGGGGAAGAGCAACTTAAAAAGAGGATGGTTTATTCTCTCCATAAAAGACAGAAAGTGAGTAATCCAGGACTGATACAGTAGGTCCACAAGCTCATCAGGGATTGAGCTCCTTCCATCTTTCTGTTGCACCATCCTCAGCAAGTGACCTCCTCATTCAAGATCATCTGTGGTTCTGCCATCATATCCACATTCCAGAAAGAGAGAAAGAGGGGAGGTAAAAAGGGAGTTGCACCACCAACTAAATCAGCCTTTCTTAGGCAACATTCCCAGACTCCCCAGACTATACTCTCAATTAGGTCTCACTGATGGCATTCACCTGCAAAGGCAGCTGGGAAATGTAGTCTTTAAGCTGTGCGTGGCCACATCCTGGATTCTCTTGCCACCCTGGTGCCTGCCAAGCAGGAGTCTTTTCCATTTCCCTAGTGCGTGAAATTATCTCCTCCTTTTCAGCACTCACACAGACCACAGCCAAATGATAAGAAGCAGATTCAATATACAGAGCACAGCTAGGGAATCTGTCCCACTTGGAAAGGTTGGGACTCCTTTCTTCCATTAGCCAAGCAAACTTTTGACCTAGGAAACTAGATAAGGTAGAAACAAACAAAAAAAGTAATTGATCTGAGTGCTTCCACATTCGTTATTTCTTGAGCTCCTCAACACAGATCTGAGAGAGAAGCAATTATACTCACTTTGCAACTGGACATCAGAGGCTTTAAGAGCAAAGCGACCCTGTCTAGGATTCTGCTGTCAGGGTTGGCAATAAAACCCAAGGGCCATCTTGACTCAAAAACTTGCTACTAGTGGAAGCTAACATAAAAATTCAATTACAGTAACTAATAGGGAGTTAGTTGATAAAACCATGACTTTTAAAGCTATAACAAGAATTTCAAACAGTGTCCTAGCACATGGAGGACTCTGCTAGTATCAAAACCACCCAGTTGATGACCTAGCTAGTCTATAACAAACACAGTGCCCTCACAATGACATTTTTTCCTTTTCCTTATGAAGTCATTTACTAAAATTAAAGTCAGTAAAGGCATACCTCATTTTATCGCACTTCCCAGACATTGCATTTTTTACAAATTGAAAGTTTGTGATAACCCTGTGTCAAGCAATTGTATCAAGAGCATGTGCTCGCTTCCTGTCTCTGTTAAATTTTGGTAATTCTCACAATATTTTCAACTTTTTCATCGTTATGTCTGTATGGTGACATATGACATATGATCGGTGATCTTTGATGTTACTATTATAACTGTTTGGGGTACCATGCCCATATAAGATGGCAAATTTAATTGATAAAGGTTTCGTATGTTCTGACTGCTCCACTGACCAGCTGTTCTCCCATCTCTCTCCCTCTTCTCAAGCCTCACTGTTCTTTGAGACACAACAATATTAAAATTAGGTCCATAATAACCCTACAATGGCCTCTAAGTGTTCAAGTGAAAGGAGTCACACATCTGTCACTTTAAATCAAAAGCTGAAAATGATCAAGCTTAGTAGAAGGCATGTCAAAAGCCAAGACAGGCTGAAAGCTAGGCCTATTGCACCAAACAGCCAACTTGTGAATGCAAAGGAAAAGTTCTTGAAAGTAGTTAAAAGTGCTCCTCCAGTGAACACATGAACAGGAAAGTGAAATAGGCTTATCGCTGATATGGAGAAAGCGTAAGTGGTCTGGATAGAAGATCAAACCAGCCATGCTGCCTTAAGCCAAATCCTAATCCAGAGCAAGACACTAACTCTCTTCAATACAATGAAGGCTGAAAGAGGTGAAGAAGCTGCAGAAGAAAAGGTTGAAGCTAGCAGAGGATGGTTCATGAGGCTTATGGAAAAAAAGCTGTCCCCATCACATAAAAATGCAAGGTGGGCCTGGTGTGGTGGCTCATGCCTGTAATTCCAGCGCTTTGGGAGGCCGAGGCGGGCAGATCACCTGAGGTCAGGAGTTTGAAACCAGCCTGGCCACCAGGCATGGTGAAACCCCGTCTCTACTGAAAATACCAAAAATTAGCCAGAAGTAGTGGTGGACGCCTATGATCCCAGCTACTTAGAAGGCTGAGACAGGAGAATTGCTTGAACCTGGGAGGCAGAGGTTGCAGTGAGCTGAGATCACAGCATTGCACTCCAGCCTAGGCAACAAGAGTGAAACGTCAAAAAAAAAATTAAAAAAAAGGTGAAGCAGCAAGTGATGACATAGAAGCTGCAGCAAGTTATCCAGAAGATCTTGCTAAGATCATTGATGAAGGTGACCACACTAAACAACAGATTTTCAATGCAAGCAAAACAGCCTTCTATTGGAAGAAGATGCCATCTAGGACTTTCATAGCTGGAGAGGAGAAGTCAATGCCTGTTTCCAAAGGACAAGCTGACTCTTTTATTAGGGCGAATGCACCTGGTGACTTTAAATTGAAGCCAACGCTCATTCCAAAACTCCTAGGGCTTTTAAGAATTACATACTCTGTTTATTGTATTCTCTGATGGTAGTTTGTATTTCTGTGGGATCGGTGGTGATATCCCCTTTATCATTTTTTATTGTGTCTATTTGATTCTTCTCTCTGTTCTTCTTTATTAGCCTTGCTAGCAGTCTATCAATTTTGTTGATCTTTTCAAAAAACCAGCTCCTGGATTCATTGATTTTTTGAAGGGATTTTTGTGTCTCTATTTACTTCAGTTCTGCTCTGATCTTAGTTATTTCTTGCTTTCTGCTAGCTTTTGAATGTGTTTGCTCTTGCTTCTCTAGTTCTTTTAATTGTGAAGTTAGGGTGTCAATTTTAGATCTTTCCTGCTTTCTCTTGTGGGCATTTAGTGCTATAAATTTCCCTCTACACACTGCTTTGAATGTGTCCCAGAGATTCTGGTATGTTGTGTCTTTGGTCTCATTGGTTTCAAAGAACATCTTTATTTCTTCTGCCTTCATTTCGTTATGTACCCAGTAGTCATTCAGGAGCAGGTTGTTCCGTTTCCGTGTAGTTGAGCGGTTTTGAGTGAGTTTCTTAATCCTGAGGTCTAGTTTGATTGCACTGTACACCTCTATGCAAATAAACTAGAAAATCTGGAAGAAATGGATAAATTCCTCAACACATACACCCTCCCAAGACTAAACCAGGAAGAAGTTGAATCTCTGAATAGACCAATAACAGGCTCTGAAATTGAGGCAATAATAGCTTACCAACCAAAAAAAGTCCAGGACCAGATGGATTCACAGCCGAATTCTACCAGAGGTACAAGGAGGAGCTGGTACCATTCCTTCTGAAACTATTCCAATCAACAGAAAAAGAGGGAATCCTCCCTAACTCATTCTATGAGGCCAGCATACCAAAGCCTGGCAGAGACACAACAAAAAGAGAATTTTAGACCAATATCCCTGATGAACATCGATGCAAAATTCCTCAATAAAATACTGACAAACTAAATCCAGCGGCACATCAAAAAGCTTATCCACCATGATCAAGTGGGCTTCATCCCTGGGATGCAAGGCTGGTTCAACATACACAAATCAATAAATGTAATCCAGCATATAAACAGAACCAACGACAAAAACCACATGATTATCTCAATAGATGCAGAAAAGGCCTTTGACAAAATTCAACAACCCTTCATGCTAAAAACTCTCAGTAAATTAGGTATTGATGGGACGTATCTCAAAATAATAACAGCTATCTATGGCAAACCCACAGCCAATATCGTACTGAATGGGCAAAAACTGGAAGCATTTCCTTTGAAAACTGGCACAAGACAGGGATGCCCTCTCTCACCACTCCTATTCAACATAGTGTTGGAAGTTCTGGCCAGGGAAATCAGGCAGGACAAGGAAATAAAGGGTATTCAATTAGGAAAAGTGGAAGTCAAATTGTCCCTGTGTGCAGATGACATGATTGTATATCTAGAAAACCCCATCGTCTCAGCCCAAAATCTCCTTAAGCTGATAGGCAACTTCAGCAAAGTCTCAGGATACAAAATCAATGTGCAAAAATCACAAGCATTCTTATACAAACAGAGAGCCAAATCATGAGTGAACTCCCATTCACAATTGCTTCAAAGAGAATAAAATACCTAGGAATCCAACTTACAAGGGATATGAAGGACCTCTTCAAGGAGAACTACAAACCACTGCTCAGTGAAATAAAAGAGGATACAAACAAATGGAAGAACACTCCATGCTCATGGGTAGGAAGAATCAATATCATGAAAATGGCCATACTGCCCAAGGTAATTTATAGATTCAATGCCATCCCCATCAAGCTGCCAATGACTTTCTTCACAGAATTGGAAAAAACTACTTTAAAGTTCATATGGAACCAAAAAAGAGCCCACATTGCCAAGTCAATCCTAAGCCAAAAGAACAAAGCCGGAGGCATCACGCTACCTGACTTCACATTATACTACAAGGCTACAGTAACCAAAACAGCATGGTACTGGTACCAAAACAGAGATATAGACCAATGGAACAGAACAGAGCCCTCAGAAATAATGCTGCATATCTACAACCATCTGATCTTTGACAAACCTGACAAAACAAGAAATGGGGAAACGATTCCCTATTTAATAAATGGTGCTGGGAAAACTGGCTAGCCATATGTAGAAAGCTGAAACTGGATCCCTTCCTTACACCTTATACAAAAATCAATTCAAGATGGATTAAAGACTTAAATGTTAGACCTGAAACCATAAAAACCCTAGAAGAAAACCTAGGCAATACCATTCAGGGCATAGGCATGGGAAAGGACTTCATGTCTAAAACACCAAAAGCAATGGCAACAAAAGCCAAAATTGACAAATGGGATCTAATTAAACTAAAGAGCTTCTGCACAGCAAAAGAAACTACCATCAGAGTGAACAGGCAACCTACAGAATGGGAGAAAATTTTTGCAATCTACTCATCTGACAAAGGGCTAATATCCAGAATCTACAATGAACTCAAACAAATTTACAAGAAAAAAACAAACAACCCCATCAAAAAGTGGGCGAAGGATATGAACAGACACTTCTCAAAAGAAGACATTTATGCAGCCAAAAGACACACGAAAAAATGCTCATCATCACTGGCCATCAGAGAAATGCAAATCAAAACCACAATGAGATACCATCTCACACCAGTTAGAATGGCAATCATTAAAAAGTCAGGAAACAACAGGTGCTGGAGAGGATGTGGAGAAATAGGAACACTTTTACACTGTTGGTGGGACTGTAAACTAGTTCAACCATTGTGGAAGTCAGTGTGGTGATTCCTCAGGGAACTAGAACTAGAAATACCATTTGACCCAGCCATCCCATTACTGGGTATATACCCAAAGGATTATAAATCATGCTGCTATAAAGATACATGCACACGTATGTTTATTGTGGCACTGTTCACAATAGCAAAGACTTGGAACCAACCCAAATGTCCAACAATAATAGACGGGATTAAGAAAATGTGGCACATATACACCATGGAATACTATGCAGCCATAAAAAAGGATGAGTTCATGTCCTTTGTAGGGACATGGATGAAGCTGGAAACCATCATTCTCAGCAAACTATCGCAAGGACAAAAAACCAAACACCGCATGTTCTCACTCATAGGTGGGAATTGAACAATGAGAACACATGGACACAGGAAGGGGAACATCACACACCGGGGCCTGTTGTGGGGTGGGGGGAGGGGGGAGGGATAGCATTAGGAGATATACCTAATGTTAAATGATCAGTTAATGGGTGCAGCACACCAACATGGCACATGTATACATATGTAACTAACCTGCACATTGTGCACATGTACCCTAAAACTTAAAGTATAATAAAATAAATAAATTAAATAAATAAATAAATGAGTTACATACTCTGGCTGTGTTCTAAAAATGGAATAACAAAGCCTGGATGATAGCATCTATTTACAGCATGGTTTGTGGAATATTTTAAGCCCACTGTTGAGACCTGTTGCTCAGAAGAAAAGATTCCTTTCAAAATAGCACTCATCACTGATAATATGCCTGGTCACCCATCAGCTCTGAGGGAGATGTACAAGGAGATGAATGTTGTTTTTATGCCTGCTAATAAAACATCCATTCTGCAGCCCATGAATCAAGGCATAATTTTGACTTCCCAGTTTTATTATTTAAAAAATACATTTTGTAAGGTTATAGCGCCAAAAATAGTGATTCCTCTAATGGATGTGGGCAAAGTCAATTGAAAACCTTCTGGAAAGGATTCACCATGCTATATGTCATTAAAAACATTGATTCATGGGAGGAGGTCAAAGTATCAACATTAACATAAGATTGGAAGAAATCGATTCCAACCTTCATAGGTGGCTTTGCGGGGTTTGTGACTTTGGTGGAGGTAGTAACTGCAGATGTGTTGGAAATAGCAAGAGAACTAGAATGAGAAGTGGAGCCTGAAGATGTGACTGAATTGCTGCAATCTCATATTAAAACTTGAACAGACGAGGAGTAGCCTCTTATGAGTGAGCAAAGAAAGTGGTTTCTTAAGATGGAATTTCCTCCTGGTGAAGATGCTGTGAACATCGTTGAAATGACAAAAAAGGATTTAGAATATTCCATAAATTTAGTTGATAAAGCAGCAGCAGGGTTTGAGAGGCTTGATTCCATTTTTTTGAGAGAAGTTCTACTGTAGGTAAAATGCTATCCCAAACAGCATTGCATGCTACAAATAAATCTTTCCTGACAGTAAAAGTCAACTGATGTGTCAAACTTCATTGTTGTCTCATTTTAAGAAATTGCCACAGCCACCCCAAGCTTCAGTAACCGCCACCGTGGTCAGTCAGCAGCCATTAACACGGAGGCAGGACTCTCCTTCAAGCAAAAAGATTATTACTCACTAAAGGCTCAGATGACCTTTAGCATCTTTTAGCAATAAGGTATCTTTTAATTAAGGTATGTATGTTTCTTAGACAGATAAGGAGTGGTTATTGCACACTTAATAGACTACAGTATAATGTACATAACTTTTACATGCACTGGAAAACCAAAGAAATTGTATAAATTGCTCTATGGTGATATTTGCTTTATTGCAGTGGTGTGGAATTGAACCTTCCATATCCTCAAATATGCCTGTATGTAAATGTCTTTTGTTCACTGCACATTCAGTGGCTTAAACATGAAGGAAATGTTCATCTTACATTATTAACATGAAAAAATGTTTGTTATCATTTTGTTAAGGAAATCAGGATCTCCCAAGTGCTGGCTCAGAAAAATATTGACACAAGAATTTCCCTTTGTTGCACTGGCCCATATTTATAATCTTCAGACTGATCTCTTACTTTCTTACAACCGCCCCCTCACCTCCTTAATCTGGTGGCACTGGGCCTGTTTAACAAGAAACCAAGAACAAGGAATAAAGGTTTTGCATGGTCTCATTCTCTTCTCCAGGCTCCATGGCCAGCCCAGTCCCATTCTCCAGACTCAGGGTCTACATCCTTCCCACTCAATAAAACTAAAGCGGCACCAACAGCTGATACATTCAGCAGCCAGGGACAAAACCACTTCTAGCTGTGAATTCCATCCAGTCACACACAGGGTGCAGCTGCAGCCCACATCTGCAAACTCTGCATTCCGAAACCCTTTGTATATATACTTCCTAGGGACTCAGACAGTGGGCCCCAGGGGCAAGAGGACTTGTCCTTCCCAAGGTCACAGGGTTCATTGCAGGGCCTTCTTCCCCCGTCTTTCTCAGGCTGCTAGGACTTTCAACACAGTTGTGATCTCCTTCCTCCTACACCCACCTCCTTTCACCCGGTGTCCCTCCTTCCCTGCCGCTTCTTCCTTACTCACCTCCTGTCCAGGAGACTGTTAGTGTTGGTTCAGGCCAGGCTCTCCACACGTCTCATCCTGGGCACACTCTCTAAATGAATCCAGGTTCCTTGAGCCAGTAGCACCTCCATTTCTTCAGCTGCAAAATGATTCTTGTTAGCACACCTATCTTACAGGGACTTTCTAAGATAAGAAAATGTGTATAAAATGCTTTAGGACAATGGCAGACCGGCAGCAGCAGATATCACCTGTTAACATTAAACCCCTGGTTCCCATCTGATTTGGATGGGTTGGGTTGCAATGTCTGTGAGATTTCCACATGGAAGAGACAAGAAGGGAATAGGATTTTCCTAGAAGAGTGGTCTAGGCTACAGATACACCCGGAATGAGGTCATTAATGGAAGGATAGCCTGCCCTTATGACTGGGTGCCTTACATACTACATTAGTCAGGGTTCTCCAGAGAAACAGAAACAACAGGACATGTAGAGAAATATAAGAGATTTATTATGGGACTTCATTCACCCAATTACCCAGGCTGAGAAGTTCCATAATCTTCTGTCTGCAAGCTGGAGGCCCAGGAAAACCTCCAGCTTGCAGACAGTGAACTGATGTAACTCAGTTCAAGTCTAAAGGGGAGGTGATGTATAAGCCCTGTTGTGTTAGTCCATTTTCATACTGCTATGAAGAAATACCTGAGACTGGGTAACTTATAAAGAAAAAGAGGTTTAATGGACTCACAGCTCCACATGGCTGAGGAGGCCTCACAGTCATGGAGGAAGGCAAAGGAGGAGGAAAGGCATGTCTTACACAGTGGCGGGCAAGAGAGCATGTGCAGCGGAACTGCCTTTTATAAAACTATCAAATCTCGTGGGACTTACTCACTATCACTAGAACAGCATGGGAAAACCAGCCCCCATGATTTAATTACCTGCCACTGTGTCCCTCCCATGACACATGGGGATCTTGGGAGCCATAATTCAAGATGAGATTTGGGTGGGGACACAGCCAAACCATATCACCTTGTCTGAGCCCAAAGGCCAGAGAACCAGGAGCACCAATGTCCGAGGGCAGGAGAAGATGTGCAATCAAGCAGGGAGAGTGAATTTGCCCTGTCTCTGCCGTTTTGTTCTATTCAGGCCCTCAGTTGGATAATGCCCACCCACACTGGTGAGGGTAATCTTCTTTACTCAGTCTACTGATTCACATGCTAGTCTCTTCTGGAAATGCCTTCACAGACACACCCCAAAGCAATGTTTACCAGCTATCTGGGCATCCCTTAGCCCAGTCAAATTGACACATGCAATTACCCATTACATACACGTTGCCTCTGCTCCCTTCCGCATCCCCTCAGCTCAGTAAACAGCATCGCCATGCACCTAAATGTTCTGCCTAGAGCCTAGGAGTTGCCCTTAAGTGCTCCCTCTCCCTGTCTCTCACATTTCCTCCATCAACAGATTCCACTCTCTCTTCTAGAACGTGGCCATCACCATGGTCCCAGCCTCTTACCAAAACTGACAAGCAGTCTCCTGCCTCCATTCCCAATCCCTCCAGCCCACTGTCCACACAGCTCCTTAAGCCTAAGCCAGATCATGACATCCCTCTGCTTACAATCTTTCAGTAACGTTGCACTGGATGTAGTAGGAAACCCAAAACCCTCACCATAGCTGGTTTACAAGGCTCTGCACACTCGTGCCCCACTCATCTCACATCCTCCCCTGTGCTACTCTCCACTCCTGAGTAAGCTGCGACCACACCAGCTGCTCAGGGAGCCTCAGGGCCTCTGCCCTGGCTGTTCTCTCCACCTCGCGCCCTCACATGCCTCCCCACCCTCCTCTCCCACAGCCACCTCATTCTTATCCTTTCCATTCCAGCATGCATGTTGCCCTCTGCAGAGTGGGCTTCCTGCGTCACCCCATAGGAAGTAGATCTTCTCCCTCTCTGTCATGACTGAATGTCTGTGCCCACCCCAAAATGCATATGTTGAAGCCCCAAGCCTCAGTGTGATGTGATTTGGAGATGAAGCCTTCGTGGAGATAATTAAGGTCAAATGAGGTCATAAGGATGGGGTCCAATAAGATTAACATCCTTGTAAGAAGAGATATCAAAGCACTCTCTCTCTCTCTATCTGCTCAAACACTGAGAAGAGGTCATGTGAGCATACAGTGAGATGTGGCTGCCTACAAGCTAAAAGAAGAGGCTTCAGAATAAAACTTGCTGACACCTTGATCTCTGACCTCCAGCCACCAAGAGCATGTGAAATCAGTGTCTGTTGTTTTAGCCTCCCAGTAGATGGTATTTTGCTATGGCAGCCCACCTAAGACACACCCTCATCCTCATTCTCCCTTCAAGGCAGTGGTTCTTACATGTAATTAGTGTCTCTGCCCACTTACATAGTCTTTGCCTATCTCCCACCACTGGAACATAACTCTGAGGTCATCGTCACTTTCCTCAGGCCTAGCACAGGGCCTGGCACATAATAAGTGTCCACAGAACAAATCAGTGACTCAATGAATCCATCAAAGACTACATACTTCTAGAAAGGGATGGAAGGAATTGAACCCACCCCTCATACCCAGAAAGGCATCCTGAACAAAGGAGCCACTCTTCCCAGGATAGACTCTGCAATAACTACCCTCTAAAGCACACATATTTATCTACTTCTTGGTTTAGATCCCATCTTGTCCCAAAATGAATTTAAGTGAGTTTATCAAAATATAAACAATACAACAGAATAAATAACAGAGAAGGAAAAGAAAAATAAGAGAAAGCCACTTAGGTGACAGCATGCATGCCATGGTCACTTGCTCTGGGCACCCCAGCAGCCATGGCAAAGAAGGTAGTTCAGTGAGATGTACAATTCAGATTATCCATGAGATGCAAAGAAAGAGTTCTTTGTAAGAAGCATCTTTCTTTCTTTTTTTTTTCTTTTTTTTTTTTTCTTTTTTTTTTTTTTTTTGAGATGGAGTTTCGCTCTTGTTGCCCAGGCTGGAGTGCAATGGCGCAATCTCGGCTCACCACAGCCTCCACTTCCCAGGTTCAAGTGATTCTCCTGCCTCAGCCTCCCGAGTAGCTGGGATTACAGGCATGTGCCACCACGCCCAGCTAATTTTGTATTTTTTTGGTAGAGACAGGGTTTCTCCATGTTGGTCAGGCTGGTCTCAAACTCCCAGCCTTAGGTGATCTGCCCACCTCAGCCTCCCAAAGTGCTGGGATTACAGGCGTGAGCCACCGAACCCGGTCGTAAGAACCATCTCTTAATGAGCCAGATCAGCTCAGCACTGAGGTCATGGAGGAATCCCCACAGTCCTCCCATGGTAGATGGGTCCTGATCAGCAACCTTAAAGAAGATTCAAGAAAGGGTTTCAGGCAGCTCTTCCTCCCAAGTTGCCTGAAGGCAACTCACAGCAATGCCTCACAAAGCAGGATGAGCTGCTCTATGGGCAGCAGAACAGTGAGTCAGTAATGCACTTTGTGCTCCTATAATTCTATATCTCCACATAGCCTACATCGTTATAAAGTAAACTTCCCTTTGCCTTCACAAAGCCAACCCTTGCAGCTGGTAATGGCTTAGAAAGTGAGACCCCAGCATGAGTGGTTTATTCCAAAGATGACAGATACCCAGCAGTTACAGCATCTGTGGGTGTTTTCATGGGTTGGGCAGCCACTGTAGCTTCTGGAGTCTGCAGTTCAAACGAACTCCTCTCCCAGCACAATCTTGCCCATCACCCATCCTATCCTGAAGATGGTCTCCTACTCAATTGCACACTACCCAGGCTGTGGTGACAATTATGTTTCCTCTTAAACACTGCCAACACATCCTTTGAAATGTTTTAAGAGGTTATTATCTTTTAATAGGGTGGACCAAACCCAGGAAGAGCTTGGACGCTGTAAACAGTTGGCTGTCTCTGACCTTATCTTGCCTGTGTTTGCTTTCCTGTCCTACTGGGGAATTCCTGCGCTGCAGCTGCAGTCTTTAGCTTCAACTGCAGGGGGCTGGGTGCTGCTGCCCTGCTGCCTCTTGCTCCAGGTGCACAGCCAAAAAGTGGCATCCTACAGCATGCCCAGAAAGCAACACAGGTGTGTCCCATGTCTGCTGTGCTCCTTATCCATGCTTACATAGATGCAAGGAGTTTGAAAGAGCCCTAAGGAAGCAGTGAGATGGGATAAACCACCAAAGAGCTTTTGTGGCCAGATGTATGTGGAAACAAAAAGGAATATGAAAGGTTTCCTTGGGCCATTTCTATTTCATTTCAGACCTCCCTGACTTCACAATCCGTAAGATCCACCCTGTGTCTGCATTTTCTGTAGCTTTCGTCCCAAACTCATGAAACCAGGCTTCTAATCCCGAATTTGCAAAAGCTATTCTGCCAGCCAAGATGAAGTCTCTCTATTTTTCTGGGATTCTAGCCTTGCTCATTTATCCTTCCCTGTCATTCCCCGACATACTTTCCTTCTTCTGATAAATTCTTTTTCTAGTCCCCTGAGCTCCTGGCCTGTCTGACATCTCTTCATTCCCTTCCCAAGAAACTGTTTAATTAGATGGCAGAGCATGACAAGAACAGGGATTCTGGAGCCAGATGGCTGGAGCTCACAATCCTGGTTCTGCTACTCACTTGCTGTGAAACTTTGGACATGTTACTTAACTCCTCTGTGCCTCAGTTTCCTCAGATGTAAAAAGGCTAATAACACCACCTCCATCATAAGGTAGTATGATAGAGAAGCTTGTGAGTGAGTCTCTTGTCTCTCTTCCCCACTACAGAGGCTAAAGAAACCCCATGTTCCAGAATGCACAGCCTAAAGAAGAAGGTAGCCTGTCAGCCTTGAATCCTGAGTGACTGTACAGAGCAGAGCACCACCTTGTAGGACAGACAGCATTCACAAGCAACCAACCTTTGCTCCGTTAAGCTACTGAGATTCTGGGAAAATTTGTTATTGCAGCAAAACTTAGTTCAGCTTGACTAATAATGGAACCACTTGTATGGCTGTAATTAAATACCAGTTAAAATTGAATACCTAAGTAGATAACTTATTCCTCCTCCAGGAGATGAGATCCCAAAGCGGCAGGCTCACTCTCTGTATTCCCTCCAGCTCCTGGCACCTGGCCTGGCACACAGGAGGAGCTGCATGAGTGTTTGTTGAGTGACAACTGCAAAAGTTTCCAGGCCCTTCTCCTCCATCATGTGCTGCATCTGGCAGCTTCCAGGCTCACCCAGCCCCTGCACCCAAGGATAAAGTTGTTCCAAGGCGGGGCAGTACAACCAGCATGAGAACACATTAGCAGCTCCTCTGCAACACACACATACAGAAACACACAGAGGCACACATGCACACACATAGGCACACAGAGGGACATACATGTATGCACGTGCACACAGAGACAACACACACAGAGAAAGAGACACAGAGAGACACACACAGAGACACACAGAGGCACACACGCACACACATAGACACACAAAGAGACATACACGCACAGGCACACACACACACAGAGACACACACACAGGACACACAGAGACACACACACACACACACACACACACACACAGGCAGAGCATGAGCCCTGCACTTATTACTTCTGAGAAACAGGTGGGAAGAAAACCAGAGTGTTTGGGTCTGATCACTGTTCCTTCCTCCCATTCAACAGGGCAGTGAGTCACCACCTGCACAAAAGGACTCAGGCCTCCATATCAGGCAGAATTTGGCTGTGATGGCCAATCTCCATTGCTTTCCCTTGTCTTCTCAAGCCATGCTCAGAGAGTAAACCTTCAAGCATGATTAGAGGCTGGGGGCAGAGAGGTCCCCACTGGTATCAGTGACAGCCACGTCTCACAGCACTTCCCTTTCAGGAAGGGGACCCTCCCTCCCCTGCCCTCTACAGCTTCAAGCGGTCACTGGCCTGGACAGAAGCAAATCTGGACTAAGTCCTGGGAAAGCCCCAAATTTTGGAGCACTCTGGCCCTGAGCTCAGGTCCAGGATTCATTTTTCACAGGCATGCTTTATTATTCCCCGTGGGGAGCCAGGTTTCCATCCCTTGTCATTCCTGAGGAAGGAGAACGTGCCGGGATTGCAGTCGCACGGTGTGCCTGTATCTCTTTTCCTATAAAACAACTCTGAGTACCTGAGTTATGCACCTTATCAGAGACCATGTGCTGGATGATTTTAAATTATTACCCCCCAAATACGTATATATATTATGCCAAGAAACCATCAACAGTAAATTACCTCCTGTTCCAAGGGCCAGAACATGGTTACTGTCACCATGCAAGTCATTCACATAAAATTCAGAATGTCTCACACTTTATCTTGGAAATTTACACAATTTATTAATCTTTATAGCCCGAAAGGCAAAAAGATATATATTTTAAGTGCATGTCTTGTTATTACCGACCCAACTGGCCATGTGAAATGACTCAGATTTATTATCATGTCCAGTTACCAGCATTTATGGCAACTTTTAAACATGTCATTTCACTGTGGACACCTCATGGTTCGGGACACTTTGGGACTTTAGTGAGTAACTCTCATTTCAGGAGCAGAACAAATAAATGATTTAAGTACTTTTGCAGCTTATTGGAAAGAGAATTTGAAATTCACTTGAGGAGACTGTTAACCATGGATCACAGAAATGTAGGGAAGGAGCAAGCTCTCCCCAAATTTATGTCTCTTTCCATATGGGAATAACAGGAGAAGTTCCCTTTGCCAAATAGAGGTTCCCACGCCCCCCAGCGTGTACCTCTGCTCTGTCAGGCAGGTTTAAGACAATAGCATTCAATTGTGTCCCTAGTTGCTAAAAAGAAAGTTAATACTGAGAAATGGAAAAGGAAGTTTGGGTTTCTTTAAAAACATTCTTCAATGCTGTTTACTATTCAACAAGTATAAATAAATAAAACAGTCCTCACTGTGCATGGAATTCGCCTCTGCTCATGATAAAACCCAGAGATGGTTTTTAAAATACCATTACTTATTGAAAAAGAACAAGGGTCCTCAGGCCTCAAACTCTGTATATTCTAATGTACATGCCAAGCTTGGTCAAGCAGGCAGAAGCCATGGTCAGGTCTCCCTTCACCCCTCCCCTTCCTTCAGGCCCACATGTCCAGCCTGCCCTGGAATTCTGGATCCTTCCTTTGTGCATTTGTCCTTTCTCTCTCCTGTGCCTTCATACAGTGTACTCTGCCACCCAACCAATCTTCCAAAAAGTTGGCTCTATGAGGTCATCTCCAAGCTCAGACACCTTCCAGGCTTCTCACTGCCTAGGCCCAGAAGACCAAGTTGAAATCTGTTTGTCTGCCTCAAGGCAGACATCGCCTCTGACTGTGTCTGTCTCTAGTCTTACATCCCATCATTCCCCAGCAAGAGACATCTGCTCCATGAAACCCAGTGAAATCCAACTCACAGCTGCTCCAGACTTTGCTTATAACACACCCACAAACTGAATGCCCAATCCTTTCTAAAGTCTCCCTGTCCTACCTGATAAGATTCGGAGAACCCCTCAGCCCTCCCTGAACAGGACTGCCCCACTCCTGTGGGCCTCTGCAGACATATAGGCCCGAGGCAGGACGGCTGTCTTCTGGGCACCAACCTCTCTCTCATCTACCCTCCATAACCCATGCTGGACACTTAGCCTCATGCTGCATTTCATCATTCTGCATATGGCATCTCTCCTTTATGGGATTGTACACCTAAGGGCAGCTACCAAGTCCCACACATAATTATCCTTCCGGGGTTCCAGCCCAATGCTAACAAAGGGTAGGTTCTGCAAAAATAGATTTTGAAAGACACAACTAAATGTATCTGAAAAAATAAAAGACTCAGGTCATAAGCTAGAAAAAGTAATGCAAACTCATTCATTTCATAGAATTCTGGGAAGAGTTCATACATGTTATTTTTCTTTAAAAGCCACTCTAGTGTGGAATTGTGTTCACCTTCCCTGAAGGGCTGGGGAGGAGCTGGCTGGGAAGATATATACTGTGACGTCTATGGAAGAGATGCTTCAGGTCTAGGAGTGACCGCTCCCTTGCCTGTGCCCCTAACCTACACCTCTCATCTAAAGGGTGTCTGCGGCAATACATCTGTGAGGTTCCAGAAGCCCGACACATGCTATGAGTTCAGCAGTGACTTGAGGGGGGCAGGCAGCAGACTGGCTTTCTCTAATGGGGGTGAAGATGGCTGAGTGCTATGGGCTAATGAGAATGCGTATGTATTTGCGTTTTTAAAGCCATCCAGCAAGACTGGTAAACACTCTGTTTCTTTTAGGTGCAGTCGGTTGTTCCTTCTCTGATTCCAGGAGACAATCGTTTGGGGCCAGTTTCAAAACCCAGCATTCACAACTCTCTCTGCTCAGTCCCCGAGGGCTAGCCCTGTTGAAGAGGAAAAGTAAAACCCCCTTTCCCTCTGTGCTTCCCCTTCATGTGTCAATAGGGTCTTGTGGCCTCACCAAGGTAAGTTGAAAATAGAGCCAGAAGGATGCCTCCACTTTCATGCCTGAGGAGACAGCGAGCCCATGAGCAGGCATCACGGCTTCCAACCCAGAGACAGCAAGGACTGCTGGCAACCGGGCGTCAGGAGACCAGACCAAAGCACAGGCTACTTCTCATCGTAAACAGCAGGCAGTCTATTTACCACAACGAATGAGTGACAAGCCAAGGAAACAAAAAGAGAAGAGAAGAGGATCATCAAAGAAAATCTGTAATTAAAAATAAATACTTCACAATGTGACTCCAAGAAGTTTATGGCTGAGGCGGCTTTCACGGGCACCTATGAGTGTCCACAGACAGCCTGGAATTGTGTCTTTAAATGTGAGATGTTCGTGTATGTGAAAGGGCCAACTGGACTTTCCTCCCCCAAAAGGCACACTGTTCTGGATATGACACTTTCAATGACCTCTTGTGTTAGTCTGCTAGGGCTGCCCTAACAAAGTACTGCAAACCAGGTGGCTTCGACCACAGAAATGCTTACACAACCACCTGCAGGCTGGAAGTCCAGGAACAAAGTGCCAACAGGGTTGGTTCCTTCCGAAGCTGCGAGGAAAACCTATTCAATGCCTCGCATCTCACTTCTGGTGGTTTGCTGGTGACCTTTAGTGTTCCTTGGTGTGGAGATGCATCACACTGATCTCCACCTTCATTTTCACACAGAATTCTCCTGAATGCATCTGTCTGTATCGGCATTTTCCCTTTTTAGAATGACCAGTAGTAATACGGATTAAGGCCCACCCTACTGACCTCATCTTAATTTGATCATCTGCAAAGACCCTACCTATATCCAAATAAAGTCACATTCACAGATATAAAGGGTTAGGAATTCAACAGCTTCTAGAAGACAATTCAACTCCTAACACCTCTCAAACATGAAATGTTTCTATGAATAGCATCATTGATGGTATTACTTGACAGAGGAACAGATAGAGTCAGATGACAAAGGCCTCTCCAACAGCCATCAGTTTCATTCAGATCTGGACACAAGCAGGAAAAGTGGTGTGAACAACAGCTAAGCAGCACAAAGAATCAAGACTTGGGTGTGAGATTCTGCCTTGGTCTTCAGCCATGTAGATGTGAGCCCCACCCCACTCTCATCCCACCCAAGTGCCACTGTTATAGCTTGGGAGCTCAGAATAAAGCCAGACAGTCAGAGTAGGGGAGAGATTTTCCAACATAACTCAGGCCCTGATGTTTCTTAATTTTCCCTGAAAGAGAAAATATCTTCCTAAAAGAATAAAAGACTTAAAAGTAACTTGATGTTAAGACACGCCATAAACTATGAGAGTAATTTCTCACTTGTTCCTTCCTCCTGTTTTTTTTAATCCAAGACCCTCCTAGAAATACAAGAGGACTTTAGGAAGTTCATGGAAAATGGAATCAAAAGATAAAAATGAAAAATATCAACTTTATAAACTGTATTACTCAATATAAGCTCCATCAAGTTCAAAACAATTTTGTAAGTGATGATACCACCCATTTAGTCCATTCTTAAAATATTGAGGGTCCTGAGAATTTAACCATATCAATACAGTCTTTTTACATTATTAACTGAAGAAAATGGATGCCTTTTAATTATTTTGTTTTAATTAGGAAACAAAAAGAAGTCAGAAGAAGCAAAATCAGAACTGCAAGTTGGATACCCAATGATTTTCTATTGAAATTCACAAAATTGCCCTTACTTAATGAGAGGAATGAGCAGAAGCATTGTCAGGGTGGAGAAGGACTCTCTGCTGAATTCTTCAGTGGCATTTTTCTGCTAAAGCTTTGGCTAACTTTCTCAAAACACTCTCATAATAAACAGATGTTATCATTCTTTGGCTCTACAGACAGTCAACAGCAAAATGCCTGGAGTATCCCAAAAAACTCTTGCTGTGACCTGTGCTCCTGACTGGTCTGCTTCTGCTTTGACTGGAAAATGTCCACCTCTTGGTATCCATTGCTTTGATTGTGCTTTGTCTTCAGGATTGTACTGGTAAAGCTATGTTTCGTCTCCTATTACAATTATTTGAAGAAATCCTTCAGGATCTTCATCCTACTTGTTTAATTTTCATTGAAAGATCTGTTCTTGTCTGCAGCTGATCTGGGTGCAATGGTTTTGACACCCATTGAGTGGAAAACTTAACTTTAATTTTTCAGTCAGAATTGCATAAACTGAACCAACTGAAATGTCTGTTAATCATCAGGTCTTTTCAATTAGGGCATGGTTAATTTTTTCCTTGCAAATTGACATGAATGGTCTGCCACCACAGGCTTCATCTTCAACATCAACTTCTCCCTTTTTTTTTTTTTTTTTGAGACAGAGTCTTGCTCTGTCACCCAGGCTGCAGTGCAGTGGCATGATCTCGGCTCACTGCAACCTCTGCCTCCTGGGTTCAAGTGATTCTCCTGCCTCAGCCTCCCGAGTAGCTGGGATTACAGGTGCCTGTCACCACACCTGGCTATTTTTTTTTTTTTTTTGTATTTTTAGTAGAGATGGGGTTTCACATGTTAACCAGGCTGGTCTTGAATTCCCGACCTCAAGTGATTCACCTGCCCCAGGCTCCCAAAGTGTTGGGATTACAGGCATTAGCCACTGTGCCCAGCCTCAACTTCTCCCTTCTTAAAAGAAGTTATCTATTTGTAAACTGCTGATTTGGGGGAAGGGGGTATTGTCTCCATAAGCTTTTCACAAAGCATCAATGAGTTCACTATACTTCCCCTCAAGCTTCACTATAAATTTGATGTTTGTTCTTACTTCAATTTTAGCAGAAATTCACATTGCTCTGATAGAGGCTCTTTTCAAACTGATGTATTATCCTTCTTAGTGCCTCAAACTAGATTGTGCATGAACATGTTATAAAAAGGTAGTACAAATCAATTTTGGTGCAAAAAATTTGAAATCCAGCATAGTTTTTTCATAATATGCATTTCCTATGAACTTTTTGAAGAGCCCTCAGACAGCCTCTCACACAGCTACTCCACATCCTTGAGGATCAGAGATCAAGGCATCAGCAGGGTTGGTGGCTTCTAAGGGCTGTGAGGGAGAAACCTTTTATACCTCTCTCCTGGCTTCTGGTGGGTTGCTCACCATCTTCAGCATTCCATGTCTTGGAGCTGCATCACTCTGATCTCTGCTTTCATCTCCAGATGACGTTCTCCCTGGATGTATACAGCTCTGTGTCCAGATTTTCCCTCTATATAAGGACATCGGTCATATTGAATTAGGACCCACCCTAAAGACCTCCTTTTCCCCTAATTACCTCTATAAATACCCTCTCTCCAAATAATGTCACATTCTGAGGTACTAGGGGTTAAGATTTCAACATATGGATTTGACAAGTATGTAATTCAACCCATAGCACCCTATGTCCAAACTGCACTAGCCCTGGGGATAGATAAATAAATAAAACATGATACAGGGAACGAAGCACTCACTGGCCGTTGGGAAAAACTCACAGCTATGTCCCTCTCTGTTATCACCTTTGTAAGCACATGAAACTGACATGAGACTCTTGCAAGTCCAGATGCCTAGGACCCAAAGAATCTACCTCTGGGATAACACATTTTTCAACAGGTAACCAGGTAAGGTTAGGGGATGGTTTCAGATTTCTCAGGTTGAAAACTTAGGAGTATGTAAAAAATAGCATCTAGGAGTATGTAAACCATAGAGTCCAACAGCACAGAGGAGGGAGGCACTCAGGTGACCAAACCTTCCTAACCCAGTGTGAGAGCAGCCATAATCGATGATGGAACACAGGAGACAGAGCCGCTTCTCCTGCTCCAGGAAGGAGGAGGCTGCCAGGTAACGCTGGGAGACTGCGCTGGAGCTACTCCGCAGACAAAGTGCCGGAGTTCGAAAGGGGCACAGGCTAAGGACACTCCGGGCGGAAAGAGCAGCCAAGCTGCGGAACAAGACGTCCCAAGCGTGTTTCTGAGAACCTTGATTTTGCACCTTGTTTCAGACACTTTCTTGTCACTGAGCTGGTGTAGGTGGGAAGTGAAAGTGTAAAATACGGTGGTTTCCGAAATAGGGTGTTTATACACCTAAAAAGTTTTGAAAACTCCTTGATAGGCTATTTTTTAAAAATTAAGTAAAATAATCTAACAAAGTTTCTTAACTTCTCAACATTTCAACGAAACCCCAAGAGTATGTAAGGTGGGTTCATTTTTACTAATATATTTTGGAATTTTCTGCCACATAAGGGACCTAAATGTAGAAAAAAAAAAAAACAACCTAAAATTTAATGTGCATTATATTAAAAGGAAAAAAAATCTCTCTTTATCCTCCTTTCTCTCTTCTTCCCCTTAAGTAGACATGGCGGGATTTCTTGAGCTGTTGACTGGGCTCTTCTCCCTCTCCCAGGCCACATAACTTGGTCATTCATTTCCTGTTCCCTGCTTCAGCCAAAGGCAATTTGCAGAGAGCAGAGGAAAATGGAGGTCTTCACCTTTACCTTTGAGAGCAAAGCTTCAGCCCCGGGTTAAGACCAGGGCTCAGGAAGAATATTTGGCCTTTCAAAGCAAATCTTTGGCCTCAGCAGCACAGAGGCCTCCTGAGTAGGGGGGAGGGGTATGGAGAGGCTGCAGTGTCCTGGGAAGGGCCTGTGCCCATGAAGTGGGCTTCATCCCCACTTTGTGCAGTTTGTGCAGAAAGATAGCCTCAGACAAAGTCCAGAGTGGCAGCAAAACCCTGAAGTTCCCTTGGAGAGGCAGGCTGCGCAAATGCCTATTTGGTGATTCAGAATCAACAAGCCAGGCCCAAATTTACATGGGCTCCCTCCAGGATGGGTGAGAGCTCCCAAGAGCTTCATGGGAGGTCCCAGTGGGTGGCTGTGGCCTGGAGAGAGTAGGATTGAAGCAGAGCTGGGGTGGAGTCAGAACAAGAGACAACAGCAGTGAACAGCAGGCTCTGACAACCAAAGACCAGAAAGGAGAGCATCTCCCAGCCCCCAAGGGGAGCAATGCCAGCCCCCAGCATCAGACACATCTGCAGGAAAAGCAGGGGACTTCAGCTAACCAAGAATAATGTTCCTTTACCCAGACAGAATTGAGCCTGGGAAATTAGATAACGCTAAAGGGAAGCCAACATGCATTTTCTGCACACCTGGCTTCTGGGTCTAAGATTTTTGTCTGCTCCTAAAATGCAAGCCTTGTTGAATTGGTGTGGGCTTCTCCTTAATCGCTGGGTAAAGCAGAGGGCTGGGGCACAGCCATATGCAGTAATCAGCCTGCCCTTAACCAAAGGGCCCGAGGAAGAGGTGAGACCAAAGAAGGTGAATCACAGATTCAAAAGCGAAGCAAATAAAAGCAGTGGGGAAAGACGGGTATGAATATGGAGCACACTTTGAGACACAGCCACTTCCCAGGACCCTGCAGCCCTCTGAGCATCCCTCCGCCCTACTCAGAGGCATTTTTCCCATATCGAACTCCCTGGGGTTGGGGATTCTGGATCCTCCTATGTAACCACTCCTTCCTGCTTCATCTCAACATCTGTGTTGTTTGCAAAGAAAGTGGGCTCCATAAGGTCAAGGGTTGCCCCAGGTGCATTTGGGTGTTTAACAGGGTTTTGGGTGATGACTGTGTTAAAAGGAACAATATTAGAGTTTTTGACCAGAGTGACTGAGGAGCTCACAGGAGTACAGGGTGTATAAGTCCCACCAAAGATTCCATGTGCCTTGGGACTGCCCCATCCCATTGGGAATTCCAGTCTGGCTTCTTGGCAATGGGTGCCTGGGCAACAGAGCAACAGAGCAACAGAGCAAGGTGGAGGAGAGAAGCCCTCCTGGTACCCATCCCCACACCAGCAAGAGGGAGCGCCAGACTCACAGCCTACCATCCCCTCCAGCCCCAGCCCACCTGACCTACATCAGCCACCTTCTGATTGATTCTGTTTTTTCCTGGGGAAAAGGCCAAAAAGCCATCTAGGCCTCAACCCCAGCATCTCTGAACCTCTGACCCAGCCCTGGACTTCCCAATTTCAGACTTCTTTCAGGTGAGACAAGCAAACCACATGTTTTTTAAGCCTCTGCTATTCAGGTTTTCCATTGTTTGCAGCCTAACGGAGCCCTGGCTGCTCCTGTCTGGAGATGGGGCACGTGGACGAGGCCTTGGAGAGGCCAGCATCTCTCACCTCCTTTCCAGCCCACAGCTCCAGGCACGCAGACTCTTCCTGTGACTATACAGAAGTCATCTATCTTCCTAAAGCCATAACCAGACAGACCTTCTGTCAAAAGGCAGGAGAGTTGGGAACGGGCTCTTTGAGGCCACAGATGGACACTGTCATTGACCCCTCCAGGATCCTGTTCCTGACATACACCCTTGATTCAGGTCATCTGGTTATTGTGAGCTGGGTCATAAATCTTAAGGAGCTCCCTTTCTTTGCAAACAACTATACCCCAAGAATACTCCTTATTTATAAAACAATATGTATGCTGGTTCTATGGAAGGTTTTCAGTCCTCAGGGTGCTAAAATTCTTGTGCCCTTCTGCCTCTTTAACCATAGCACACATGCTCAAGAGAACTAGAGTTGCCAAGAAATCATTTCTATACATGGGCTCCAACAAACCCAGGTTATGGAGGATGGCCTATTTCCAACAAGCTTCATTTAAGGTTCTCCTACATTAAAGGAATAAATATGATGATGTGAAGCAGAACATAAATGCCTGCAGAAAGTCAGAAAATTCCCTCCTGGTGCCTCATCATCACTGGGGTGAGGGGAACAAAAGGTGGAAAAATCGATTCCACCTTCTTATTCTTGGAGAAGAAAACAACTCTCTAGACAAGAACATGGACCAGCAAACAGGGAGAGACTGATTTCAGTCAATTATTGCAGTTGCCACATTTCTCAGGAGTGTTGATGTCCAGGTCGGGGCTGACCCATGAATGGTCAGCAACACACTCAGGCCAACAAAGAAGGAGGAGGCCTGGCTGTGAATGAAGCATGCTCGACTTTAGCTCGTCATATGAGCAGGTCACAGAGAGCAGATGCCTGTGGGCGCTTAGTGAACACTGCAGGGCATGGCACTGGTACTGAAAGGGACTAAAGTTAAATGTTTATCAGAATGTTTACAGCAAACTTCCCACAGCACAGGTCAGGTGAACTCTTTCTGCCCATGCATGAGCCTTTGGACAGACAGCCCCCAAAACTATGAGTCTTTAATATTAGCCTGCATCCCTCAGTTCTGGACTTTTCCTCTGTACTGGGTTATACGTCATTCAAAATTCACCTCCAAAGGAACCTCAGCATAGATTCCTCACTCACTGTGGGACTGGACACAGCCTTTCAGGGCATCTCCAAATAGAACCAAGATAGTGAGGTAGGGGGCGGGACTCAACTCCAGAGGCTGGGCTCAGACACTGGACCAAATTGAGAGCTAGCTGAAACAGGGCCAGGGCAGAAGTAGCTTTCCATAAGACATGCCCACCAGTGTGCCATGTCAGTTTACCATCGCCGTGGCAACACCTGAGAGTTACCACCCCTTTCTATGGCAGTAACCCAATGACCCGGAAGTTACCACCTTTTTCCTAGAAATGCCTGCATCAACTGCCTTTTAACTTGCATGTAATTAAAAGTGGGTACAAATATGACTGCTGAACTGTCCCTGAGCTGCTACTCTGGGCACACTGCCTGTGGGGTAGCCCTGCTCCACAGGGAGCAGTACAGCTGCTGCTGCCTCAATAAAAGTTGCTGTCTAACACCACCACTTGTGCTTGAATTCTCTCCTGGGCAAAGCCAAGAATCCTCCTGGGCTAAGCCCCAGTTTGGGGTCTTGCCTGTCCTGCATCAGTTGCAAATGGTAAGCTGATAAGAAATGAAAATGTAAGGAAAACTCCTACATACCACCCAGGGAGAAGCCCACTCCCAGGCAGCATCAAGCCCAGAAGGAAGCAAATGGGGTTTGCAGGACTGCTTGGTGTTTGTCTGTGCAACAGCCACTGGGCCTGGTACGGGGCGAGTATGTGGGCAGAAAGAGGAGCTGGCAAGTAAGAGTTAGCTTTAAAAAGATGCTGACTCTGGGCTCCCCATTTGGCCATGGCATCAAACGCTCCTGCCAAGTAATTTGGCTCACAAATATTCACCACATGAGAATATCTGAGCATTAAAAAACAAACAAGAAAACAATCAGGAACCAAGTACCTCAGCTGGCTGGACAAAAAGGCATATGCTTACAAGCCAGGAGATGGGTGTGCAGGCTACTGAGTGTCACAAGAAGTGCAGCTTTGCCAGTTGTGACTTCTGGAACGGTCTGTGTCAAAGATTTCAAATGCTGTGTGCAGTTGGCATGTGGCTGCTAAGCTTCTAATTTTGTGACCTTTAAGATTGTACAAATGAGCAAAACCCTTTGTAGATCTTTAAAGGGAATTTTAAGCAAGGTTCAGGAGCAATACAATGGTAATTTTTTTTTTATTTTACCCAGTTAAAACAGACTTTGTCAGGCAATGTGGAGACCTCTAAATTCACATCTTCTAAGAACATGGAGAGAAGGGAGTTTGTGTCTATTTTCACAAGAAAACCACCAGCCAGTTCCATGGTGCCACTCATCCAAGCTGCCTAATTAGTGGTATCAAGCCCTCTGTCTGAAAAGACTGCCTTGGATTTATTTAGCACCCATCTTCCTATAAATGTCTCCCAAAAGTCTTGGGAGTTCATCTCCTTTGCATTTTCACCGTATCACACAGACCACCATGGCCACACATTAATGCCCCTGCCACCAGCCTCCATCATCCACCAGGGATAAGCAAGAAAACATTGATTTGGGACTTCTGCAGGGTCCTTCCTTCACATGGTGTATGCTTTGAAACTGCCACGTCCCCAATCCACCACCATGGGTGGCCTCCTTCAAAGCCCTCAGCTCTCCACAGGAAACCTCCTCCTCCAGGACACCTGTCATCAGCTCCCCAGCTGCCTTAATTTCCTTCCTCAAAACACTCTACATTGCAATCATGCGACCATGCAATTGTTCAGCATATATGTTAGTTTCCTATGACTCCTATAGCAATTACCACAAACTCAGTGGCTTCAAACAACACAAATCTATTCTCTTACAGTCCTGGTGGTCAGAAGTCCAAAATGTGTCTTTCAAGGCTGAAAGCAAGGTGTCAGAGGGTTGGCTCCTTTGGAAGGCTCCAGCAGAGAATCTGTCCCTTGCCTCTTCCAGTTTCCAGAGCTGCCAGCTTTCCTCAGTTTGTAGCTGCATCACTCCCACATTTACTTCCATAATCACATTGCCTTCTCCTATGCTGATCACCTGCCTCCTCCTTATGAAAACCCCTGTGATTACATTAGGCCAATGCAGAGTAATCTCTCCAACTCAAGATCCTGAACTTAATCACATCTACAAAGTCCATTTTGCCATATACGATAATATTCACATGTTCCAGGGATCAGGATACAGACATGGTGGGAAGGTGGTGATTACTCAGCTTAATACACAGTGTGTCTTTCCCACTAGGATGTTAGTGATCAGGGTCTTTGTGCAGCTAATTTAGTCTTTATGCTCCAGGATCCAGCACAGAGCCAGATTCACTGTTCAGAAAATGAATGAGGAAATGAACTGAAGAGTGAATGTGCAAATAGAGTTCTTCTCTCAACTCTTCTACACTTCCTTTGAACTCTTTTTTTTGAGATGGAGTCTTGCTCTGTCACCCAGGCTGGAGTGCAGTGGCACAATCTCGGCTCACTGCAAGCTCCACCTCCTGGGTTCACGTCATTCTCCTGCCTCAGCCTCCCGAATAGCTGGGACTACAGGCGCCAGCACCATGCCCACCTAATTTCTTGTATTTTTGGTGGAGACGGGGTTTCTGAACTCTTATTTATTTATTCACTTGTCTATTTCCTTTTCCTCTCTCTTCCCAGCTCCTGCTTCTTCGTCACAGGTACACCAGGGCATCCAGCACATTGATTTGTCCCCACTCGCCTTAGCCTGTCTCCTGCCACAGTTGTCTCATTTTGGTGAAGTGCGTGTCCAGGTTTCCCCGTGCTCCCAGCTGCAACATGGATCTGTGAAAGACAGTACAGCAGAAAAGTCTTCACATCCTGGCTCTCTCTGCCCTTCATTGTCTTTAAGCTCTTTAACAACTTTTACTTGGAGAGGAAAACAACTCTCTAGACAGGAACACGGAGCAGCAGAGGGAGAAATTGTGTCTTTACTGATTTCAGTCAATTATTGCAGTGACCACATGTCTCAGGAGTGTTGATGTCCAGATGAGGGCTGACCCATGAAAGGTCAGCAAGGAAAAAGGAGGACCTAAACTTTCCTCGGTTTGCAAGTTGTAAAAGACCCATGGAATGCCAACTATCCTTGTCCATGGACATGTGGACAGACTGTCCAGTGGCTATCATCAATTTTGCATCTATTTGTAAATTCTATGTCAGCATTCCTATTGTCCTAGCTATGCGTGGCATTTTTAATTCTCCTTTGGGCTGGTTGTAGCATCTTACTGGTTCCCTCATTAATTAATGAACTAAATAAAATCTTTGACATGTGTTCATTTTACATTTGTGTAAGAGTCATGATTTTACCTTTAAAAAAAAAAGTCATTTTACAGGTCTCAGGAGAGAGGCAGCTGCATCAACAAACACAAGGACTAGCTCTCCTCTAGAGAATTCACAGCTGAAGAGTGGATTAAATGCACCCTTTGCCTTTCCCACCTTTCATTCCCTTTACCGTATCTAGCAGCCAGATGGAATGCATTGCAGAAGGAACAGTGGAGGAGCATACACACACAGCACTTGCCTGGGAGGGTCCCCTAGAGCAGCTGGGATCTCTATGCCCCCACCTCCACCTTTTAATCTCATGGTTTCTTGGCCTCTTCTCTCCCTTTCACACCCATCTAGAGATGACTTGAAGAGGCTCTGGCTTCCCCTTGGCCACTCTCAGCTGTCTTCCCAACTCCCGCCTGATCTTCACACTGGCAGTTATTGTCTTCTCAATCCTACACAAAGTCTATGCCAGCACAGCCTCCCAGCCCACTTCCCACTCCAACAGCCATCACACGAAGACATTCTGGAGTTATCACTCCATCCATGAGGAGCTGCCTACCAGTCCTTAGAAAGAAAGGGAAAGTCTGCTTCCAAACATGAGAAGGGGTTAGACCAAGGGCTACCTCCTGGCCAGGTGATGGAGGACTGGAGAAGCCAGATTAAGCCAGATTTCTGCCAATCCAAGCAAAAGGCAGGTGGCCAAGCAGCTGCAGGGAAGAAAATGTGTTTTTTCCTCACCCATTACGAGGGTCATAGCTGAGGCACCTATGGCAAAATACAGATTAACAAGAGAAACATCAAACTTATTTAATTTAAATTTTATGTAACATAAGACACCTCAGGAAAAAAGATCCAAAGAGGCTGGGCACAGTGGCTCATGCATGCAATCCCAGCACTTTAGGAGACTGAGGCAGGTGGATCACGTGAGGTCAGGAATTTGAGACCAGCCTGGCCAACATGGTGAAACACCGTCTCTACAAAAATTTAAAAATTAGCCGGGTATGATGGCGGGCACCTGTAATCCCAGCTACTCGGGAGGCTATGGTGGGAGAATTGCTGGAGCCCAGAAGGCAGAGGTTGCAGCGAGCCAAGATCACGCCATTGCACTCCAGCCTGGGTGACAGAACAAGACTCCATCTTAAAAAAAAAAAAAGAAAGAAAGAAAGAAAGAAAAAGATAAAGAAATAGGGAATAGGGACACCTGTGTGTTTTTATTGTAAGTTTGATGGAGAAGTCGACAGTAGTGGAGAAGTGTGATTGGACAAAGGGAGTATGATCTAATTAGTTATATACAAGGGGGAACTCAGCAAGGCCTGTTTGTTCAGCTTTTCTTCTGCGTCCCTGTGTCTTCAGAGATAAAGATGTTCCTCCCCTCCAGGTAAAGAGTGGGCACCTCTCACACAAGGACCTTATGCCTTGCTCCAGGAGAAAGTCAGCTTGGTTTCATGGCCTGCTTCAGGAAAAGAAGGGCAAGGAGAAGGTGAGAGAGGCCTTCCTGCTTCTGCCGTTTTCTCCAATGCCAATCTGCCATATTTTGGGGTAGTATTCCCTGAACCCCACCACAGCCTCAGAGAGTGGGGCTTTGCCCAAGGGTGAGTTGCAGCACTCTGCCAGGTGTTTCAAACAGCAGAGGTTAGTTACGGGGTATTGATTCAAAATAGCTACCACGCATGAGCTTGTCACCCTGCACCAACTCATCCTGTGCAGTTACCACTACTGTTAACTCTGACCTAGGATTTGTAGTTCATTCGGGATGTCATGCATGCTTCAGATCTCAGGCCCTAGTGACCTCACCTATAAATTTGGGGTGGGCAGTGATAGGCCTGGATGACCCTCAGTGGCCCTTCTAGCACAAAAATTTCTCAAGTCAGAAGAACAAAACCCTGTACTTCTACTCTCCCTGGGACAGTGGCACCAAATATACCATAAGTGTTCATCTTTCCGGTGGAGTTCATACGTGTAGTGTTGTGTTTACTTTACTGACTGTAAACAGAACAGGTGCCTGTCATTCACTCACCCATTCCTTCCGTCTGGATACAGGGCAGCAGAAATCAGCAGAATGCTTTTATTCACAGAGCTGAATGCCTACACCAGAAAACAAACATTAAGCAAATAGTGGCAGAAATAATTTTTTTTTTTAGACGAAGTCTCACTCTGTCACCCAGGCTGGAGTGCAGTGGGACGATCTTGGCTAACTGCAGCCTCCACCTCCCAGACTCAAGTGATCCTTCCACCTTGGCCTCCCAGGTAGCTGAGATTACAGGCACGCACCACTATACCCAACTGATTTTTGTATTTTTAGTAGAGATGGGGTTTCACCATGTTGTCCAGGCTGGTCTTGAACTCCTGACCTCAAGAAATCCACCTGCCTCGGCCTCCCAAAGTGCTGGGTTACAGGCATGAGCCACCGCGCCCAACCACAAATACATTTTAAATTGCATTTATGATCACTTCTTTGGATGAGAGGCTGGTCCTAAGGGAATGTATAATGAGTGTTTGACTTAAACATGGGGTCAGGGAAGTCTTCCCTGAGGAGGAGTAAATGGGTTTAGGAGATAGTTCAGGCTTTCACCATTAAGCATGATGCAACCTGCAGGAATTTTGTAAATGCCTTTATTATTTTAAGGAAGTTTCCTACTGTTCCTAGTTTGCTGAGAGTTTTTACCATGAATGGATATTGAATTTTGATAAATGCTTTTTTGCATTCCTTGAAAAAGATTTTATTATTGTAATCCTTCATTCCATTAATAGAGTAAATTACATTGATTGTCTCCCACAGAGACACTAGAATGGGCAAGCCTGAGTGCGTGGCTTTGAGGGACAGAGTCCCCACCCACGGAGCTCTCACAGCTGGCAGCCACCCCGACACCCACAGCTCTTTCAGAATGGAAAGCCCGGGGCCTTGCAGCTCGCCCTGCTCCGAACACTGTGCGAGGCTTTGTAATGAGCTACCCTGGAAGTGTTTTTCAAGAAGACGGTGATCTCATTACACAAATCCACCATCAGTTGAGGGAAGAGAGGCAGGGCTGGCTTTCTAAGGCCACTGTGTATGACCTAAGGAGCCCACATTGCCAAAAAAATAGTCACCCACTGATTTCAAACACCCACTTCTTTGCATGAAGGGCTGCGTTCCCCTCATCACCACCCCCACCCTTTTCATCCCTGATACAGCTACCTCCAGCCATTCCCCCTAGGGGTCTTCCCTGGGACTCATCTGCCACTTGTTCCTCCTCAGCTGGGGTCACCAACCAAGTTGGGAACAAGTTATTCCTCCTTAATAACAAGAGGCAAAGCCCTATCCAAAAACAGGGGTCTGCCTTATTCACTAAATCCAGTTTTCAAAAAAAGACCCTCATCGGACTCATTTATAAATGATTTAATTTTAGGGATTGCTAGCTAGATGAGTAGATAGGAAGGATAAGAAGCTAAGTAGGGGAGAAGAATGTGCAAGAATAAGGTGAAAGAATGTTCTCCATTCACAATGCTGTTTACATGCATCCAGCTGGCTGGCAACGCCGCTGAGCACTCAGCCTTCAGTGGACCTTCCAAACCATGGCAGGCACTCGGAGTCCACAGGGACGCAAAGGACCGTGCTCTACCTCTCAGTAGGCTGTGTAGGCCAACCACTCTGGAATCCACAGGCACCAGTCACCAGCCCCACCCTCACCTTCGAGCCAGGCCCCTGTGGTCACCGTCTCATGGTGATGGCAAAAAGCTCCTCTTTTGCTCCCTGTGAACCCCTGCCCCCTCTTTGGTGTGGCTGGGGGCAGGAGGGAGGCCCTCACTGTGCTCTGGCCTCAGGGTAGAGTAGCCACAAGACAATCACCCTGTCAAACTTCAGCGGAGTTCCCGTGTGCTCTTCTGGTAAAAGGGCTTCTTTGTAGCATTGAGCTGTATATGCAACGTATCCTCTTGTGTGTGAGTGTGCATGTGTATGAGTGTGTGTGTGCCTGCGTGTGTGTGTATGTGTGTTAGAGATACACACATATAGGCCCCAGGAAGGAGTGAGGAAGGGGAAAGAAACCAGCATTTATTGCACTATGTATAAATTTTCAAAATTCATCCGTGACTAACACAAGAAGCTGTGTCCCACCTGAACAGGTAAACTTGCGTAGTTATTTCAGAACAGCAGCCCCATCTCCATCCCAATCAGGGTAATATTTTCCACTGAACTGAGTCAATAAGGTAAACAAACCCATTTGCCCAAGAGGCAAACAACAAGGTAGGTTAGAAACATAGCTTTCTGGATACTGCTCCTAGTGAAAGCATCTGGCAAAAAAAAAAAAGAAGAAGAAGAAAAAAGCATTTCAAATGAAACCCAGGGGACAAATACCTTTAAAAGTTGCAAAGGAGAAAGGCGTCTACACAAAGCAGCATGTTCCAGGATTCCCCATTATTTCAGGACAGACCCATTCAAGGATCAGAGTGGGTCTGTGAACTCAGAGTGACCGTGCCTCACCCCGCCTGGCCCAGCTCTCTCTGAGTGCAGTCACAGGCCTTCCCCACCAGAAAAATCCATCAGCTCCTCTTCAGGCTTCACTCGGGGCACTGACTTCAGCTATCGTCCAGCCATGTAGCTTCAGAGACACAGAAACTTAAAGCTCACTGACCTACAGTATAACCCAAAACCTTCTTGGTTCAATTTTTCTTACCAATGTTTTTTAATGTTCAATTAATGATTTTAGAAAGAAATGAACCACTTTATTTTGAGACTGAGTCTAGTTCTGTCACCAGGCTGGAGTGAAGTGGCAGGATCTTGGCTCACTACAACCTCTGCCTCCTGGGTTGAAACAATTCTCCTGCCTCAGCCTCCCAAGTAGCAGGGACTACAGGCACACGCCACCATGCCCAGCAAATTTTTTTGTATTTTTAGTAGAGATGGGGTTTCACCATGTTGGCCAGGATGGTCTCAATCTCTGGACCTCAGGTGATACGCCCACCTCAGCCTCCCAAAGTGCTGGGATTACAGGCGTGAGCCACCGTGCCTGGTCCATGAACCACTTTTAAAGCTTCTTAGAACAGAAAGTTATTTTAACTTTGGACCTAAGGAAATGCAAAATGAGGCCATTTCTAGAATGCTGTACCCCTATCCTCCCCCATCACACACATCTCAAAAATAAAAGGAAAACCCTAGTTGTGATGTAGTCTCCATGACTAAAGCAACCACAGATTTCTCCATTCAGAATAATGGTGCTACTTAAAGCGGCTTCTTCTAGTATGACATCGAAAGCACATAGAGTAATCTTCTATTATTTCCAACTTTGGATAACATTTTCCCTTATTTCTTCCATTTCTTTCCCCTATTTGTCTGCAAATCCGTAGGATGTAACTAAGGAGGTAAGTTTTTCAGATTGGCCCTAAGGAAAAAACTAAGTCCCACAGGAATAAGCAGTTGTTTGCAACCTCAGTGTAAATTACATGCAAAGCAAGAGCTGGAGCGGAATCAGGGGCACCTACCACAGGGAAGTCAAGGGCATGTGGTATACCAGGTAAACCAGGCCTCTGCCCCGCACCTCGCAGCAGCTTTGCTGAGACCGGAACTGACGTCTCCTGATTCCCAACCAGCACCTCAGCTCCACAGACAAACCGCAAGACTGAGTACAGAGCCCCCCAGACAAAGGTGGAGAATGTGTCCTTGCAGAGCAAACCCCCAGTCTTAATTACAGACCTGGCAGGGTGCCGGCCAGGACGGATTGCTGGATCACATCAGTAAGACAACTTACAATTCGCATTTGTAAGACAACTTTTTCTCTAATAAATTGTCTTTAAATAAATTTATTAAGAGAAAACAGGAAGTGAATAAGCAAAGAGAAATAGCTGGTCTAACTTGAATTGGCAGAATGGTAGAATGGTATTCTCTCCTTACCTTTTGAACAGTCTTTCCTGAGAAATGCATGCTAATAAAATAGAAATTGGTGGGAGGAGTAGGTTATGTCTTTTGTATACATTCTATGGTACTTGACATCATTTTGTAGGTTTGGGTTTATATAGCTAACACAGGAGACTTTTTATCTCCTCCATCAAAACATCATTTTCAAAATATTAGGAACTTGGCTCTCATACCCTCATACAGGTAGCAAGCACAATTCTTTAACTCATTACTGAGGGAACCCATAGGATGGAAAAGCTGATTCTCAAAGCATTTGAGGAACACAGATGTATCGTATGTCAGAAAGAATGCTGAAAAAAGTTTGCTAAGTTACATACAAAACTGGTTAATGTTCTATGGCACAATACAACTGTAATGTTTGGGTAATCTTTTGAACCTGAAGGAAATCGATCACGCTTGGCCGATTTAAACATAAAAGAGCTGGCTGGATGCGGTGGCTCATGTCTATAATCCCAGCACTTTGGGAGGCCAAAGTGGGTGGATTGCTTGAACTCAGGAATTCAAGACCAACCTGGGCAACATAACAGAACCCCACCTCTACTAAAAATACAAAAATTAGCCAGGCGTGGTGGTGCACACCAGTGGTCCCAGCTACTTGGGAGGCTGAGGCAGGAGAATCACTTGAACCCGGAAGGCAGAGGTTGCAATGAGCTGAGATCATGCCACTGCACTCTAGCCTGGGTGACAGAATGAGAGAGAGAGAGAGACAGAGACAGAATGAGACAGAGACAGAATGAGAGAGAGAGAGAGAGAGACAGAGAGACAGACAGACAGAAAGAAAGACAGAAAGAAAGAAAGAAAGAAAGAAAGAAAGAAAGAAAGAAAGAAAGAAAGAAGGAAGGAAGGAAGGAAGGAAGGAAAGAAGAAAGAAAGAAAGAAAGAAAGAAAGAAAGAAAGAAAGAAAGAAAGAAAGAAAGAAAGGAAGGAAAGAAAGAAAGAAGAAAGAAAGAAAGAAAGAAAGAAAGAAAGAAAGAAAGAAAGAAGGAAGGAAGGAAGGAAGGAAGGAAAGAAAGAAAGAAGAAAGAAAGAAAGAAAGAGAGAAAAGAAAAGAAAGAGAGAATGAGGGAGGGAGGGAGGGGAAGGGGAGGGGAGGGGAGGGGAGGGGAGGGAAGGGAAGGGAAGGGAAGGGAAGGGAAGGGAAGGGAAGGGAAGGGAAGGGAAGGGAAGGGAAGGGAAGGGAAGGGAATCATTTGCATCTGTACTGGACAAAATTGTATCCAGCTTATCTCCCACAAGTTGACAGGCAGCCAGTTACTAGTAAACAGTATGTGAAGCAAAGTTACATTCTCCTTGAGATTTAAATAATCCTTGAGTGGATCTAATAGACAATGCTCTGATCTGGACTTTAAAGGACATAGAGTCATCCTCTTTCCTTATTTCCAAGTTTTGGATAATTTTTCTGAACACCTCTTAGGCTCCTTGCTGGCAAGGCAGCTTCTAGGAAGTCCATGATAATGCCTGAGCTATAGCTTCACGACCAGAACTGGTGTGAACCTAAACACACAGATAGCAGACAAGCAAAGCACAGATTTACTATGTAGTGCCATGAAAATGATCTATGTATTTAAAAATCAGCAGAATATTAAATTACTCATTTCAAATGGCCATGTACAACTGACAGCAAAATGTAAAGAAATTCAAACACCCAGGTACAAACTGGTACCTTTGTACATCTTTACATTTTATCCGTCATTGTTTTTTTCCCACTTAGCTTTAAAGAGAAAGTTCAACTTTTTCTCTAAAGGTCAGCCTGCAACCTCAGGCTTAGCCATTTGGGTTACGGTTACAGAATAAGAGTTAAGGAATTGGAGCAGGGCCTGGGATCATGGAACAAGGGACTGGCATGGGAGTTGACTGGACCCCAGGAGAAATCTGAAAACCTATGGTTAAAGCATATCCTGAGTCTGGAGTACAGCTCTTATAACGAGTCATCCAAGGCACTGCCAGTCAAGCATCCCTGTCCTGCAACAACCGAGCTAGAGGCCTCTCCCTCAGTCATCCTTCCTTTGCATTTCTGTGGCCGCCCCTCTACTCCATGCCTTCATCATGCCATGTCACTATTACCACCGTAGAATCCAATCCTCCCATGCCAGTCCCTCCAAACACCTCCAAACACACAGTGAATCACAGCATAATTCATTTCATTTATTCAGCAAATACTGAACAGCTTCCAAATGCCAGCACTGTTCTAGGACCTGGGGATAATCGGAAAATAAGATGAAGTTCTTTACTCTTACATATTTCCATAAAAGCAAGGGGATTCCCACAAAAGTGATGTCAAGTGGTAATAAGTAAAAAACGAGCAAACAACAACAACAAAAACTCAAGCAAGTTTAGTTAAGGGGTCAAGAATGATGAAAAGGTAGGTTTCTGTTTTACTCAAAGTGACTGAAAAAGCCTCTCTGATAAGGGACTTGGAGGGAATGAAACAGCTGGCTGTGAAGATGTGGGAAGGAGAGTGTTCTGGGTAGGGAAAGCAGCTGGTGCCAAGGCTCTGGGGCAGGTGCATGCTGCTCGTGAAGGAGTGCCTGGGAGTCTGGTGAAGGAGGAGAATGGGGTGGAGTAAACTAAGTCAGAGATGAGGATACAGAGGCACCACAGGCCACGCAGAGCTGTGACGGAAAGGACTGTGAATGTCATTCTGAAGGAAACGGGAAACGATTTGATGGTTTTGAGCAGGACAGTGAAATGACCTGAGTTGTTCTTAAAGGCTACAGAGAATAGACAGTGTGGAGCAAGGGGAGAAGCAGGGAGTCCCACAGGGCAGCACTTGCTGGGGTCCAGACCAGGTGCAATGTGACTGTGAGTGCTGGAGTGGGGACAAGGGGCTGGATTCTGGATGTATTTCAAGGGGAGAGTCAACAGGATGGCCACAGGTCAGGTGTCAGGTGTGAGAGGAAAAAGACATCGATGATGACTCCGAGGCTGTCGCCCTGAGTAACTGGAAGAACAGAATGGCTTTTTCCTGTGATGGGGTCAGTAGGGGCTGGAGGAAGAGCATGCTGGAAAGGGATGTGGATAAAGAGTTCAGGCTGGTGTATGTTGAATTGGAAATGCCTAAGAGAGAAGCAGAAGAAGATGGATGTAGACGGTGACTATTTCCACCCCCAGGTCCCAGACTGGAGACACACTGAACAGTGGAGAGCCTGTGTGGGTATCTGACATGTTCACACACACACACACCCCACACACACAGTGGGTAGTGCATGTGCCTGACATTCTGAGGGCTGACAGACATAGAGGCATCTGCTGGCAGGCAGACAGAAGCCTGCAGAAGGAATCTAAGGCAGACACAGCACTCGCCTCAACAGTGAGGAGAGAGAGAGGAGGAGGGCTTGCAGGGAGGCTGGAGTCCTCTAGTGTATGTGTCTAAAACAAGGCTTCATGCGCTCACCTCAAGAACCATCCCAGATGCCCTGGGTCCAAGCGCTTTGGGCTGATCTCTGTGGGGCCGTGTCTGGTCATCCGTCTGCCTCCCAAGCCCACTTGCCAGTGCCTCAACAGGACAGCCTTCAGCCAGGCCAGGCCCAAGGCTCTCGGCCCATCCATACCCCTGCATACCTGGGCTCACTCCTCCAACCCCTCCACTCTGCTGACACACTCCCACTACAAGACCCTGGTCCACAGAGCCCTCCGTGATAGCTCCTTGGCCAGGCCAAGCTTTGAACCTTTACTGCTGACTGGCAGCTATCAGCTGTGGTTCTCTAACAGAGTTCTTTCTTCCGGGTCCTGGCATCCCTCGTGCTTGGCACAGTACCCTGCACAGAGTGGGCATTCAGTAGAAATTTGCTGGTGAGAGCTGCATGAGCAAGGAGAAGGCCACCCATCATGCCACCCTTGGTGACCAAAGCCTCTGGGTGGCCTTCAGTCTGCAGCCAGCTTGAAGCAAGCCTGCCACAGGTGAGCCTTCACCTTCTCAGGCAGCACTTGCCTGCTTCTCTCATGAGAGAAAACAAAAACAAAAACAAAAAAACACAGACTTTGTCCTTCTACGTGATGACTTTCCGCTCTGTTTGGCCACACTGAAGTTGGAAGAGAAAAAGATGAAGCTCACCTGGGGCCCGATCCCTCATCCCCTGGGACCATCCTTTCCAATCAGAAGATGTGCCCCCTCTCAGATGAAAGGGCCTTTCTCTAACTGTAAATTATTTCTAAATTGTATATCCTGTCCAATGTGTTTCAACATTCAAAGAAAATACGTCTCCCACAATTATAGTCATTTTGTAACTAAAGCCCGCAGTTTCCCAGCTCCCTCCAAACCTACTTATTTTAAAACAGAAAAATACTGCCGTTTCCCATCATGTTCTTTATTGAGTAATCCAGTGTGTACAGTAGGCCACTCTATTCTCTGGATTATTCTAGGAATACCAGATTAAAGACAAATTAGGTAATATTGCAGGCTGCTCCCTTGCAGACATTTCGAGAGCTGGATTTTAAGGGAGGTGAAGGCCCGCCAGTGTGCACACCGCAGTTGGCAGGGACCTTGTCGCTGCAACCAGCAGGGGTGAAAGGAAGAGAAAAGAAGTGAAAGATGAAGAGAAGCTGACCTCAAGGGAGACTTGGCGCTGAAGGTCAGAGGCCTGTGTGCCCACTGGGTGGAGGGGATGAGGCCTCAAAGGGTCTTTCAATACTAACACGGGATCCCTAAACCTTTTCAGAAAACAAGCTGTAGTCCATACGTTTACTCTGTGACATTTTCTAGTGTCTAGTCACTTCTCTAAATGAAAAAATAGAGACCCTCCCTCCCCCAAAACACAGCTTAGATGGAGTGAACCTCACCTAAACTTGGCCCTGGACCTAGTGATTAGTAAATGACACTGGCTGAATCCCACAAATCCCATGATCTGGGGATACAATGGGACACACAGGCATGAGTCCATGCCTGCCATGAGATACATCAAGTTGACAAAGCTGGCTCTTGAGGAAGAGGTTAAAGGACTCTAAGAGAAGCAGCCATAATGCACTTCCAATGGTATGGAAACACTGTGGGCAAATGTATTCCAGGATTTGTGACTCAGGCACCAAAAACCAGATGCCCCCAGCACATCCAAAGGGTGTGTCAGTTCTAAAACCCTCGCAAGAAGCTCTAGCCCAAGGCCAAGTCAGCAAGTGTTTGACACTCCCATGCTGTTTCTTTCAATTGCGAGTCGGTTTTCACCAGGTGTGAAACATGGAGCCATTGACTCTAAGCCAAGTATTCAGCAGAAACCTTCCTTAGCCTCAGACACTTGTCATCTTGGATTTAAACTTGACCCCGCCTGCCCCTAACGCACGTGGGACAAAGGTCAGGAAACGAAACAGTTCAGCATGCCGTAAATGTCTCCATGATTAATCACTTTCCACCCGATTTGACAACCACAGATATTTTTTCCTCTCGCCTTCAGGCATTATCTCAACACAGGATGAACTCGAAACTGCCATTAGAGGCACACATGCGAACCTGATTCAGAGGACACGCAGAAGACCTGACTCACATGCATCGTGGCGGATGTATCTGCTTTCCTCAGGAGGAGGATAATGCAAACTCTTCTGCAAAACCCAGAGTTCAAAACTAGAGTCATCTCATCCATAGACATGGTATCATCTTTTGCCTAAAAGCCAAGTAACTTAATTACATGTGGGAGGCAATAAAATGTCTCTAAAACCATTGCACAGATAGATATCCATGGATTTCAGGAAGGCCAGTTATATGCTCTAGGCTAAAAGTGTTGATTTTGAATACAAATGGTATAGCCACCTTGGAAAACAGTTTTGCAGTATCTTACAAAGTTTTAACATATGTCTATCCTGTGACCTAGCAAACCCACTCCTGAATATGAACCAAAGAGAAATGAAAATAGAACTCCCCACAAAGTCCTGTACATTAATGTTTATAGCAACTTTATTCCTAATTGCCCAAAACTGGAAACAACTCGAATATTCACCAACTGGTAAATGAAAAACCAAATTGTGCTACCTCTGTACAATGCATTACTACTCAGTAATAAAGAGAAATCACACAGTGACACGGACAAGGCTCCAAAATATGCTGAATGCAAGAAGCCAGACATAAAAGAGTACACACTTCTTGATTCCATTAACATGAAAGACTAGAAAGGCAAAACTAGACTCACAGACTGGTTGCTGAGGCCAAAGGGAGGGGAGAAACTGCAAAGAGGCTTGAGGGAACTATTGGGGGTGATGAAGTGTTCTGTATCTCATTGTCGGGTGGTTATACAAATGCATACAGTTACCAAAATTCATTGTGTGCACTTAAAATAGGTAAATTTTATCTTTTTTTTTTTTTTTTTTTTTTTTTTGGAGACGCAGTTTCGCTCGCACTTGTCACCCAGGCTGGAGTGCAATGGCGCTATCTCGGCTCACTGCAACCTCTGCCTCCCGGCTTCAAGCAATTCTCCTGCCTCAGCCTCCCAAGTAGCTGGGATTACAGGCACGTGCCACCACGCCCGGCTAATTTTTGTATTTTTAATAGAGACAGGGTTTTGTGTGGGGCTGGTCTCAAACTCCCGACCTCAGGTGATCCACCCACCTCGACCTCCCAAAGTGCTAGAAATACAGGTGTGAGCCACCTAGCCCAGCCGTAAATTTTATCTTATATAAATTATATCTCAATATTTTCAAAAGGGCCCACCTCCTTACTCCGAAAAATCAGTCTATAGGCCTCAGCCCTGTCCTTTAACTTACTTTCAGTCTACACCTTTGTTCCTGCAGTACGCTGTGGTTACCTGGAACAGGGGGCTGGGAGGGAGACCCTGATGTTCTGTTCCTTCTAGAAGAGGGTGGTCCATGGCAGGATGATAACACACCCTCAGTGAGCCAGAATGAGCACAGCCTGGCCACCAGTGCATCCCGGAATAAGCAAACACACATAAAAGATTTTACCTCATAGATGATGCACTCTATCACCCACAAAACATAAGCCCCCAAAGACAATGGGGTGAGTGCAAGGTGATTACTCCAAGGTGAAGCAAACATGGAGCAGGGTGTTACGGGTGCCCGGAGAGAGGCACAGGCCTCGAGGATCAACCCTGTGTGTTCCTGGACTATGAAAGGAAGGTCCATGTGAGCTCTAGAAATTTGTGAGAAATTACACAAAGGATCCGAGGAGTAGGAGCCGGGAGCATCTGCCCCAGGGAGGCATTCAAAGGTGAGAGGCAGAGGGACAGGAACACGGCAAATGTGAGTGCAGAGACCCCTCAACCCTGTAAGGTCTGGCCAGATTCCACAGGATCAAAATTCTCCCTTGCTGTTTCACTCGAACACAAACCACGAAGCTTCTTCTTATTTAGAGAACAAACAATGAAGGTTGGCTTTGTTATTTTTGCAAATTTACACATGCACGGAGCCTGGGAAAATTCTTGAGCAAGAGCATGAGGTGTGGACAGTGGTGTTTGCAGGTCACCACACTGACCACACACCCGTCCACTGCCTGGTTCTCCTGGCAAGGTTTTGGGCAAACACAGGAGAACCAGTGCCACCGCATTACATGCCAACCGTTCAGACCAATTTCTGTGAAATAACAAAGAAATCATCACAGGTTCTCTTGAAGCCCAAACCCTGAATAATACCAACAATACCACAATAGCCCCCAAATTAAAGGCTGCAGCTGCCCGGCATGAAAGGGCTGCAGGGCACCCCGGCCATGGTCCTCAGTCTCTGCTGAGCATTGCCCACATACCTGGTTTTAAAAGCCACAGGGAGGTGCTGGGCCTTTGCAACTCCTGTAAATTCACAAGAAAAGAGAGAAAGGTCACTAATGCTCCAACTCAGCAAAGAATATACAACTTTTGCATTTCCCAGGGTTCCTTGTCAAATGACCTGGCCCCATTTTTTGCTCCTTACCATTTTTCTTGTTCCTTAGCCCCTCCATAAGAAGAACAGATGATTATGTCCTGCTCTAGGTCCCTTAACAGAAGAAGAGCTGCAAGAAGGGAAAAGATTTAAGCTCTGGGATAAAGTGTGCAGGGTTGTATAGGCCGTGAGTAGCAGAGCTGGGCCTGCATGCAGTCTTTCCTCTCTCTACATGGCAGCAAAGGAGGATTCTACATCTCCAAGCCCTCCCTGCAGCCCACACCTGCAGATATAATGAGTTTGTATTTTAAATCTCCTGCCCTAAAGCTGAGCTTTAGTCAGGGGTCAGGTGAACAGAATTAGGGATGCATGTTGTGTGGGAAGCCATGATTAAAAGGAATATGCCCTTGAGACCCCCGGGGCTGCTGTGGACTGCAATCCCCCCACAGCCTTCCTGTGCCCTTAGCCTCAGCCTCCGTTTTCCCATCTGTAAAGTGGGTGTTCTGCGTGTTGTAAACAATGAATGCTATGAAATCAGTGCAAGGCAAGCTACAAATTGTTAGCCAAGATTATTGTACGAAACTTCAAACTGTTAGCCAAGATTACTACTCGGACAAACTTACCAAAGTTATTAGCTTCCATTTAATTAAAAGCCATTACCTCAAATAGCCCATTCATCTTTATTAACCAACAAACATCTCAAAGCTTGTAATACTCAGTTAATTATGTGATTTTTTAAATAATAAAATTGGAATTCTCCTGCTCTTGAATAAGTTGTACCTGCCTCTGGGCAGCCAGGCTGTTAGCTGAGTGCAAGAATAAAATAGAAATCTGGGCAGGAGGTCGGGCACAGTGGCTCACGCCTGTAATCCCAGGACTTTGGGAGGCCGAGGTGGGCACATCACCTGAGGTCAGGAGTTCCAGACCAGCCTGGCCAACATGGGGAAACCCCATCTCTACTAAAAATACAAAAATTAGCTGGGTGTGGTGGCGGGCACCTATAGTCCCAGCTACTTGGGAGGCTGAAGCAGGAGAATCACTTGAACCTGGGAAGCAGAGGTTGCAGTGAGCCAAGATCGCACCACTGCACTGCAGCCTGGGTGACAGAGTGAGACTCCGTTTCAAAAAAAAATTTGGGCAGCTCCTGGGTAGGGACTTATCCCTTTGCCAGGGAGTGACTTTATTTGGAATAATATTCAGTCACAGGAATCTTCTGGGATGTCACCAGACCATTGCTTTGAAGAGTAGACAGCCTCAGACCCTCTGGGGACAGGAGCAAGGCAGGCTGATTTATTAACCACATGGCGTCACCCTCTTGCCCCAGAGGTTAGATGGTTCCAGGATCCTCCGTCACCAAGACTAGATCCCAGAACTAGAGCCTTGCAGCTGGACCACTCCCCTCTCTCCGTGGCAGGGAACATGTCCACCAGCCCAGTGGCTGCCACTGGTAGCTGTTGGCTAAATGCAGGTGGGTGAGAGACAAACCCTGCCTGCTCACTTGCCCTAACCTGCTCCTCTCTGCCTAAACTTGGGCTTCACAACACTCTTCTCTCAACTTGTACTGAGCAAGTGGCTAGTGGAGAAAGAAAGTATCTTAGCCTGTAACAGAATACCACATACAGGTGGTTTATTTTAAAAAGAAAACAAAAAAAATTATTTCTTACAGCTCTGAAGGCTGGGAAGTCCAAGGTCAAGGAGACTGCATCTGGCAAGGACTTTCTTGCTGTGTCATCCCATGGGGGAAGGTAGAAGGACAAAAGAGCAGGAGGGAGCAATAGAGAAAGGGGACTGAACTTATCCATTAATCAAGAAACCACTCCCTCAATGATTAACCCACTCCTAAGGTAACACTATTAATCCATTGATGATGGCAGAGCCCTCATGACCTAATCACCTCCTGAAGGTCCCCCATCCAAACACTGTTGGTGTTGTGAATTAGGTTTCCAACACACGAACTTTGGACACACTCAAACCACAGCAGTGGGTGAACACTAAAGAGCACCTACACTATTCCTGACACTTGTATTTACATCATCCACTCATTTAAACCTCCCAACAGCTCTGAGCTAGCTCTCACTACCCTCATTTAGTATATGAGGAAGCTGAGGCACAGAGAAAGGAAGGAGCTTGCCCAAGGACGCAGAGCAAATTAGTGACCAGCCTGGGACTCAGACGCTGGTCTGCCTGAGCACATCCCACCAGCCGCCTACCTGGCCATTACGCACTTGACCACTCACCAAGAAGCTTGTCACACCGTGAGCCCTGTGTCTCTCTCCCCACCATTCTCAGCTCTCTGCCTTCTGCTGACTTGCATCTGCCATATAACCTCTCTCTTCAGAGATGCTCGAGAGTTTTTTTTTTTTTTTAAATAAGTGAATCTGGGAATAAAAGGCCGGCCCACAACAATGTATGGCAGTTAAACAACTTCAAGAGAATGTTTTGGAGGTAACCAAAGGATATTGCGGGCAGACATTTCTGGAGACCCCTGTCCTTTGGATAAATGTGGGTGCGCCATGTCCCCGGCAATGTAATGGAATATTTGAAGGCCAGACTGAGGATCTAGAACTTCCCACCCTCCTACCCCCACTCTGAGGAGTGTCTTGGCGAGGGGGGCTCCTGGGACCATCTAACCTCTAGGGCAAAAGGGTGACGCAGCGTGGTTAATAAATCAGCCTGCCTTGCTCCTGTCCCCAGAGGGTCTGAGGCTGTGTACTCTTCAAAGCAATGGTCTGGTGACTTCCCAGAAGATTCCTGTGACTGAAGATTGTTCCAAATAAAGTCACTCTCAAGTGGGTTCCTAGGGTGGAGACACCAACCCAGAAGTACCCACACTCAGCAGGCTCTCTAGGCAGAGCTCTGAGGGGAGGGCAGAAGGGGAAATGTCTGGGTGGGTTGGTTGGTTGGTTGGTTGGTTTTGAGACAAGGTCTCACTATGTCACCCAGGCTCCAGTGCAGTGACTATTTCCAGGAGCAATCATAGTGCACTGCAGCCTCAAACTCCTCAGCTCAAGCAATCCTTCCACCTCAGTCTCACGAGTAGCTGGGATTCCAGGCGCGTGCCACCATGACCAGCAGGAAAATGCCACCTTTACAGTAACACCACTTTCAGAGGAAGGGATCAGGGAGCCTTGCCCACTCCAGAAAAAGCCCTAGAAAGAGCAAACTTGAAGTGTCCACACACCATCTCACACTCATTAGGATGGCTACCATCAAGAAAAAAGAAAAACAGAAAATAACAAATGTTGGCAAGGATGTGGACAAATGGGAACCCTTGTGCACTGTTGATGGACATGTAAAATGATGCAACCACCATGGAAAATAGTATGGCTGTTCCACACAAAAAAAATTAAAAATAAATTCTGCATGAACAAGCAATTCAACTTCTGGGCATATACCCAAAGGAGTTGGAAGCAGGGTCTTGAAGAGGCATTTTACACCATGTTCATGGCAGTGTTATGCACAATGGCCAGAAGGCAGCAGCCTGAGTGTCTGTTGGTGAACGGGTGGATAAACAAAATGTGGTATGTACATACTCTATTAGTCGGGGTTCTCCAGAAAAACAAAACCAGTAGAATATATACAGATACATAAGAGGAGATTTATTACAGGCATTGGCTCATCCAATTAAGGGGGCCAAAGAGGCCCACCCTATGCCATCTGCAAGCTGGAAAACTAGGAAAGCCATGGTGTCGTTCAGGCTGAATCTGAAGGCCTGGGAACCAGGGGAGCCATTGGAGTGACCAACGTTCAGCTGAAGGCCTGGGAACCTGCGGGGCTAAGGGTGATGAGTCCCCAAGTCAGAAAGCTCGAGAACCAGGAGCTCCAATTCCCCAGGGCAGGAGAAGATGGATGCTCCAGCTAAGAAGAGAAAGAGAGAATTTGCTCCTCCTCTGCGTTTTTTTTTTTAGACGGAGTCTTACTCTGTCGCCCAGGCTGGAGTACAGTGACGCGATCTCAGCTCACTGCAAGCTCCACCTCCTGGGTTCACGTCATTCTCCTGCCTCAGCCTCTCAAGTAGCTGGGACTACAGGCGCCCGCCACCACGCCCAGATAATTTTTTTTGTATTTTTAGTAGAGACAGGGTTTCACCGTGTTAGCCAGGATGGTCTCGATCTCCTGACCTCGTGATCCGCCTGCCTTGGCCTCCCAAAGTGCTGGGATTACAGGCATGAGCCACCAAGCCCGGCCCTCCTCTGCCTTTTTTATTCTACTTGGGCCCTCAACAGATGGGTTGATGCCCACCCACTGGCGAAGGCGGACCTTCTTTACTCAGCCTACTAATTCAAATGCTCATCTCTTCTGGAAACGTCCTCAAGGACAAACCCAAAGATAATGTTGTACCAGCTATCTGGACACCCCTTAACCTAGTCAAGTTGACACATAAAATTAACCATCACGCATGCAATAGAATATTATTCAGCTTAAACAGGAAGGAAATTCTGACACATGCTACAACATGGATGAACTTTGTGGACATTATGCTGAAATATCCCAGTCACTAAAAGACAAAATAGTGTGATTCCACTTATATGAGGTACCTAGAGTAAACCAAAAATAAAATTCTAAGCATCCCCCCATGCCCCTGCAACCATCTGAAAGGGCTTCCTTCTCAGCCAGGGCTCTTTTAAAATTTAACCTGAGAGACTGTTTCAGGCCATGATGGAAAGCAGGGGTCAGACATGCCTCATGATACCTCTCCAGCACTGACATCAACACAGACTTTAAGTCTGATAAGAAACATTTTAAAACCTGTTCCCTCTGAAGCCTACCACTTGAAGGCTTTCTCTGCAAAATAAAAACTTGGGTCTCCATAATCCTTTATCTTAACCCAGACATTTCTTTCCGTTGGTCCCGGGTCTTTAGATAAACTCAGCCAATTGTAAACCAGAATATTTTTTAACCTACCTATAAGCTGGAAGTCCCCCCGACCCAGTTTTGAGTTGTCCCACCTTTCTGAACCAAACCACTGTATTTCTTAAATGTATTTGATTGATGTCTCATGCCTCTCTAAAATGTATAAAACCAAGCTGCGCCCCGACCACCTTGGGCACATGTTCTCAGGACCTCCTGAGGGCTGTGTCGGGGGCCACAGTCACTCATATTTGGCTCAGAATAAATCTCTTCAAATATCTTACAGAGTTTGATTCTTTTCTTTGACACTAGAGTAATCAAGTTCATAGAGACAGGAAGTAGAATGGTGGCTGTTAGGGGTTGGGGGAGAGAAGAACAGGGAGCTGTTGTGTAATGGGTAGAGAGTTTCTGTTTTACAAGATGAAGAGTCCTGGAGATTAGCTGCCCAACAGTGTGAACGTACTTGACACTACCGAACTGTACACTTAGAAATGGCTAAGATGGTAAATTTTATGTTATGTGTATTTTACTACAATGAAAATTTTTTATTTAGAAAGTGTACACATGTATTAAAGTCCTCATCGCCCTGTTGTTGACCACGTTCCACTTTTTGTTTTGCTGCAATGTGTCTCTTCATCCGCTTCGTATTTATCTGGTGCCAATTTTATTAAGGGTAGAATGAGATTCAAATAAACTTTCCTCCAGGGAAACGACAAACCCAAGAAGCAGGCAACTTGCCAGGACAAAAGAATAAAAAATTAAGCAAACAGCCCAGAAGGTGCAGCCCGGCCCTGCTGGGGGTCATGAAGTGGGTAAGCTGACTCCATGCAAGGGGATCTTGTCTCTCCTTCCTAAACTTCACAGCTGAAGGAAGGTGGAGAGGGCAAGGTGGACCTTGGACCAGGTTACAATCCACAGGATGTATTCTCATTGTCCTTCTGGGTTCTAAACGTTTCTCTCCATGAGTCACAAAGGTTAACTGGCTCTAAAATTTTAAAACCCTCAAGGTTTTCCTTTTTTAGATTGTCCTCAGGAGACCTCTCACTGAGTGTTCCCTCCATCCTCATTTCCAAATGGCAGCTGATTCTTAGCATGCATGTTTACAGAAATACCAGTAGTTATTGCATGTTCCCTTCCATGTGATTAAGCATTGCCATAAAGCCAGGACTGGATTAGAAATAGATCTTCCCCTTCTGAGAAAGCACCCAATGGAGCAAAGCTGGCGGCAGTGATGGACAACTTGTGCCACCTACTGGCCATCGATGGTATCACATGCCCAATGCCAAAGACTAGACAAGGTTTTGCCACCTGCCAATGAACTGGCCAGAGCCACTGCCTCACCCACTTTGCATGGCAGAGGGTGAGTGGGAAATATGACCAACTGTCCCACACTGGAACCGACCTCCAGGTCTGTGCTCCCTAGTCAAGGTTTCCAATCACCTAGGTTATTATCTGAGGGAACAGCCCCTTGGAGCTCTTGCTCCAAAAGGGCCTGGAGGAAGGGCATTTCAGGACACAGGGCCATAGATTGTGGCATTATTCTACACATAAGTTCAGACTTGGGAATGAATGAAATACACTCCACTGTGTTATGCAACTTTTGTCACAACATTTTACCTCCTTTGATCCCCCTTAACAGTTATATGAGCTAGGTTCTATTATTATTTTAGAGATGAGGAAACTGAGGCACAGAGAGGTTCAATCATTGGGTTAAATGCCTTTCCATTGCTACACAGAGGGATATGATGCCTTGACGGGGTACTCACTAGAAAGCGGAGCTATAACATAATGGTTCTCTTTCATGTTTATTTTTCAAAGCAAACACACCATCATAAAGATATCCAAGTGTTCTCTTAACTGTTTGGAAGATCTTGTTTAGAAGCTTCACAAGCAAATGAACATCCTCAACCTTATAGCCACAGTCTCATTTCTTGGTTCATTTCAGTGAATATGGATTGACCACCTTCCGGGTTCCAGATAGAATGGCAAGTGGGGAGTACGCCATCACCTACCCTGCGGGGCTATTTCTCAACTATAAGGTAACTTGAAATCATGAGACTCTGCCACCACTGAGGCTGTTCATGATCTGAAGCCCATTCACAGAAGTTTCACCAGTAATAGGAGCAAGTACATAAAAACCCCAAATGTGACCACTTCAAACAGGATTACACCCATGAAAATGCATGTCTTGATAGGTTCATTTTTAAAAAAATCAGTGGTGTCCTGTTTAGAATCCCACCTGAAATTTAGGAAAAGAACCTTCCCTGAGACAGGCTCACCTCCTTATTATAAGAAGGGCAGCCTCAGCTTGGCAGGAAGCAGTGCCTCATTGACTCCTCCTCACGTGGCCAACCTGACTGACAGGGAGCCCAATGTGCCGTCAACCGGCAATGAGCTGGGGAGACACCAGAGCAGAACCCAGGCTTCAAGAGAGAAGCAGGAGGCGGCTGGGCGTGGTGGCTCATGCCTGTAATCCCAGCACTTTGGGAGGCTGAGGAGAGCGGATCACGAGGTTAGGAGATCGAGACCATCCTGGCTAACACGATGAAACCCCGTCTCTACTAAAAATACAAAAAATTAGTCGGGCATGGTGGCGGGCGCCTGTAGTCCCAGCTACTCAGGAGACTGAGGCAGGAGAATGGCATGAACCCGGGAGGCGGAGTTTGCAGTGAGCCGAGATCGCACCACTGCACTCCAGCCTGGGCGACAGAGGAAGACTCCGTCTAAAAAAAAAATTAAAAAAAAAAAAATGAGAGAGAGAGAGAGAAGCAGGAGGCTTGTTTTTATAGGCTCCTTCTACTCAGAGTTTGCCTGGGGGCTGCAGCCTGCCTATGGCAAAAATTAACAAATAATACCTGCATGCATTTATTGAGGACTTTACATCCATCAGAACTCTCTGGTTCCATTTTCATATTAGGTCTCTGTTGCTTGCCCCAGAAGGCTGTAGGGTGGGGACTGTTACTCCCAGGAGGAGAGTGAGGCAGAAGGTTTGGGCACTTTGCCCAAGGTTCCAGGCAGAATCAGGATGGAAATTCCATTTCCTGGTGCTGTTGTCAAACAGCCACTGGATATTAAACCCCGCACGACAGAAAGAAAGAAGCTTGAGTCTACAGGAAATTGGAAGATGAGACTAATAAAAAGCTCTTAGACATGATCTCCTTCCTGAAAATTTCCTTTCTCTTTGACTTTTAAAGAAATCTGGAAGTTGGGGGTGACAGGTTGGGAGTGGGACGAAGGAACATCCTCAACCCTCAGGGAGCTGTTTATATTCTGGGGAGGCAGGAGAGGGAGGAAGCATAGATATCTGGAGAGAAGAGAGAAATGTGACCAGGATTGAGGCCCATCTCACCAGCACAGTGACTTTTTTTTTTATTTTGCAAAGCTGGATATGGCCTCTCTGAACAAGGTTTGCTTCTATGATTCTGGGACAAATTCTGGAAATGTAAGAGATGGAAATGGTTGTAGGTGGAATTTAATCCAATCCACCTCACATTCCTCTTGAGGAAACAAAGCTCAGGGAGTTTCGGCCATTTCCCCAGAGTGATTCCAACCTTGTAACATATATTAAAGGCCTTAACCCCAAGAACAATGGGAGCTCATGAAGGCATGTCACAATAGAGACATGATCAGAAGTCAGTCTACTTGGTCACTTTCTACTCCATCGTGCTTCTGCCAAAATTAAGGAATGGCTTCTTTCTGAAGTTCAGGTGAAACTGATGATTTATCGGTGCTGCAGAGAGAAAGGCAAGGAAATGAGAAGAATAGATGATAAACTCCCGTGAGAGAAAAACGACAGTGAGAGGCGAGTGTGAGAGCCAAGTGGCACACATTCCCAGTCACTGTAGCTGACGGCCTGAAAATGACAAGGAAGGCAAATGTCTGGAGAGGCAGCAAGGGATGGAGGCACGAGTGGAGTTGGGTAAAACCATCCAAAGGAGACTCAGAGCTTCAAGGAGTGTTTCAGAGGAAGCAACGCCCAACAGTACTGGCATTTGGAGTCTACAGTAAGGATTGAGAACAACCCCACTCCTCAGTATTACCCTCAGTGAACATCTATTCAAAATCTATTCAGTTTATTGAGCACCTCCTATGCTTCGCCCTGTAGATTCAGCAGCATAACATCCAAGCCAGCCTAGACCCTGCCCTTGTAGAGCATACAGTCAAGTGGAGGATACAGACATTAAACATGGAGCGATTTAATGACAAGAGGAGAGAGCACCAACAAGGAAGACACAGAGTGGTCTGACTGAGCCAGGGCAATGGGCAATGGGAGTGGAGGAGGCTTCCCTGGAGAGGTCACATTTAAGAGGCGCTTAATGAACATGGGGATCTTTGCTAGCAACGCAAGGCAAGAACAGTGTTCCAGCAGAGAAAAAGCATCTGGAAAAGCCTTGGGTATGAGGGACTCAGCTCATGACCACTGGACAGCAGGTCATGGTGGCTGGAACATAGGAAGAGAAGGGGAAGGGGGCTGGCCATGACCTTCCCCATGAAAGATGCCACACTGACCTCAGAGCAATGGGAACTCATTAAAGACACAATCAAATTTGAGCTTTTCAAAAACCATACCAGCTTCAGGGTACAGAATGGTTTGTCGTGTGCGTGAGAGAATGAAGGGAGACCAGTGTAAATTCTACTGAGGTTACCCCAGCGAAAAGTGGTTGGGGCTGGGTCTGGTGGGCACATGGGAGGTAGAAGTGAGTAGGTTCAAGGACACTTTAGAAGTTAGGATCAAGGGAACATGCTGAGGGACTGGATGTGAGGGGATACGGTGGGGAGGTGTCAACTCCCAGGAGGATGGTTGCAGCATGTCTGAGACAGAGCGCATTTGAGCTGGAAGGTCTGAGCACAGCATTGGGTATATTGAGTTTGAGATGCATGAGGCCACCAAGGAGGGAGCCAGGGCATGGAATCAGGCATCCTCTGCAAGTGGGTGCCCCATGGTAAGCAGAGGCACAGGGAAGAATGAAATTGAATAGAAAGAGAATATAGTGGCCGGGCGCGGTGGCTCACGTCTATAATCCCAACACTTTGGGAGGCTGAGCCAGGAGGATCACTTGAGATCAGGAGTTCGAGACCACCCTGGCCAATATGGCGAAACCCTGTCTCTACTAAAAAATACAAAAATTTGCCGGGCATGGTGGCTCATGCCTGTAGTCCCAGTTACTTGGGAGGCTGAGCCAGGAGACTTACTTGAACCCAGGAGGCGGAGGTTGCAGTGAGCCGATATCATGCCACTGCACTCCAGCCTGGGTGACAGAGCGAGATTCCGTCTTTAAAAAAAAAGAATATAGCAAGAAATGAAGGAGACCAGCCCCAAGGATGTTCAGTGTCTGGTCAGGAGGTGGGAAAGGACTAAAAAGGGACAGCCAGGGAGGTGGGGAAACCAGCAGAGCCTGAGATCTCCAAGGCCAAGGACACTGGCCCTGGGGCGTCGGGAATGACAAACACTAGGAGGTGCCCAGGGGATGTCACAGGATGGCCTCAGAGGGCTCGTCGCTGACCCCTCCACCCAGGGCGACAATGCCTAACCACCCCTGAAATAAACAAGCCAGCCAAGGGCCTGCATCCTCATGACATGCGCACTTCCCACACTTTCCAGTGCTTCTGTTTTATATCAATAAAAATGCACAACGAACACACACACAAACTATCACCTGCGCTTCTCGCAGGTCTCATAAGGAATTCATCCCACCCAAGATTTCCACCTCCTGAATAAATTAAGCATGTTTTCTTTGGTGGCTTTTGTTAAAAATCCTGAGTATTTATTCACTCATTTATTCACAAACTATTTATTGGGCACCTAATATGTGTCAGGTACCATTCTGAGCAATTAGAATACCTCATTGAACAAAAGAGATAAAGGTATTTCCTACTGAGGACTTTATATTCCAGATCTGGAGGCAGAGATGGCATAGGAAAGGGTGATAAGCGCTATGGAGAAAGAAAAAATAGGATAAAGAGGACTAGAAGTGCTGGTCAGGAAGGAGGAGTTATGATTGCATTTTACACAGAGTGGTCAGGGAGAAAGAGACGTTGGGTAAAAATAGGGCTCATTTAATGTTGGACTTCTCCCTCTCACTACACAGGCGAAGCAAAAGAACAGAAAAGTCCAGAAGCACCTGGAAGATTTCATCCACAAGATTTATGATGGACTCATCCACAAAACTGGGCACAAAACTCAGGAAGGGGGACCAGAAAGCTCTCCAAGATGCAAACCTGACTTTGCGACAAAACACGACAATGATGAAATAGGAATCCTGCACACAAAGTCTCCAAAGGTCAGGGTTTTAAGCGGCCTTAACCAAAGCTGGACAAACAACACACGATCAAGCAAAAACTCTACAAGTGGTGACAAGCCTCAAATCACAGAAACTTACCAAGTAAGCCAAACAGATGACAGCAAAAGCAGCCTCTGAGTCTCATCCAAATGCAGTGGTGAAGGGAGAGAGACCTGCTGCTCATAGCCAAAGAGGGCGCTGGCATGCAACAGAAAAGGAGAAAGCCCTTGGCTTCCTGCTCTCCTGGCTGTTTCTCATGGATATAAAAAGGGAGATTCTGCTTCCAAGGAGAAGCTGCCTCCTCTCAATGGATTTGTGTCTCCTGACCACATCAGTTCCACTTGGCCAACATCAGAGCTGCCCTGTATGGCCTGTTGAGCACCACAGGGAAAAGTAGTGATGCCCGAAGACTAGAGATGGAATGCAGCACCAGATCGCAAAGGGGAAGAAGCCGCACAACAATGAGTAGAAGGTGGAAGGAACTGGCTTCTTCACGATGCTGCTGAACGGCTGACTCGCCCACCCTGGACTACCTCCCCTGTGTCTCCTGTTATGAGCAGGCCATTGAGTGTTTAGTTGGGAGCTTTCCTTTCTTTTCTTTTCTTTTTTTTTTTTGAGACAGAGTCTCACTCTGTCACCCAGGCTGGAGTGCAATGGTGTGATCTCGGCTCACTGCAACCTCCACCTCCCAGGTTCAAGCAATTCTCCTGCCTCAGCCTCCCAAGTAGCTGGGACTACAGACACACACCACCACAGCCAACTAAATTTTTTTGTATTTTTAGTAGAGACAAGGTTTCACCATGTTGGCCAGACTCGTCTCGAACTCCCGGCCTCAGGTGATCTGCCTGCCTCGGCCTTCCAAAGTGCTGAGATTATAGGTGAGAGCTACTGTGCCCAGCCAAGGAGGTTTTCCTAACCGTTAGATAGAAATGCACTGGTGGGGGTTATAGACAACAGAATCCCCTCTACCAGGTTTCAGGAGTGAACGATTTATTATAGGACAAAGATAGCATGCAGGAGGAGAGAGGTAGCTGAAGACGTGGGCCATGACAGAGAGATGGATGAGACTGTTGTTGAGTTTATTAAGAGGATCATCTCAAACATCCTCATGGCTGGGTGTGATGGCTCACTCCTGTAATCCCAGCACTTTGGGAGGCCAAGGCAGGAAGATCATTTGAGCCCAGGAGTTCAAGGCCAGACTGGGCAACATAGTGAGACCCCATCTCTACAAAAAATAAAATTAGCCAGGCGTGGTGGCACATGCTGTAGACCCAACTACTCAGGAGGCTGAGGTGAGAGGATCGATAGAGCCCGGAAGGTCGAGGTTGCAGTGAGCTGAGATCACACACCACTGCACTCCAGGCTGAGTGACAGAACAAGACCCTGTCGAAAGAAAAGAAAAGAAAAGAAAAGAAAAGAAAAGAAAGAAAGAAAGAAAGAAAGAAAGAAAGAAAGAAAGAAAGAAAGCAAGCAAGCAAGCAAGCAAGCAAGCAAGCAAGCAGGCAAGCTGGCAGGCAGGCAGGCAGGCAAGAAAGGCAAGAAAGGCAGAAAGAGAGAGAGACAGAGAGAAAGAGAGAGAGAGAAATAAAGAGAGAAAGAGAGAAAGAAAAGAAAGAGAGAAAGAAAGAAAGAAAGAGAAAGGAAAGAAAGAGAGAAATAAAGAGAGAAAGAGAAAGAAAAGAGAGAGAGAGAGAAAGAAAGGAAAGAAAGAAAGAAAGAAAGAAAGAAAGAAAGAAAGAAAGAAAGAAAGAAAGAAAGAAAGAAAGAAAGAAAAGAGAGAAAGAGGATCCCCATGACGGAAATGACAACAATCCTAAAGCCTGGGATTTTTTGTCTGAAAATCAACTGCAGACTTTAAATTTCCGGCAGAGAAAGGACTCTCTCATTCAGCACTTGGTTCTGCTGTGTGAGAAGCATGCAAATCCCTATGACGCAGCCCTTTGAGACACAGTTTATACTCAATTTCATCAGCACAAGAAAGTTTGGGATGCTTTTCAGATGAGTAAAGGACCAGGTGAAGATGCTGACCTTTTTGATATGAAACAACTTAAAAATTCATTTAAGAAAATTCCTCAGGCCGGGCGCGGTGGCTCATGCCTATAATCCCAACACTTCAGGAGGCAGAGGCAGGTGGATCACGAGGTCATGAGTTCAAGACCAGCCTGGCCAAGATGGTGAAACCCCGTCTCTATTAAAAAAATACAAAAATTAGCCAGGTGCAGTGGCAGGTACCTGTAATCCCAGCTACTCGGGAGGCTGAGACAGAAGAATCACTTGAACCCACGGGCGGAGGTTGCAGTGAGCTGAGATTACACCACTGCATTCCAGCCTGGGCAACAGAGTGAGACTCCGTCTCAGAAAAAAAAAAAAAAAAAGAAAGAAAAGAAAAAAAAGAAAATTCTGCAGTAAGCATTTACAAATGTGACAGCTTTAGAGACATTGAGGGGAATGCAGTCCGGATTAGAATTGCCTGGGGAACACAGTACACAAATCCAAGTCAGTACATAGAAACCTACCACCTTTCTTTTTCTCTCCTTCCTTCCTGCCTGCCTGCCTGCCTGCCTGCCTTTTCCTTCCTTTCTCTTTTTTTCCCAGACTGCATGTGCCTTCACTTTTTCCTCCAAGCTGAGGTGCAATAGACCGCTTCTGGGTCAGGCACTGATAATTGCTAGCAGACACCATCAGACTGTGAAAATGGATCTGAGAAGCTGACATCTGGACTCCCAAGCCTATTGCTTTTAAACAGTATGATCAGATCTTTGAAGCTCACAACTCAACGACACCTCTATAGGAAAGAAGCCTTGGGCTGGATATAAATATGGATTCTAGAATTATTCATGAAAACATAGTAGAAAAAGGAAGAGTCCAAGGAATAACTCAAAAAGCTGTTGGGGACGATCCTCAACCACAACTAGAATTTGCACAATTGAAGCTTGAAAGGAAATTCAAAAGTGATTTAAATGGGACCATCTTGGCTGAGAAGGAAGAATCCCCTTCAGTGAGTAATAAAGTTCTCTTGCTCACGTCTTTTGGAAGCAATGAAATCCTTAACCCCCGCCAGCCTTGCAGATAGACCTCTTTCTCCACCACTCACTTGCATATCCAGCAAGGGAATGAGTTATTTTAAAATTAGAGATAAATGAGACGTGGGTGGTTTTGTATGCACAGGAGCTCCTTCACTGTATGGTACATGCATTTCAGTTCATGGCTAGCTATATGGCTTCTGTTTATACACTAGTACTTTAGAAGTTAACCCTTGGTATTGAAATTTCAGAAATGTTCATGTAATTTTTGGGACTGACTCATTCCTCCATGATATGCCTCCTCTCTCCCATATCTGCTAATTGTCACAGTTGTGAGCACTTGAGATGCAGGATATAGACGTGGCTGCACACTTGACATTGAGTGCCTGCATGCTCTGAGGTCAAGCATACGGCGCAGCGCTGGAGACGGTGGGAGTCGTGTCCTGCGTCCTTTCTCCCACTCCTGTCCTCTTTGATCCTGGGGAGGTCTGGTTCCAATTGCTGCGTTTCCAGAGACTCATTCTTAAGTCTCGGATCACAGAGAGAAGCAACAAGAAACTATATCCAACTCAAAACTTTTTAGGAGAATCATAAAAGTGGTCCATTCAGAGGGTAGAGTTGGGTCCACTATGTTATTGTTGCAAGAGGCTGCATATTCAGTAAATGGGTTGTGTAAAATAATGTTCTCTTTTTTTTTTTTTTTTTTTTTGAGACGGAGTTTCACTCTTATTGCCCAGGCTGGAGTGCAATGGCGCGATCTCAGCTCACCGCAACCTCCGCCTCCCAGGTTCAAGCGATTCTCCTGTTTCACCCTCCCTAGCAGCTGGAATTACAGGCATGTGCCACCACACCTGGCTAATTTTGTATTTTTAGTAGAGACAGGGTTTCTCCATGTTGGTCAGGCTGGTCTCAAACTCCTGACCTCAGGTGATCCGCCCTCCTCGGCCTCCCAAAGTGCTGGGATTACAGGCGTGAACCACTGCACCCAGCCAATAATGTTCTCATTGTTAATATGATACTTTTTATCATCTGTTTTTATCATATGTGTTACATTAAACTGATAAATAGCAATATTATAACGACTTGTGAATAGAGATAATGAAAAGCTGATCAAAGAAAAAAAAAAGATAACATACCAAATCGAATGCTGAAGAAAGAGACCCCCAGTGCCATACCATAGATCTAATGCAGTGAGGGGCAGCCGCTCTGGCCCCATCTGGAGGCAGCTGAATCAGGAAGCCTCTGCCACAGCTGTCAGCCCCTGCCCCTGCCCCTCCACCGCACTCTGCCCCAGCCATGGGAACTGTTTGGGATCAAAGCCTTGAGTGGGTGCCTATGATCCCTGGACCTAAATCATATGTTTGCACCTCAAAAACAAGGATGGCTGTGAAATGGAATATTTGGAGACTCATTAGAAGGCAGGAGGTACACTGTGGGGAACTATCAAACTGTGAAGAGGGTGCTGAAGATTTGAGGAGCTACAAATGGCAGAGGTCCACCACAGCACACTCACTGACTCAGCCAACACATGAAAAAACAAAAGCGAGGTTAAGGTACGCCACCGGAGCGCTGCTGCAGGAGGAATGCGGCACACTGCATTCTTGCCTCCTTTGTTGGACAATGGGAGAAAACAATGCGTGGTACTAGAAAAATCAGAAAAGGATGTTGCTGTTCACTGACAAAGTGATTTCCCCGGAGGGACCCCACCACGACAGCAGCCACATCCATGGGCCACAGCTTGGAAAGTGTCCAGGCCACACCCTCTGGGGAAATCCTAGCACTCCTCTTGTCTGTCTCTCCCTCTCAGGGACCACAGCTCTGCGCTGTCTGATGGCAACAGTTTCGCTTTGTTGTTTTTTTCCTCATCTATTTTGTCCTGTGTTAATTATGTCAGGTGAAAGGATAAACGCCGTCCCTGCTACTCCATCTCATCTGGAAGCAGAAAAGCAGTGCAATGACCCTAAGAGTCACAGGGAGGATAAGGGTGGCTTTCACCACCCCAGCCCAGCCACCTCTGACTCTACCTGGAACCTCTCCTGACCTGCCCCCAACTCTTCCCAAGGAGAGGCTTCCTCCCTCTCTGGTCCTCTCGCAGACCCCCCACTGCATTCTGAGCCACTCCTCTTCCCTCAGCTCCCACTCACCTCCCACATCCCCTCCATCCCCCTCACCACGGCCCCACTGCATTTTAGTGTCTGCTGTGGTTGACCCCAGATGTCTGCACCAGCCTGTCTCATCTGAACACGCTCCCCTCTCCAGCTGCCCATTCATCACTGCCCCCTTCATGCCATACTGAAGACAGTGCCTTGTTCATGTGGGTGACATTTATGTATCTGCATAGCGTGGGTTCTTTTTTCTGCTCTGATAAGGACCCAGCATGTAGAAATGGAATTCATTTCCCATACATAAACTCAGGCACTAAACCAGACTGCATGGCCCAATAAATGTAATTCAGAATTAGGAGCCGCAGGAGCACAGCCCTTCCTCACTTGACCATCCTATCACTAAAAGGCCCACCGAGGAGGAAGCCTTACCACACACTCAATCTCTATTGACAGCTCTCTAGGAGAGAAATGGACCTAGATTAATCAACGACCATACATACATTTAAGCTTCTTAATAAATTGTCCTATAAATTCCACACATTATTTCTAATGAAAAAATTAAAATTCCTCATACTTATGTAACCATTTACCAAAACACTCTCCCATAAGTTATGGTGGTAATTCCTCAAAACCGCCATGAAATAGCTAAGCGACTGGCCTTTTTTACAACAGACATAAACAAATTCCAATGTATTAACAATTTAAGATGGTGACTGATATGGTTTTGCTCTATCTCCACCCAAATCTCATCTTGAATTGTTGCTCTCACAATCCCCACATGTCATGGGAGGGACCCAGTGGGAGGTAATTGAACCATGGGGGTGGGTTTTTCCCGTGCTGTTCTCGTGATAGTGAATAAGTCTCACGAGATCGGATGGTTTTATAAAGGGCAGTTCCCCTGCACACACCATATAAGACGTGCCTTTGCTTCTTCGCCTTCAGCCATGATTGTGAGGGCTCCCCAGCCATGTGGAATTGTGAGTCTATTAAAACACCTTTATAAATTACCCAGTCTCGGGTGTGTCCTTAGAGCAGCGTGAGAACGGACTAATCACAGTAATTGTTAAGCACAAGTCCCTTAAGCACGTATGTCCTTTGATGTGGCGTGCACGTTCAGCATCATTTCTGCCCTGTGGCAAGGATGCTCACATTTTGCTCTTTAGACCTTCTCCCACTAGAGGGCGCGCTAAGCCAACCTAGGCCGGTCCGATCGCCGCCATCAGTGCCTGACACATACCTGGCAAAGCCTGAGCGGTTTTCAGACCCATCATGCATCAGCCAGGCCTCCCACCAACCCCAGGAGTTGCTCCCACACCGTGCAGGGGCTTGGCTGCATTGGCACGGGGACCAAGTATTCCTGAATTCATATTTGGAGCCCAGTTTTTTATAATTACATCCTGGAACAACGGTATATTTTGATCACCCCTTTCTCCCTAGGCGTTCTCCAGTCCTCAAAGCCCTTCTACCTAAAACGAAGGAACACATCCATTTTCCTTTTCTCTCACAGATCTATGAGGGGAAGAGGAATGGAGGGCTGGTAAAGACCACAGCCATGTTCTCTCCGGGGTGTTCACAGCCATGAACACCCCACCAGGCCTAAGCTGTCACAGAGACAGGCCTTTGTGGTCTAGAAGTCCCCACACAGCCTGCCTGCTGCAGACATTCCTCAGCTTCCTTTGAGGAAGAAGAGGTAGCCATTTCCAGAGGAGGAAACAAGAAAGAACGGAAGACTCTCTTAGCCCAGAATTCTCTTTCCCAGACCCATTCTGCCATAACTCAAATGCCACATGGCCCCCAGTAGCCCACACCTCCCACTGCAATGGTCCACGCATCCCAGTTCAAGGATCCATGCCTCCCAGGGCAATAACCTGCACCTCCCAGTGCTATGGTCCGCACCTCCCAGGGCAATAGTCCACACCTCCCAGTGCAGTGGCCACACCTCCCAGTGCAGTGGTCCACACCTCCCAGGGCAATGAGCTGCACCTCCCAGTGCAATGGTCCATGCTTCCTCGTGCAATGGTCCACACCTCCCAGGGCAATGAGCTGCACCTCCCAGCCAATGGTCCACATCTCCCAGTGCAGTGAGCCATGGTTCCCACCAATGGTCCATGCTTCCCAGTGCCATTGAGCCGTACCTCCCAGTCCCAATGTTCAATAACTCCCAGTCCTAATGGGCCATGCCTTCCAGTACCAATGGACCATACCTCCCAGTGCCAATGGCCCATGCCTCCCAATGCCAATGAGTCACACCTCCCAATGCCAAAATCAGCCACACCTCTGTGTGAGTTCCCTCTCACATTGAGTCTGGACATTACCATGTTTTTCCTTTTCCATCCATTTACTTTCAATGTATCTGTGTCATATTTAAAGTGTATCTTTGTAAATACTGTATGGTTTGGTCTTGCTTTTTTATCCAGTCTGGCAATCTCTATCTTGAATTCATATCATACCACTTTACATCTAATGTAAGAAACTCTGGTAGCCCAACCCCAGCCTCTTGCATTGCTATAATTAAAGGATTCTTACCTTTTCTTCATGTTTGGAAGCTGGGGAGTGGCTACTGTTTCAGACAGTTTGGATTCACCTTTAGGTTCACCTTCTGCAGGGCTCCAGAACCCAAGCCTCACAGAGATGTGTAAGGCTGTCTGTATTCTCCCTGCTACCAACCCCTTCTCCAATGCCACTTTCCCAGCAAAATTCCAGGTAAGGAAGAGAGTTGTTGGGCTGAGAGATGGATATTTGCATTTGGAACTCCTCCAGAGCCACATGTTGCCCCTGACGCAGGATGCTCCTTCTTAACCCTGCAAAGCCTCCTGCCTGTAGGCAGCTGCTACTTTTCCCACCTGAACTCATTCAGGCACTTGCCCCAGAGAGCTCCAGGGTCTCGGCTCATCTAGAGGGCGCGCCCTCTACAATTCAGTTCATCAGAGCTTCCTTACATCTTCCAATCTTTGAAAGCCCCATGAACGTACGATTCTTATGTGGTTCATTCTTGTCATCACCACAGGAGGAAAGTTTTCATGTCTTTCTACATCCTAACGAGAAGCAGGTGACCTAATCTTGTTTACGCCATTGATATTTGTGCTTTTGTTATATACAGAAAAGCTTAATTTCCGGGTTCATGATGTAGAAAAGCCAAGCACAACTTATATTGAAGCAGCTGCTGACCATCTGTGGTCAGATGTGATTATCCAGCCATCACAATGTTTAAAAATTTGAATTTGAAAACATTCATATTGAATCCAAGATCTCCAGTTTATTGACAATGCCCCATACTTTCTATTATTGTTTATCCACTAACTCCTTATATTTACATTTTCTTCTGGCCCTTACTGACATTTGAGTGTGAGACATTTCATACCATCAATGAAAACTGAGAAATTCTGTGCATTTTACCTAGTAATCATGTCCACTTTATACTAAAATACATACATGAGGGTAATTTATCTGCTTTCTACCCAGATATTTTGCATCTCATCGCAAAGTTCCCATAACTGCATTCATTTTTTTGCGCCCCAATTTCTACTAAGAAAACCATTCTCTATGAAAGTCAGATGCTACAGTTCACTAATGCAGGATTATCTCATCTACCTGCCCCAGCAGGTGGGTCCTATAGTTTACCTTTAGAGATGAGAACAAACTTGAAACAACATAAAGCATCTTGCAACTCTGGCTAATTTTTTTCTCCTCCTTATACTCACAAAAGCTTTCTAGTTCACGGTATTTCTTCTGTCCTTGGCAAGTGACAAAGACTTGAGGCCAAAGTCTGCATGTGATGTCAGCCTCCGTGAAAGACTCATATCTCTTCTGCTCTCCATCAATAGGGGAGGGGGCACAGAGGTATCTGGGGAGTGTCTGGCGTTTAGCATCTTTGTACAGAGCCAGTCTCAGTGGATGTAGCCTCAGGACTGTGCAGAGAAAATCACCTGGCTTATTCAGAAGGGCATTAAGGACAGCAGTGGAAACCAATGGTGCCTACATAAGTCAGATTCTCCCTCTTGTAACTCCAGAATAGGACCAAATCTCCCCTCACTCACTCAAAGCCCAAACAATAGTTCATGGAGAAAAGAACAACCAACTCTTACACAATTGGGAAAAAACAGGTTCTCTATGCACACAAGAGACTATTAAGCAGAAGCCACATTAGACTGTCCATTTCCTCTTTGCACCAGGGAAGTGAGTAGGGCAGTCTGCAGAGGAAGAAAGTACAAAATAGCAAAATGCTTTGCTTTGCTTTTTAAAACTTTTTTCTTTTGAATTCATTGTAGACTGACACATACAGTTATAAGAAACACTAGAGAGACTCCCATACACCCTTCACCCAGTTTCCCCAATGGTGAAAACTTGCAGGACTATATAGTACAATATCACCAGCAGGGGAGGGTCACTGAAGTCTCTGGGTAGTGTCTGGCCTCAACCACAAAATTGCCATTGATACAATCCTTTCGTCTATTGATATTTCACCACTTTTACATGCACTCCAGTATGTGTGTGTGTCTATGCAGTTTTATTATGTGTAGATTTGTATGACCACCACCACCACAGATAACACAGTACAAGGAATCCTCATGCTATTTCTTTCATAGCCACAGCCATCCCTCTCCCTACCCTCTTCCCTAAACTGGCAGCTACAAATCTGTTCTCGACCTCCATAAATTTGTCACTTCAATAATGCTATATAAATGGAATCATGCAGCATATAACCCTCAAAGATTTTTTTACTCAGAATAATTCCCTTGATATCCACCCAAGTCGTTTCTTTTTTTGCTGATCAGTATTCCATGCTTTCTTAAAATAAGAGAGGGATGTCTTATATTCTCTTAGAATTCCAAGGATTGTCAGAACGTTATTAATGTTATTCTCTATTCTCATAACTTTTAGGTATAATAGTGAACAAATAAAAGAGAAAAGAAGTGTACATGAAGTTATCACATACTCTCAGGTTGCATTTTTCTTCCTAATTTTTTGGTACCTTATTTTTTATATAAATGCAGCTTTCAGGGTAAACACTCCCTCTGTTGAAGAAAGTTTGCTAACAGTAATGGCCTCTAGACACTCAAAATTTAATGGCAAAATAAAATTACTCTCTTGAACCTCTGGTTATGGACAAGATGGAGTAGATAAATTTCTCTCTATTCCTCCTTCTAAGTGCTGCAAAAACACTGGACATTATATATGAAGCATGAAAGACTTTGAAATATGGAAAGAAGACAAACTGAATAAGGATCCCAGGACATAAGAAATGAATGACATGGTTATAAGTTCTCTGATTGGCTTCTTTTTTTTAGACAGAGTCTCACTCACTCCGTCATCCAGGCTGGAGCACAGCAGTGGTGTGATCTCAGCTCACTCCAATCTCCACCTCCTGAATTCAAGCAATTCTTCTGCCTCAGCCTCCCAAATAGCTGAGATTACAGGTGCCTGCCACCATGCCTGGCTAATGTTTGTATCTATAGTAGAGATGGGGTTTCACCATGTTGGCCAGGCTGGTCTTGAACTCCTGACCTCAAGTGATCAGCCCACCTTGGCCTCCCAAAGTGCTGGGATTACAGGTGTGAGCCATTGTGCCTGGCCTCTTTTTGGCTTCTTATGTCTCAAACTGGGTGCCAGAGAAGCAGCAACCTAGAAATACCAACAGGCACAGCCAAAAAAAAAAAAGGCCCCAAGAAAAGCTTCCCCAGCCAAAGGACCAGAAAAAAGTCAGCCTAACAAGGCAGAAAACTTCTGTCTACAACATAAGCACCCCCAGCCAAACACCATGAAAAAAATGTGACTCCAGCCCCACACTTGTTAGCAAAGGCTGAGTGGAGAATCTAGACTTGCATCCTCTCCTGGCTACAACAAAGCACCCTACCCATCCCACGCCAGCCAGAATGGTGTTGGACAAAACCAGATGAGATCCAGGAATTTCATTCATGCCTGGCATTAATGAAGCATGCCCTTCCCCCTCAGTAGTGTTGGTGAAAGCTACATGGAAATCTTAGACTCTGACCTCTACCTAGCAGTAACAAGGAACCCCTTCCCAGCATAGGTGTCAATGGTGCCAAATGGGTAACCTGGACTTCCACTCCCATCTGGCACTAAGAAGGCAATGCCCTTTTCCCCTCTGCCAACACAATGTCAAAGAACACTCGCTAAAATAGAAAAGCTTCAGTGAGCAATTATGAAAATGCTTGAAACAAATGAAAGAATAAAAACGTCTCAGCAAAAAAGATATTGAAAAGAACCACATAGAAATTTTAGAATTGAAAAAAATACAATAAACAAAATAAATATTTTAGCAATATGGCTGAAGAACAGAAACAAGAGGATAGAGAAAAGAATCAATGGACTTGAATATAGAAAAATAGAAGGTACCCAATCTGAGCCAGAAAAAGAATATATACTAAGGCAGGGGGAAAGAGCTTCAGGGATCCATGGGACTATTTTTATAAGGTCTAGCATTTGCATGATCAAAAACCAAGAAAAAGAGGAGAAAGAGTATGGGGCTTAAAAAGTATTCAAAGAAACAATGGTTGAAAAATGACAAATTTGACAAAAAGCTACAGATTCGAGTAGCTGAGCAAATTCCAAATCCCAAACTCAAAAGAATCTGTGCTAAGACACATTATAATCACAATTCTGAAACTAAAGGAAGAAATCTTGAAAACATTGAAATGACATTTTACCTATAAGAGGAAAACAATTCAAATGACAATGTGTTTCTCATCAGAAACAACAGAGACTAGAGGTGACAGATTTTTTTCAAGTAATGAAAGAAAAGACCTGTCAACCCCTAATTCTATATCTAGCACAAATATCCTTTAGGAATGCAGGGAAAATCAACATATTGTCAAATAAAGGAAAACAAACAGGATTTATTGCCAACAGACCTACCCTAAAAGAATAACTAAGGAAATTTCTTGAGATGGATAGGAAATGATGATAGAAAGAATCTTCTAATAGCAGAAAGTAAGAAAGGACAAAAAGAGAAAAAATAAGGGTAAATATATGCTACACTTAGCTTCTCAAGTTTTCTAAACTATGATGGTTGATGCAAAAATTATAACATTGTCTAATATACTTCTCGAGATATAGAAAGAAACTATTTAAGATAATTATATTATCAATGTGATAGGGTAAAGTTATCTAAAGGGAGATGAAGTTTCTACACTTTATTCGAACTGATAAAACATCAACTCAAATAGACTTTCCTGAGTTACATGTACAGGATGTAGCACCTAGAGCAACCACTAAAAAATTGATACAAGGAAATACACTTAAAAAACACTATAAGTCAAAATGGAATTATAAAATATTTTCAAGCAATCCACAGGAAAGCAAGGAAGATAAAACAGAGAAAAAAAAGAGATAAACACACAAATAAGCACAGATAGATAAAATGGCAGACTTAGCCTTAATATCTCATACTTATATTAAATGTAAATTGTCTAAATAGACCTATTAAAAAACAGAAACTGGCAGAGTGGATTAAAAATCATGACCCAACTATATGCTATCCATATGAAATTAACTTCAAATATAAGAATATAAGTAAGTTCAACATACACGGATGAGAAAAATATATACCATGTTACCATGTAACCATCAGTCAAAACAAAGCAGGAGTTGCTATTAATATCAGATAAAGCAGACTTCAGAGCAAAAAGATTATCAGAGACATAAAGGGATATTACATAATGATAAGAGTCAATCTACCAGGAAGACATAGCAATCTTAAATGTACATGCATCAAATAACAGAGCTGCAAAATATGTAAAGCAAAAACTGATAGAACCAAAAGGAGAAAGAGAGAAATCACATTATAGTTGAAAATTTCAACACTCTCTCTCAACAACTGATAGAACAACTAGGCAAAACCACCAAATAAAGAAATAAAAAGTGATAATAAAAAAGAACAACTAGGCAGAAAATCAGCAAGGATTTAGAAGAACACAAAAACAGTGTCAATGAAAAGAATATAATTGAGATTTGTAGAACATTGCCCCAGTGACATCAGACAGCACACATTATCTTTTCAAATGTTCACAAAACATTTATCAAGATAGACCATATCCAGGGCCATAAAACAAATCTCAACAAAATTAAAATTGAAATCATACAGAGTATATTTTCATACCATAATGGAATCAAACTAGAAATCAATAACAGAAAGACATATGAAAAATCTTCAAACACTTTAAAACTATACAACACAATTATAAGTAATCCATGGGTCAAAAAGAAAGTTCTCAATTTCTCAGAAAATTTTTAAAATACATAGAACTGAATGAAAATGAAACTATCACATAAAATTTGTGAAATGTACCCAAAGCAGTGCTAAGAGGAAAATTCACAGCATTAAATACTTACATAAGAAAAGAAAAGTCTCAAATCAATAATCTAAGTTTCCACCTTTAAAAATTAGAAAAAGATCAAAATAAAACCAAAACAGGCCGGGCAAGGTGCCTCACACCTAGAATCCCAGTGATTTGGGAGGCAGAACTGGGACAACTGCTTGAGTCCAGGAGTTTGGGATCAGACTGGGCAACATAGCAAGACTCCATCTCTACAAAAAATAAAGAACATTAGCCAGGTGTGGCAGCATGCACCTGTAGTCCTAGCTACTCAGGAGGATGAGGTGGGAGGATTGCTTCAGTCCAGTAGTTCAAGGTTACAGGGAGCTATAATCATGCACTCCAGCCTGGATGACAGAGCAAACCTTGTCTCTAAAATAAATAAATATAAGAAAACCAAAACAGAAAGAAGGAAGGAAATAGTAAAGAGCAGAAACTAATATAATTGAAACCAGAAACACAGTAGAGAATCAATGAAACAACGAGTTGATTATTTTAAAAGATTAATAAAATAAACCTCTAGCAAATCTAACAAAGAAAACAAAGACAAATTATCAATATCATGAATGAAAGAGGGGATATAGATATTTAAAACATTAAATGATAATAAGGGAATACTATAAACAACTCTACAAACAAATTTGTCAACTTAGATATATGAACTACTTCTTTGAAACTTACAAACTGCCACAACTCACTCAAGATGAAATAGATAATTTAAGAAATTGAATTTGTAATTGTAAAACTGACATAAAAGAAATCTCTAGATTCAGATAACTTCCCTCGAGAATTCTAACAAATGTTTTTAAAAGTTTAAACACCAAGTTTACAAAATCTCTTACAAAAAAAAAGTCAGGGAATACTTCCTAATTTATTTTATGAAACTAATATTAACCTCATACCAAAACCAGATAAAAACGGTATTTTAAAAATTACAGACCAATATTTGTCATGAAGATATATATAAAAATCTTTAACAAAATGTCAACAAATAAAATTCAGCAATATATATTTTTTCTTAACCATGACTAAGTTATTCCAGGGATATAAGGCTGACTCAAAATTTGAAAAGCAATCAGTGTAATTCACCATATCAACAGACTAAGGAGGAAAAATTACATGATCATATTAACTGATGGGAAAAAAAAAGCATTTGACAAGTTCTTTTATGCATAAATGAACATTCTTATCTCTTTTCTGCTGAAGAGGAAACTTACCAATGAAATTGATGCCCCATTCTTTAATATTATAATGCCTTAATTCATGTCACTAAATAACCAACCCCTCTCAAGAAGTATAATAGAAAATATTATATAAGTGTTCCCAAAATACCTGCAATAATACCAAGTTCTTTCTCAAAGCCAAAACTGTGATAATTCTACTTTGGAAATTGTCCAAGTATTTGGATAAGTAAATATCCAAGTATTTCCTTTAATTGCCCAGCTGAGATTTGGTAATGATGATGTGAGAGAGCAAGCTTACTCTTCTCTCGTATATGGAAGAAAGTGACCATGTAGTGTATAAAGGAGGCTCTTTGGGAGAAAGGATTATAGCAGACTTCTCTCATTAAGAACTCTAGCCAGGCCATAGCTAAGTGGAAAGGCAAGACAGAGGATGCACAAGACAAAGTATCACTCCTTGAGCTGGGCATTGTGGCATGGGCCTATAGTCCTAGCTACTCAGGAGGCTGAGGTGGGAGGATCACTTGAGGCCAGGAGTTCAAGGTTACAGAGTGCTAAAATTGTATCTTTGAATCTAGGTTCCTGCACTCCAGCCTGGGCAATGTAGTGAGAGAAAGAAAAAAGAAGAGAAGAGAAGAGGGGAGGGGAAGTGAGGAGAGAGGGGAGGGGAGGGGAGGGAGGAGGGGAAGGGAGGGAAGGGGAGGGAAGAAAGGAAAGGAAGGAAGGAAGGAGAGAGAGATGGAAAGAAAGAAAAGAAGACAGACAAAGAAAGAAAGAGACAGAAAGAAAGAAAGAAAGAAAGAAAGAAAGAAAGAAAGAAAGAAAGAAAGAAAGAATGAAGAAGAAAGAAAGAAAAGGAAAGGAAGGAAGGAGAAAGAAGGAAAGAAAGAGAAAGAAAGAGAAAGGAAGAAAGGAAGGAAGGAAGGAAGGAAGGAAGGAAGGAAGGAAGAGACAGGGCTAGGCGTGGTGGCTCACGCCTGTAATACCAGCACTCTGGGAGACCAAGGCAGGCAGATCACTTGAGATCAGGAACTTGAGACCAGCCTGACCAACATGGTGAAACCCCATCTCTACTGAAAATACAAAAATTAGCCAAGTGTGGTGGCATGCACCTGTAGTCCCAGCTACTCAGGAGGCTGAGGCAGGAGAATTGCTTGAATACCGGAGGCAGAGGTTACAGCGAGCCGAGATCTCACCACTGCACTCCAGCCTGGGTGACAGAGCGAGACTCCGTCTCAAAAAAAAAAAAAAAATACAGAATGGGAGAAAATATTTGCAAGCCATATAAATGATAAAGAAATTATATTTAGAATATACAAAGACAATTAAGGCATTTACTGTTATGTAAATATGTTTACCCAATAAAATATCTTTAAAAATTATGGCTCAATAATGAGAAGACATGGGCAAAGGATAAACATTATTTGCCAACTGTGTGATGTTATTGAAAAGATACTTCAGTTAAAACCACAGTCTTATATGGTTAAACTAGAAAATAATGATAACACCAAACACTGTCAATGCGGAGAAAATGGATCACTCAGACACTGCTGGCAGGCATGTACAATGGCAGGACCACTCTAGAACAAAGTATGGCAGCTTCTTACAAAGTCAATGTGCCCTTATCATATGACTGGGAGCACCACTAGGCAATAAAAATGAATTAACTATTGATTCATGCAACAACTTGGCTGGATATCAGGAATTACGCTAAGTGAAAAACACCAATCCCAGATTATATACTGGCTGGTTCCATTTAGGTAATACTGGGGGCTTTTCATTTTTGTTTTCTTTTTGTTTTGAGACAGGATTGCTTTGTCACCCAGGGTGGAGTGCAGTGGTGCTGTTATAGTAGGTAGCTGGTCAGGTCTGAGCAGGGCAGGAGAGAGCCCCTCACAACCCCAAACCAGGAATGTTAGGCAACCACCAGGTGATGGTCAAGCAGTTGTTAACTGTCTCTCTAAAATAATAATTGGTTACAGCCAGTGCCAGAGAAAGGCAGTTTCCTGATAAATAGAAAACACCTGAACCTGGTGATCAGTAGCTTCCCAGTAAAATCTCAGGAGTTGAACAAGTAGGCTCACACATGCAGACTAAGAGGCAAGATGGCAGAGTTTAACTGGTGTATGACCTCCTAGGGGCATTCAGCTGGTAAGGGAAGAATGCCTCAGGTGAGCATGCATACAACTCCAGTCAGCACACTGCACATGCTCCTCTCACAAGCGCTAGCAGGCCACTGTGCATGCAGACAGCCCACCCCAAAGAAAGAATCAGGGGAGAAGGAACACAAAACCCCAGAAGTATGCCTGCATACCAAACCCCAACAAACCCTGCACTTTTGTCCTTCAAGTCGCCCACTTGGGCCTCTTCCAAGTGTTCTTTCCTTCCTTTTGTTCCTTCTCTAAAGCTTTTTAATAAACTTTTACTCCTGCTCTAAAATTTGCCCCAGTCTCTTCTTCTGCCTTATGCTCTTCAGTCGAATTCTTTCTTCTGAGGAGGCAAGAACTGAGGTTGCTGCAGACCCACGTGGATTCACCACCAGTAATAGTACAAACACAGATCATTGCAGGCTTGACCTCCTGGGCTCAAGTGATTCTCCCAACTCGGCTCTACAAGTAGCTCGGACTACAGGTGCACACCACCACGCCTGGCTAATTTTTGTATTTTCTGTAGAGATGGGGTTTCAACATGTTGCCCAGGCTGGTTTCAAACCCCTGAGCTCAAGTGATCCGCCCACCTTGACCTCCCAAAGTGCCCGGATTAGAGGCGTGAGCCACCATGCCTGGTCAATATTGTTCAAATAACAAAATTATAAGGTTGTAAAGATTAGTGGTTGCCAGGGATTAGGGAAGATGAAGTTCTAAAAAAAGTAATAGGAAGTATTCTTATAATACAACTGTTCTGTAACTTGGTGGTGGTCACACAAGTGTATACATGAGATAAAATTGCATAGAACAAAATGCACACACACTAGCAAGTGTATATAAGACTGATGAAATCTGAACAATGTCAATGGATTGTACCAAACTCAATTTCCTATTGTGATATTGAACTATAGTTATGCAAGTTGTTACCACTGGAGAAATTTTGATGAGGGGTATCTAGAGCCCCTCTGTGTTACTTCTTACAATCACATGTGAATCTATGATTATCTCAAAATATTAAAGCTTACATTTTTAAATTTTAATATGATACTAAACACAAATAAGGCAATAAAAATAAACAATATTTGTAACTTTGTAGTATAGATGAGAGGTTAATCAACTTTTAATTTTGCATATTCTCAATTTTCTGCTATGTGAATGTAACATTTTCATTTGAAATCATTAATGGATTTGATTGAACACAAGATGAGGCCCCACGTGAAGGTCATGTTGGGGTAAGAGCAGGTGACTCCAGCATTCGGGCTGGGACACTAACCCCCTTCCCTGTGAGGCTCATGGCCTTTTCCTTGAGTGCCTTTTATAAACCAAAGAGCCATTCCTCGTGGAATGATGTGATGACATCAGTGAATCTAGACCAACGCTCTGGAATCTTGGAAGCATTTGGTCCCTAACGCTTGGCTACAGCCAGTGCTCTTTCACACTGTCATGGGCTGCACTCTGGGTAAGTGTAAGCTCCGCTTCAAGGGCCTGGAACTCCAGAGAGCCATGAAGGCACTCACTCAGGGTGGCTATCACTCATTCCTGTACTAGACCAAGTCTCGGATCCTGAACTATCTTCTCCCAAGGAGTCTCAGGGGATGGGGAAGGGACCACCTGTGAGTCTCCAGATGAATGATTGGGGATGCAGCAGGAATAAAAACAGTTTTTGAATTTTGGGGGAAGACAGGAGAGGAGGGAATGTGGGCAAAAGAGAGAAGGAAGGAGGGCTGACAGGAGAGCCAACTCCCACAGAGAACCTGGCCATCAGTGGCTGCCTCGAGAGCCTTGAGGAGCCCCAGGGACAATGGGGGAGGAGCAGGAAGAGAGCATCTACCAGACATGAGGAAGATGCCTCAGACAGGGGTAGGTGTCACCAGCCTTCTTGCAGGGCATCTAGGCACTGCCTCAATCAGCTTCAAGGGCTATTGTAGGCAGGTTTGCGCCACTCTGGTCATATTTTTGGGCCACGCTTGATTGCCCATGAATTTATAGTGGTTCACAGGGATATTTAGACACAGCTGAGAGCACAGAAAATAAGTATGTCAGGTCATCAGTTTGACCCTACTGGAAATGAGACTGAGGCTAAGTGTCACTGTAGCAGGACGAGCTGCAGACAAAACCCCTCAGACACCTGGTTAAAGAAGGGAGCTCAGACGGCCACAAATGTTAACAAAGTCTTTGAGGTCATTCAAGGAAAAGATGAGAGCTCAGTTCTTGAGACACAAGTCGGCCAATGCTCCCGGCTGAATAAAGCCTCTTCCTTCTTTAACCCGGTGTCTGAGGGGTTTTGTCTGCGGCTTGTCCTGCTACATTTCTTGGTTCCCTGACCCAGAAGTGAGGTGATTAATGGACAGTTGAGGGAGCCCCTTAGGCAGCTTTGGCCTGCCCTGCGGAGCATCCCTGTGGGGGACTCCAGCCAGCTTGAGCAATGCAGATCCTGAGAGCACTGCCGGGTAGGCATTTGCCCTGGTGGAATGCCTCATCACAGCAGTGCACGGCAGGGCCCCATGGAGGATCAATGCAGCAGCTGAACACCGGGAAGGAACCGGCACTTGGAGTCTGGACATCTGGAATACAGTAGGACCAGTCCTGGGAATTTGCCCGCTCCATTTGAGTGGAAGTGTCGCCTGATCACCCACAATGTGCCCTTATCAGCACTTTGATCTCAGTATTGATTTTGATTTGACTTGACTTGATTGCAATTGGCACTTTGATCTCAATATTGATTTTGATTTGGCTTAACTTGTTTGCAAAAAGGAAAGTGAAAGTGAATGAGTGCTTGAGTTTGAGACAGGCAAGATGAGTGAGTGACCCCTTCAGACTTTCCTTCTTGTGGTGTGAGTGTTGTTTTGTCTCAGGAGGAAGATGGGTGGAACGCAAAGTAAGCCCACTCCACTAGGAACTATGTTGAAAAATTTCAAGAAAGGATTTAATGGGGACTATGGAGTTACTATGACACCAGGAAAACTTAGAACTTTGTGTGAGATAGACTGGCCAGCATTAGAAGTAGGTTGGCCATCAGAAGGAAGCCTAGACTGGCCCCTTGTTTCAAAGGTATGGCACAAGGTAACTGGTAAGCCAGGACACCCAGACCAGTTTCCGTACATAGACACTTGGTTACAGCTGGTTTTAGACCCCCCACAGTCGTTAAGAGGACAGGCAGCAGCAGTACTAGTAGCAAAGGGACAGACAGCCAAAGAAGAATCCTGCTCCACCCGCTGAGGGGAGTCAGCTCCTGAAGTCCTGTCCGACCCAACATCAGAAGATTCATGGCAAGAAATGGCACCAGTGGCCCCCCGTTTCACCAAGAATGAAGGCCTCCCACTCCTGAGGCCACTGCGCCTGAGCTTCCCAAGGCCTACATACCCCTAGGCCACCCAGGGTAGAAAAGACAGGATGTGAGACCTCAGGAGAAACCCCTCCCTTGGCAGCCCATTTGAGGCCTAGAACTGGGATACAAATGCCCATGAGAAAGCAACAGTATACTGGGTAGATGAGGATGGGCATATAGTGGAAAGGCATGCCTTTGTGTACAAACCCTTCACCTCTGTCGATCTCCTCAATTGGAAAAACAATACCCCATCCTATACTGAAAAACAATACCCCATCCTATACTGAAAAGCCTCAAGCTATAATTGGTTTGCTCCAAACTATTATCCAGACCCACAACCCCACCTGAGCTGATTGCCACCAGTTGCTCATGTACCTCTTTAACACAGATGAAAGGAGAGTGCTCCAAGCAGCAACTAAGTGGGTGGAAGAACATGTTCCAGCTGATTACCAAAACCCCCAAAAGTATGTGAGGATCCAATTACCAGGAACAGACCCCCACTGGGACCCAAATGAAAGACAGGGTATGCAAAGGCTAAACCCATACAGGGAAGCCCTTCTGGAAGGGTTAAAGAAGGGAGCTCAGAAGGCCACAAATGTTAACAAAGTCTCTCAGGTCATTCAAGGAAAAGATGAGAGCTCAGTTCTTGAGACACAAGTCTGCGGACGCTCCCGGCCAACTGAGACTTGGGAGGCGAGACCAAGCCCGGACAACACCTGCATAGTGACTCTGAAGAAGACGACAAGCCCTGCTCCAGTCACACTCAGAAGCTGACTGGTCCATGCATAGCCGAAGCATGAGGATAGTTAGAGACATGACAAAGCTGGCACATGTGCCCGTGCAGGTTTGGCATAGGCTTGATCCTGGATTCCTGTTTGGAAAATGGTTTCCAGCTCTAGGAGGATTTAAAACTCTTATAATAGGAATAATAATAGTATTAGGAACCTGCATGTTACTCCCCTGTACATTACCCATATTTCTCCAGTCACTAAGAGGCTCCGTTACCACCTTAGTTCATCAAAAGACCTCAGCTGTCTCTCAGGAAGACCTGGATAGTGAAGATGAAAGTGAGAACTCCCACTAGTGAGTGAGGTTCTCAAAGGGGGGAATGAGGAGAGAGGCCATTTCTCTTACTGTCTCCTGTCTCTGAAGAGAAGGAGGAAGTAAAAGCTGAAAAAGATTAACCCCGCACTCTAACCACATGTGCTATCTATAGATCTTAATCTATCATGACCCTTTCACGTGGACCCCTTAGAGTTGTAAGCCCTTAAAAGGGCCAGGAACTCTTTCTTCAGAGAGCTCGGTTCTTGAGACGCAAGTCTGCCAATGCTCCCAGCTGAATAGAGCCTCTTCCTTCTTTAACCCAGTGTCTGAGGGGATGCCTCTTTTCTTGTAGCTCCCGCCCATCCCCGCCTTCCCCCTCCCACAACAAAGAAGCAGTGAACTTAAATCAACAAGCAAAAAACAACTCCATTAAAAAGTGGGCAAAGGACACGCACAGACACTTCTAAAAGAAGACATACAAGCAGTCAACAAACACGAAAATATTCTCAATATCACTAATCACTAATCATCAGAGAAATACAAACCAAAACCACAATGAAAGACCATCTCACCCCAGTTAGAATGGCTATTGTTTTTTAAAAAAGTAAAACAATGACACATGCTGGGAAGGCTGCAGAGAAAAGGGATCACTTACACACTGCTGGTGAGAGTGTCAATTAGTTCAGCCACTGTGGAAAGCAGTGTGGAGATTTCTCAGAGAACGTAAAAGAGAACTGCCATGTGACCCAGCAATCCCATTACTGAGTATATCTATCTAACAGAAAATAAATTGTTCTATCAAAAAGACACGTGCACTCACGTGTTCATCCCAGCACTATTCACAATAGCAGAGACATGGAATCAACCCACGGGCTCACCACCAGTGGATTGGATAAAGAATCACCAGCCTGATGAGCAGCAGGGCAGGTTTTCATTTCCTCAGTCCAGGCTTTCTCTGAACTTATGTAAGGTTGTACTGAAAGCATAGTGAGACCCACTGCTGCAGCTTTGAGATTGGTGCCACCCAGGTGAGTTTGTTCAGGGGTTAGGAAATTGCAAAGAAATTCTGGCATTTTAGAGAACAACTGAGGATTTGAGAATGGAAAAGTGAACAGCACTGGGAGCTCAGAGGAGGTAACCAGAGGGCTAGAAATTCTAGAAGCAAAGCCTAGTCCCTGAGTGGCAGTGGGTGGTTTTGGTGGGACTCGAGGATGGGGACGACTTTACATCTGAGCATTGCATCCCTCAAGGGGTCATGGATTTTGCTCAGAGATCCAAACAGGAAAATGAAGGAAGCAGAGGACAGAGAAGCTCCTGTAAACTTCCAGAAACTCAGGAGTGGTGACACCTGCCACAGCTGGTATTAGCTTCCTGCAGTCAGGAGTATGCCATCTGCCCTGTGTCTGCTGTAGCCAGTGCAGGAGAGTAAAGGCTTCACCTCCTCCTCTATCCTCCAGGCCCTGCATGGGCATCTCCCACTGGAAGACTCTCATCTGACACTACATAGGGAAAACAGCTGGAAGCTAAGGAGAGACAAAAGGAGGCAGTGAAGATGCCAAGCTGACTGACATTCAGCCCACGCATGGGGCACAGTGAGATGAACCACAAATGAATTAGTGCAACAGAGCAGGGAGTTTGGAGGGAAGTGACATTGGAGACAGCACCTACACCCTGCTCTGTGGATTTGCAGAAATTTGCATAGAACATGGAGTGAGAAAGGTTTGACCTCATCTTCTCTAGATCCAACGGGGCAGGCAGATGGCAGCTAGGGATGCTAACCATGATGGATTTGCTAACGCATCTTCCTTCAACTTTAGAGTTGCATACATTTATCCACATTTCCAGCTGATGAAACTGCCCTAATTTCTGAATTGGTACAGTAAGCAGCACTTACAATATTCTTATTTTTTGAGATGGAGTCTTCCTCTGTCACCCAGGCTGAAGTGCAATGGCATGATCTCGGCTCACTGCAATCTCTGCCTCCCTGGTTCAAGTGATTCTCCTGCCTTAGCCTCCCGAGTAGCTGGGATTACAGGCATGTGCCACCACACCTGGCTAATTTATATATATATATATATATATATATATATATATATATATATTTTAGTAGAGACGGGGTTTTGCCATGTTGGCCAGGCTGGTCCCAAACTCCTGACCTCAGGTGATCCGCCCACCTTGGCCTTCCAAAGTGCTGGGATTACAGGCGTGAGCCACCACGCCTGGTCTAAAATATTCTTGATATGCACAAAAACGAACGTAAGACAAATGAAAGAAACACGAGTGGCACCAACTAGCTTCCAACCTCCATCCTTATGTTAAGCTCCCCTAATGAGCTAGTGTGCCTGAGTTCTTAAAGCACATGGCCTACAGCATCACAAGGAAGAGTGCCTGAGTGTGACAGGTCCCTTAACTACAGAGACAAGGCAAGCACTGAGAATTAAGACTTTCCAGTTATTTATATATTTTATTGAATTTAGTATAAAAATTTTATTTTAGGCTGGGTGCAGTGGCTCATACCTGTAATCCTAGCACTTTGGGAGGCCAAGGCAGGAGAATCACCTGAGGCCAGGAGTCTGAGACCAGACGGCACCATAGCAATACTTCATCTCTACAAAAATTTTAAAAATTTAGCTGGGTGTGGTGGTATGCACCTGTAGTCCCATTTACTCAGGAGGCTGAGGCAGGAGGATCGCTTGAACCCAGAAAGTTGAGCCTGCAGTGAGCTGGAGTGAGCTATGGTCATGTCACTGATGCCAGCCTGGGCAACAGAGGGAGACTCTGCTTCAATCAATCAATAACTTATTTTAAGATTTCATATAATAATGTACCATATGAAATAGGAATAAATCTTTTTAGCTATGAGAAAAAAATGTAGATTAAGGTGGTTGTTATAATGTGACCAAGAAAGCAACACATAGATTAATTCAGTTAATCAAATTCCAATTACACAAAGCCTTTGCTTTTCCAAAGGTGTAAAGAAGAGTTAGTATGTCTGCTTCTCAAATGTGTTCATAAACTCTTCCTGGTGCCAAGTCCTTTTAACTTACATTTAATCACTGCTTTCTCCTAAGAGTCTGCTGGACTGGGAATGCAGGCAGTACTGGACCCGGTTCAGGGTGGAGTATAGGAAGTGTGGTTGAAAGTCAGCTTCATTAGGGTTGTGATGGGTGCTTTGGGGCAGTCAACCTCCCTCCCTGAGCCACAGGGATCTCACTGTAGGAGGGGCAGGACCGGTGCCATCTAAGGGATCTGTCAGCACCAATATTTGATGCAGGTGTCTGATCAGTGGGTCTCCTTGCCTGAAGCCTGAAGGTCCTGACTGCCCCAAGCAGCCCCTACTGCCCATTCCAGCTTCCCTTTCACCCAAAGACATAAGATAGAGGATGTTGGGCAGGCAAGTCCATCCTTATCCACAGGTAAGAGTTAAGGACACAGCTGTAGAGGCTTTTTATTTAAATTTTTTTTCTGCAGCTTGTGATGTAATGAGAAGCAACCAATCTATTTCAGAGAGGGGGGAACCCGGGCAGCCCTTGGAAGCAGGAAAAGGCCACCACTTGGGAACCTTTGTACACTAGCGTGGATATCTGTGGGGTGCTCGTGGGCGCTGAGAGGCAGCCAGCCCAGTTACACCGTCCAGAGTGGCCACCTCTCCCACCTCACCTCTGCTTCTTTCCCCTGGTGGCTGGAGGTAGCATGCGCTAAGGATACAGAGGGGATCAGATTCTGTGTCCTCCCCCACAGCTTAATTGGGGTGATCCTCACACAGTGAGACATTCCCCCCCAATTTGATCAGCATGAGGATGGGAGACCACAGAAGAGAGGCCTTCAACCCCGCATGCGGGAGGCAACGAAGTCTTCCTGGTTTGGATTTTCACATGCTCTGGCTTCTACTCCAAATCCTGGCCCACACTCTGACCCATCTGCCCACAGGCACCCTGGCCTCCCACCAAGTGGGTGTGCACAGATCATCAGGCTGAGAGATGAAAGACCCCCACCTTATTGCTTCCTCTGGGATGTCAGGAGACCCCCTGAGCTGAGACATGCCCCTTACCATGAGCTGTGGAGTCAGCTAGTTACTAGACAAAGGGTGAGAAAATGGCCTTATTCAAGGAAGACTCGGCGGCACACGGCGAGGTTCTGTAGGGTTTCAACCTGAGTCTCCTGCTAGGTCCTTCAGAAGACCTGCAAGGGAGGAACGCAGATGTCAGCGTCTACTGGGGAAAGAACCACCACTCTGAGTGTATGTGTAAATTGTATGGTTTCTTTAATTATGTCTATGGAAGCGATGATACCTATTTCTATCTATCTAAGTAGAAAAGATGGGCACAGGGAATTAGTAAGTTAGGAACCATGATGTAACTGGCATAAGATCCTCACCAGCGTCTGCCTCTCCTCCCAGTCCTGGGCACATGAGGTAGAGCAGTGTGACTACTTCGGGCCAACAGGCTTTAACAGGAAATGATGTGTGCTATTTTTGGGCCAAAACACTTAACAGCCAAATGTTTTTCTGCAGCACTTCCCTTTGAGCCATGGCTCTAAGGAGGCTGCAGGTTCTGGATGGTGAGAGCCATACCCTCAGGATTTTTTGAGGCCCCAAAAATAGCTGCAATTGATTTATTTGATGATCCAGCAGGCCTACTCAAGGGCTGACTTCCCAGCCTCCCCTTTGCTCCCTGCTAGCTAATCAGATGGCCTAAAAATGCTGCTTCCAGACCATCTGCAGTCTTTCTGTCCTCTCTCTTTTAAAGCTGATATTTGCTTTCATCGACAATGTTCTAAAAGCTGTTCTCCCTTAGGTATGAGTTAATATGTGTGCAAACAACTAATGTCTCTCCAGTCATTCTTTATTCAGGGAAAAGCACACAATCGTAAACAACGGAGAGTGAAGACAGTAACAACTGGTTTGATATTGAATTTTTAAAATCTTGATTCAAATGGAATTTTCATAATCTACCACTTAAAATTTATTTTTAATTAGAAGAAAACTATGTAACTGTGAAGAGAAGCACATTTCAGCCTCTCAGTCAGCCCCACCGTGCCTCTGCTTCACATCCAGGAAGAAGGGAGTCCTCGGGGCAGCCACGCAAATGCAAGGACAGAGAGTCCAGAGAATACCACTTGGCCTCCAGGTGCATGCCTTCCAAGTCTACTCTGCAGACGCAAATGTCATGTGGGTTTTTGCCAAAATCTCAATGGAAACATTTCTATTTGCTTTAATTTATTTTTAAAGTCAAACACCACAGTTCAGGATGTGGAAGAAATATGAAGTCAGTGGATGAAGATCTTGCTTCTACCAGCTTATGATCCCACTGGCCATCCAGGAAGCACAGGACACATATCAGCATCTGAACAGCAGGGAGCATTCTTCCTCCTGTGTTGGCAACTCGAAGCTGGAGGTGCCTTTATATGAACATTTTTCACCATCATCTAGTCCAGAAATCCCTCCTTTTACAGACATACGTTCTGTAAATCTTAGGTAAATATGGATTGTCTTGTTTTTAAATACAATTTCTAAAGAGCCCTCTGTAGTAATTTCTTATTTTATCTATTTAGAGCAGGCTTCACGTATTAGTCTGCCTGGGCTGCCATAACAAAATACCACAGACTGGGTGGTTTCAACGACGGAAATGTATTTTCTCGCAATTTTGGAGGCTGGAGGTCCACGATCAAGGTGCTAGCCAAGTCTGTTCCTGATAAGGGCTCTTCTTGGCTTGCAGACGGCCGACTCCTCACTGTCTTCACATGGCAGAGAGAGAAAGAAAAATCTCTCTTCCTCTGCTTAGGAGGCCACCAATTCTACTGAATTAAGGCCCCACCCTTATGATGACCTCACTTAACCTTAGTAATCTCCTATATGCCCTATTGCCTAATACAGTCACACAGGGATTAGGGCCTCAATATATAATTCTGGGAGGACACAATTCAGTCCACAGTACTTCATGTTGAGCAACTGAGGGCAAAAATCTCCTTCTCCTGTTTAAGGTGATCACATCATAAGAGTGTCTGGCATTGTCACCAGAAGTACAAACTTATTTTAGACAGGACAACTGTGACATCTGAGGAAATGCTAAAGCGCTCTTTTGCCACAGAAAGTAAAACTTTATGACATAGCTTCTTTTAAAACTTGGCATTTTTGGGCTTAGTCACTTCACCTATACCACCACAGTTCAAAGACTTTAAAAATCAATATTCACTCCAGCAACCCCTGCTCTATTCTCTAAGTCCAAAACTAAAGCAATCATCAAGAGTTTTGGAAACAAACCAAAAACTTTATTTACAAAAGTAAATTTTAACTTGCTTTTATATGTCATATACCGTTAATGATGACAGCAACAGATTTAAAATACATTGAGGTTTGTGCAGCTCATTTCCCCCTAGTTATACCATAAAACTTTATAAACATTGCTTTAGCTTTGATGTTTGGTCACGTTTTTTGTGCAGAAGTCACGTTTCAGGGTAGGTTCACCGCCAGACACGGTCACATCACCATTGGCTGTGGATTTCCAAGAAGCAAAGGAGCCAATCTCAGCAAAGCTCGCACTGGCATTTTTAGCTGCTTAAATTTGAAGAGCAGTTCAGCAAAGCTTGTGCTCCCTAAAATGGAAATGGGGTGGGAAGGTCACATCTCTAAATAAATTCAGCCATACCTCTCCTTTCAAGGAAGCTTCAGAAACACAATCATGTTTAAAACAGGCATTTTTCCCTTTGAAAATGACTATGCAAAGACAATATTTAAAATTATGAAATTCCTTAATACACTGTAATGTAAATTGAGTATCCCTTTTCCAAAATGCTTCCGAAGAGAGAGGTGTTTTGGATTCTGGATTTTTTTAGATTTTGGAATATCTGCATTACACCTACTGGCTGAGAATTCTTTTTTTTTTTGGAGACGAAGTCTCACTTTGCCACCGGGGCTGGAGTGCAGTGGCGCTCTCTCGGCTCACTGCAAACTCCACCTCCTGGGTTCACCCATTCTCCTGCCTCAGCCCCCCGAGTAGCTGGGACTACAGGTGCCCACCACCACGCCCAGCTAATTTTTTTTGTATTTTTAGTAGAGATGGGGTTTCAACGTGTTAGCCAGGATGGTCTCGATCTCCTGACCTCGTGATCCGCCGGCCTCGGCCTCCCAAAGTGCTGGGATTACAGGCATGAGCCACTGCGCCCAGCCTCGGCTGAGCATTCTTAATCCAAAAATCCCAAATCCAAAATGCTGTAATGAACATTTCCTCTGAGCATCATGTTGGTGCTCAAAACGTTTTCGATTTCAAACACTTCAGATTTCAGATTAAGGATACTCAAACCTGTATATGATTTGATAGAATTTACCCATTCTAGACTTCAGAAAGTGACCTATAACTACATGTGAAACTACTAATATTGTTTAATTTTATATATATATATATATATATATATATAAATTCTTTAAATATAATGTGCAAAAGTGCCTGTCTACCTTCAAATACTATCTAAGTGGTATTTTACTGGTTCTAATACAGTTGACCATTGAACAACCCTGTTTGTCCAGCCTGGCCTGAAAAGAAGTCTATACTTTTAAAATGTCTTCCTTTTCCTTTTAGTAGTTTGACTATTAATGTGACTAGGTATGGTTTTCTTTGTATTTATCCTGCTTAGGGTTCACTGTGGGTTAATATTTAACACCATTTTTCAAAATTCTTAGCTTCTGTCTCTTCAAATATTGCTTCTAACTCATTTTTTCTCTCCTCTTATTCTCTTATTCCAACCCCATGCATGTTTATTTTTTTTTTCACGGTTTCCACATGTCTCTTGTACTCTTCTCTGTATTTCCTAACCATTCTTCCCTCTGTGCTTCAGTTTGTTTACTTTCTACTTGTCTTCCAGCAGATAAGTGTCTTCCAGTTCACTTCAAATAATCCAATACTGAGATCTTCATTTCAGTTACTATATTTTTCAGTTCTAGAATTTCCATTTAACTCTTTTTTATTGACCCCAGGTTTCTGGTGAAATTCCCTATCATTCCTTCTATTTTCCTGGAAACATTAGACATAGTTATTTTAAGTTCCAGTATGATAACTCCAATATCTGAATCACACATAAGTCTGTTTCTATTATCTGTTTTTTTATTATTATTATGTTTCATAATTTTTGATTCAACACTGAATCCTGTAGACTAAAAATTGTGGGGGCTCTGGGTATGTTTTCTTTCTCCTATGAAGGTTACATTTTCTTCTGTCAGGTGGGGAGAAAGCACACAGATCACCTTAGTTCTGCTCTAGGCTAATTGTAGGTCAAGTCTGCTTGGAGTGAAACTGAAGCAGACCAGATCTAAAATTAGGCTAGAGCAGGCTTAGGGCTTGGCCATGTATTAATTCACCTGAGGAGCTGGGATGCTGATCAGAGCCACTTCACTTTAACAAGCGTTGAATTCCACCCTTTGTCTCCTCAGTCCTATGCTGCTGCTGACATTTTTGCTTACATTTTTGGCCTTGTGGCTTCTGCTAGATCTCTTGAAGTCTTATCCCATGTATATGAAGGCTAAAATATCATTAAGTAACTCAAGGGAAAGGTATATCCAGAGTCTGAGTTATGATTTCTATCGTTCTCTCCTGCCTGAGACTGTGTTCCTCAAGTTCTAGGCTCTTGGGCAATCACAAACCCAACCTCTGGCTCCTCAGCCCTGCAGCATTGCTGCTTTTTGCTGGCACTCTACTTCTTGTACTATGAACTGGCAAATGCCTTTGGGGGAGAAGCTAGGGTGAATATAAAGCTCTCCCTGTTGTACTTCCCTTTTCTTATTTTTTTTTTTTTTAGCTTTTATATTTGTTTTTGAGGGCAAGTGAGTCCAATACAAGCAATTCCATCATGGCCATAACCAGAAGTCTCTAGATAGTAAACTTTTATCAGAGGCTTGCAAAACAGCAAAAAACTAGTAATGTAATTAAACTTCAAGTTTAAATGATTAAATGGAACAATCTTTGCCCTTATCAGAAAATATTTTTTTTGAGAATCTCAGAAAAATTGGGTGCTTAGAATTCATCATATCTTAGTATTCAGCTTAATGGATAAATTTTTTTTATCTGTTTCTGTATTCTGAAAAATACAATCAGGTGATAATACTATTAATTTTTAAAACTATTATAAAAAAATTCAAACACAAAATTAGGTATTTATTAGTTGTAAAGCTTTGTAATATTAGAAATTAAGATTATATGTGATTCTAAAAAACCCAACTGAAAACCTAGAAAATAAAGAAAAATAGCTTTAATAAAAAAATCAATTAGTAAAGAATAATATGGAATATTTAGTTTATTAGTATAGATCAGTGTTTGGGGCTCTGTGAAGAAGAATCCATCCTTTTCTGAATAAAAATGAAAGTTATTCATATATAAAGTTGATAATTTTTTCTTTTTTGCTCCAAAACAGTCCCTAACAATGACACTGCAACATTAATGAAGAGGAAAGTCAAACTAGGGGCAGTAACTACTGAGAAACTAGAACGTAAAGGGGTAGGTAACAGAGGTACTGAAGATAAGACTTAGATATGCAATTACCTTCTAGTCCTATAGGTGGCAGGTGCTGTGGAGCTGGCACAGAGTGGTAGACGAGGAAGCAGGCCAGCATGCTCAGCTGTGATTCCTCCAAGGGCTGCCCGCTGAGGTAGGCGTGCACACACATATCACCCCCGACTGTGAGAGAAACAAATGGAACGGAACCAACTGATGACAGAACTGAGAGGCACAAGAAATATCTTCTATTACTTTTTCATCAAGAACTTATTGAACGCTCAGCATATATAAAGCAGGTTCTATAGCCGGTATTGAGGCTACTCTGACAAGCTAGACTGAGTCCCTGTCATTGTAGAGTTTAGAGTGTTGTTGGGGGAGACAGATATTACACAAATAATGACACAAACAAATGCATAATTACAAATTGTGATGAGTGCTATAAAGGTGCAGTGGTCACTGTGGTTGTCTCCCCGAAATACCCCTTGTCGCACCCTACCCTCCACCATATATTATATTTGATGGGACTGACTTCAGCTCCAGAACTAGATCCTTACTAGTCTTGGCCAGGGGTCCTCAAACTTTAACATGTGCCAGAATCACCTGGAAGGCTTGTTAAACCACAGATGAG